>NC_000017.11:14127474-14430504 GCF_000001405.40 Homo sapiens
GATTATAAATAAAAATAAGCCAGTCAGTTTAAATATTTTGTACCTATAGGAATTTTTTAAATCACATACAAAAATTCAAGTGCAGTTAATGCATTCTATTTATAATATTCATGTAGATCAAAGCAAAGAATCAATATTGCACTAGTGATTTCTATTAAATAAAAATTATATACGTGTGTGAATGTGCTGCATTGAGAATGTATGCATTGGCCTTGTGTTTAAAATATTAATATTGTTACTCTGTCTTTTTGTATTTAAAAATTAAAAGTAATATTCTTTGCCTACTTAGATGTCCTTTTATTAATTACATGCTACTGAGAAGCTATTATTTTGCCCTCAAGTACCAAAATAGTACTTGGCCACATCAAAGTTAGCACCACCTTTAGAAGTGTTTTTAATTTTTTTCAAAAGTTGCATTTTTAATAGTAATTTGAATCTTTAAGAGTGTGTGTATGTGTGTGTGTGTGTGTGTGTGTGTGTGTGTGTGTGTGGTTTTTAAATTACAGCATTGAACTTAGAAGGCCTGCCTAGCCAGTACCTCAAATTTGTTGCAGATGCTGCATATAAATCTGATTTATCTTTTTTTTTAAGTCTAGACGTTTTATGTTTAATTTTACTCCTTTTAGTACCTCTAATACTAATAAGAAAATTTCACTGAACTGAATTCTTAGTAAAAGAAAAAGATGTGAAAAATGAACCTCCAAAAGCTTATACATGAAAGGATTATATAATTATTTCATTTGTATCTACTTTATTATTTCATATTAATCTATTTTAATGATGCAATTTTGAGCATTTGCATTTTCAGCAGCAGTTTTTTTTTAGTTTGTCGTATACTTATGAGATTAAAATGTTAGCTGTGAACATTAGAAACAATGCTTATTTGACAAGAAGCTCTCCCTGAAGCCATCAATAAAAAATACTAAATATCAGATATGTATTTCATTCAGTTATGACTTAATTATATTACCTGTGTTCTTTTTATTCTATTTTATATTTCCAGACAGAAAGTAACTATTCTCAAATATTCATTTAGTCATAATAAACAATTAACATTTAGTAGCTTAGGGTGCAAATTATCCAGAATTCTCCTGATAGGGTGTGCATATAGTAGGGATTCCATAGGTTTTTTACACACATGAATCCTCATAAAAATGCTTTCACCAAAAATATTTAGATAATTAAATAAAAAGGACACTGGAAGAAGGGAGCAGGGTGCTTAAGAAGGAGAACTTAAGTACATTATGGATGGATTTATGATTGTACAGCTGGACTGAGTTACAGCAGGACTATAGAACCTAAACAAAGGCGGTCAACTTTAAGAAGAGCATATCTCAAGGCACGTTTCAAAAATCTGTATTTCTACATTTATTTTATTTATTTTTTTTGAGACAGAGTCTTGCTCTGTCGCGCCCAGGCGAGAGTGCAGTGGCGCGATCTCGGCCCACTGCAACCTCTGCCTCCTGGGTTCAAGTGATTCTCATGCCTCAGCCCCCCAGTACCTGGTATTACAGGCAAGCGTCACACACTGGGCTAATTTTTGTATTTTTAGTAGAGACAAGGGTTTCACCATATTGGCCAGGCTGGTCTTGAACTTCCGACCTGAGGTGGTTGGCCCGCCTTGGCCTCCCAAAGTGCTGGGATTACAGGCGTGAGCCACTGTGCCCGGCCTATTTTTTTTTTTTTTTTTAAACACTGGTTTTGCATTAGTAAAAAAAAATCTTCCTTTTTAGATTTCAGGTACTGCTAGATATATTGTGTTTAAATTTTAGTTCACAGAAATGAAATTTATTCTCTTTACTGAAATAACACTTTATATTTCAAAATATATAAATATGTAAATGTATATAAATAATGTAATATAATAAATGTGTATAAATAATGTAACCTTTCCTCAGCTCATGAGTCCCTTGCCACTAAGAACTATTTACTCAAGTTCTCAGTTTGTCCTCCCTAAACTCCCTTGTTTGATTTCTAGTTAGACACATTCTGTCTGAATCAGTTAAAACTTCCCGTAGTATTTATGTCTTTTGTAATCTTTACCAGGATCTGATTCTTCTGTAGCAGAGCTATTTTTATTTAGGCTTATATGGATAAATCAACTCTTTCAGCCTTCTGTATTTTTCTTTGCTTTGACTGTTTCATTAAGGCCCCTTGAGAAAACTCCCCATAATTATTTTTTTCATTGTGCTGTAAGCATTGTAAACCATGTGTTCCTTTAGCAAAAGACGTGAAGATGCAGGCTGTTTGTGCCTAACAAAAACAGACCTCTTTACCTTGAAAAACCAACTTTAGCAGAGCTATGCTAGAAAAGGATAGGAGGACTCTCTGGGTACAGTAGGGTTATATAGGGTTGGTGGTTTTGTTTTTACCTATTGAGGAATCAGATTGCAAGCCCATTTCTTTTCTTCAGCCTGTGCATCAGCCTGTCTAGGAAACTCTACGGTCACAATACTAAGAAATCCACATAAATTAGTTCATGAGGCTTCTTAATCCCAGGTGGATATACCTATGAGCCCTGTGTATATTCTTTCCTTTCTTCTCTTCCTGGGAGAATGTAGTGAAGGTGCTGAAGCCACCCAGTGCCAGCCTGGAGTTTCAACAAAAATTAAGAATGTAAAAATCCTTTGGACATAAGTGAGGAGTTTCTGCTCCCAATTACATTACACTGGGGAAGTAATTATCTTAGAGGTGATTGTATTCTGCCTCCCTCAGAATAATTCCTCCCTTTCTAGGAAAATATTCCTCCCATTTTTGTGCATATTTTTTACAACTAAAGGCACTGGATATGTGTTGTTCTTAGGTAATTTCACCTCTTTAAGATAAAATCTGAGTAATGTCTATCAATGATTACAAGATTTGAAGCCCATCACTGCCTCTGATGTGCAATTTCATAGGCAATTAAAAATTCCCCGGGACTTCTGATAGAGTTACTTGTAATAGGTATTACAAATAATACATATAATAATGTATTGCTTAAGGTCAAAGTTTGAAACAGGCCTAGAATCAAATTCTAGCTCTACTTATTAGGTGTTTGGCTTATGTAATTCCATCATCTATTTAAACTCAGCTCTTTCATATGTAAACTGAGGCCTGTACCATCTACCCTTATAGGATTTTTTTTCTAAGAGTTAAAGTAAATCTGTTAATTTTTAAATTTTCTTTTTTGTTACGTTCTTCACCACTGTCTTTGTTTCTTGGCTGTTTTCTTTGCCAGCCTGATTGTCTTCATCATATGCATTTCCATGGCCATCTTCCTCATTGTCGTCTTCATCTTTGTGGTTTGTTGTCTCTCCTTTGCTTTTGTTTCCTCCTGATTTTTCTGTTCCCCACCTTTTTCTTCTCCTTTGCTCTTCTTCACTAAATAGTCTCGTCATCTCCTGTAGAGCCCTTTCAAGAACCTTCCCAGGACCTGTGATTCTTCAAACACTGTTTGAAAACCCATGATTTAGTCTGTGTGAAAAACCATCACAAAGTAGGTCTTTGGTTGTGCCTTCACTAAGTATTAGCTTCCCAGGATAAGGCACCTAGTTCACCACTATTCCTAGCAGCATGTCATAGTGGCTTAGTAAAATTCTTCACATGTAAAAGATTGAATTTTTATTGTGAAGTGTAATTTGGATATATTTAAGTTATTTAAATGAATGACCAGCTCATTGATTTGTAGACATCATAAAAGGGCAGCTTATTGAAGAGGAAGTCAAAGGGCTTTCCTAAGCAGTTACTGTAATTTAGAAGAATAATCAGAAAGCAGGTTAAGAAAAGCCAAAAGGAGATTGTTTAAATATATTTGGATGCATTCATTGAAGACAATACGCTACAACAGATGATGAGGTAGTTCTATCTGTATATATACATATTTTTTTAATACACATGATGTTTATAAAGTTAAGTGAGAAGGCATGCTAGAAGGCAGTATATATGAAAATATAGATCAAAATACTAATTTTTCATATATGAGTATCAGTACTCTAGCTTATTTTTTTATTTTTTATTTATTTTTCTATAAGAAATGAATTTTCTCTCATTCATTCCAGTCCTGGCTTTTTGTAGTGAAATAGTTTTAGATAACTGAATATGACTGGATGGTCACATTATGCCATAAAATACACTGGGTGAAGCACATAGAGCAGGTCAAGAAATAAAACATTTCATTTTAAATGTTCTGATGACAATAATTTAGAAAACAGTATTAGAAAATATTACAGGACACATTTTCCCCTTCAAATAAATCATTCTCCTGCAGCCTGTATTGTTGCCATGTAATAATAGCAAATTCAAAGGAGTTTCATGAGACTGAGACAGTCACTGTAAGAAAGAACGTTGGGGTACTGACATACACATGCCTGGAAAGGAATTGTGTAGGAGATTCTGAAGCCTAAATCAGTAGCTTTGTACAAAGTCCTTTTCACTTAGGAGATCTTCTGACTAAAAAAACTGGGAAATTAAATTATAAAGTGATGCAAAAGTAGGTTGTTTATGGGATGATTTCCTACTTACTAGAAGTTTCTTTAAATATGTACATTGTTGTCATATATATCTTCCTTTAAAAATACTTTCATTTGCTTTTGTTTGGGTTTATTTTTCATAATATTCTTATATCCTATGTTAGAGTTTTAATCATGAACCAAATGCCACCTCATTCTTCATCCAAACATCATGAAATCATTGCAGATGAGGTGAGGAGATAAAGTAATTGGATTAGAAATGGATGGTTTAAGTTTACACCATTTTATTATATCAGGAATTTTTGATATTTGAGATGTAGCTTTCCACAGCTGTGTGATCACTTGTGCCTAACATACGTATATGATACCAGGTTCTGTAATTTTGTTGTTTTAAATTCTGACGGAGAATCCGTGTCGATGGTCAAATCTATCACTTAGAAAAGTTTTATCTGAAGTAAAACTACTGATATCTCAATTGAGACAGCACGAAGGTATGATCCTTGTATTACTAAATATTTCTTCCCTTGATTTTCTGCTTTATATCACTTTGCATTTATAAGCCCTTTACCGAATGGTGGTGGCTGTGTGTGAGCATAATAATTTGTATTTTTAAATTTTTTATCCATAATATTTTCCTAATCTTAAAAAATTAAATTTTATATATTTTATTCAGTCTTACAAATATATTGTTCTACCTTAGAATATTTTTATGAAGTGTTAAATTTTCCAGAGGATATATTCATAGTTTAACCTCTAACCTGTTAAATTATTTGAGAAGAAGAAAAAAGACATGTTTGTAGCATTATGAAATGTCTGTTTCAAAGAATACCCCTGCTTATTTTTTACTTTTCCTATGTTTATTCTGATGCAAAATTATAGCTTCAAATACTTATTTTCTGTTTAAAAATAATTAAATATTAAGGAAAAATTATGCAATATGACTACAGAAATTTATTAATAATCTAATAATGTTGAAAGAGCTATGTAATTAGAACTTTAACCATTCTTATTTTCAGTTCATTTTAGATTTATTTTCTAAAAGAAACAGTACAACTCAATCAATTTGGAAATTTTGTTGAGATTTTTAACTTAAAAGCTTGTAACATGGTAACACTTACAGCTTGTTTAGAAATGTGTGGTGTTTGTGAAGTTCTTTACAAAGGAACCAGGTAAATCTTGGCTTAATGTTGATTTGATAAAATTCCCTAAAATTTCCCTCAAATGTATTAAAAATAAGCCAAGTTTATTAAAAATAAGTCAACTGTGATTGTATTTTCTTTAATAATCAAAAGTATTGAAGAAGTACCTATTTACATCTAAACATGAAAATTGTTATAAAATGTTTTCATGAGTCATACAATAAAGGAAGCTTTGAGAGAACCTGGTTATCCATTAATCTTTATTACACCAATTTGGACTAACTGGATTTGTAAAAAGTTCAAATTATGAAATAGTTTTGAAGAAATATAATACTATTAATTTTTAAATTAAATTAGGATAATTAAGTTTTTGAAGAGTTTCTTGTTAAAAGTAATCTGAGTTGTGGGTATTATGTCTATTTTTGCATGACCCATAGTAGCTAATAGTGTTATAAATTAATTAACAAACATGATTTGTAATTATACTCAGTGTAATATAAAACATTTAATAAATATACTTAAAGGTACTTAAACAGTTGGTTATCAAGCATTTAAAATGCCTGCCATCACTACCAACACCACATGTTATTAAAACTATGAAATGGCACTACATGGAATAAAAGAGTTTGCTAGATGTTAATCACTTTCATCCAGATTTCAGTCTGGATGATGAAAAAAATGACTAATAATATCTAAATTCATGAGATTTTATCATAATTGCAGATAAGAAATTTTCTTTAAAATAGTGTTTAATTCAGATTTTTATGAGTTTCAGTGTAGTCTTAATTAGTGAGATTTTAGTCAGCTTGTCTTACTTTATAGGGCATAAGTGAGATTATATGTTTTCATATGGAAGTCTTTTCTTTTTTTAAAATTTGTTTAATATAATAGATGATGGATGACTTTTACTAAGAGGAACCCTGGTATTCGTAATGGTTATTTGAGTCAGTGTTTCTGAACTCTTTTGGTTCTTCTTTGCTTTGGTGTTAAATAATTCCTTTTCATACTGTAAATGTTAGTAATATTTTTTAGTTACTTATACTTTAAAGGCTTCATAAGGTAGACTCCATGATGCCCTCAAATTCAACAAATGTTAATGCCTGAAGGAAAAAGGAATGATTCTTTGTAGTTGATTATATATAGATCTTTAGAGAACATATATTTTTAGGTTTTATCTACTTGTACTCATGACCTTTAGGAATATTATTAATCATATGCATACATGCTTGTTAAAAAGTATTCTTAAAGAATGTGAAGAGATAAAAAATACAAAGTTATCTTTTCTATCAGCTTTTTTTTCAATCATCAAGAAATCCAGTAAACAACATATATGTTAGAAAATGTTTGTTTTCTGGAAAAAATTAACTGAGTTCTTACAAGTATTTTAATGGTTGTTCACATTGGGAGATGAAAAGCATCCGCCTTTGTCAGATAGTGTTTCAGAGCACAGAATAACTCTGTAAGATGCCTAATTTTGCTTTGTATGTGGGACACAGATGTTTTCACCTCCAAAAAGGGACAGCAAGCACATAAAAGGAGATCAAACTTGTTCCCAAAGAATATGTGTGGTGTAACACACTCTTGGAGAGGATTTCAAAAGTAATTAGCTGAGTAAGCTAAAAAACAGCACTGCTATTTAACTTTAATAGCAGAAAGTGTGCCTTTTAAGGTAGTAGTTTTTTGACTAGACATGGATAAATTAATTGCCCTCGGTGTTTTTTTTTTTTTAAGTTAAACTCTTTATTTAGAGATCTTCATAGATTCACATGCAGTTGTAAGAAATAATATAGAGAGATTGCATGTAGCCTTTACCTACTTTCCCACACTGGTAACGTTGCAGAACTGTATAGTACAATATTACAAGCAGGATGTTGACTTTTTGTTTTAAAAATGTTTTTTGAGTCTGTCTAAATGGCCAAAGCATAGCACTATTTTTTCTTTTATTCTGAATAAAAGACAACAGTATATAACGATGCATATAAAAATTATCTTAAAAATTAGCCTAATAAATATATGATGAGATGTCTGTTCTAGTGTAGGCATGAAGCTTCATACTATATAGAGCTGTTCATATTTGAATAGGTAAAACATTTAGAAATTTTATATAGTATTCTCTTTGCTTCTTATGTAGTTTATTTGTTCTAATGAAATATTTTATTTTAATCTTTTTCTTTATCTGGGTATTATACAGATGTTGTTAAGTTGAAATCTTTGAATAATTTTGGTAACCAATATTTTAATTATAAAATTTCTTTGGAACTAATATAGCTATTTTGTTATGAATGAAAATGTGTTTATTATTAGTTTAGCAAGCATATTACTGATTTTAGATATTAGGTTGGTAGTTCTCAAATTTTACCGTGTATAAAGAATCACCTGGGGAGCTGATTGAAAATGCAGATGCTTGTCTCCACTCCCGGATATTCTACTTTGGGTCAGAAGTGAGACCCAGGGATCTGCATTTATAATTAAGGACTGCAGAAGATTTTGATGCAGATGAACCCTGAACTGCACTTTGAGAAACACTTAATATTGAGGTTTTTTAGCATTGTATTGTAGAAGCAATAGAGTGTTGATTTTGTACTCTAAATGTGTATAAAGAACATCGTTTTGTTTTCCAAAAATAAATTTTTATTCAAATATGGAATTACTGTTTTTTCATAGTCTTCCTACGTAACCTATTGGAATTTTTAGATTTCAACATTGCAATTCAGTAATACCTGTGCTCTGCAATTGAAATCTTTTTCAAATTCATGGCCAGCAACTCAGGAAAAGTAAAGGCATTTGAGTAGCAAAGAAAAGAGCTTGGAATACAAGTTGAGAGCCACCAAAAAGTGCTCTGTCAATAGTTGTGTTTCATCAAATAAGTTGTTTGGATTTTGTTTTCTTCAGGCATTTTTAATTTTCCTTTTAAATAATGACAAAAGAAATTAAAAATAGTAAGTTGGGGATTAGAGACGAAGATAGAGAGGAAGAGAACATTGGCATCAAACAAAACAAAGAAAATGTAAAGGTGATTGATTTTAAGAAGCTAAGGAGTTTGAGCAATCTAATGTGACAGCAAGTACACTGAGTCATTCATTGGGAAAGAGATGAAATAATATTCAGTAAATTGTTTTGAAGGCTCAGAAATACGAGAAATTTTAGAAATATTTCCATCAAAACTGGTTTCAATTTCATTAATATTTGGGTATGCAAACAAGAAAATTACTTCATTAATCTAGAAAATTCATTTGTATGCAACATCTTATTTCCCAGAGATGACATAAAAATGAAGTGTGACTTATTCATTTGAGTTTTGAGTAACAGGCATCCTTCTAAGGAAAAGCTAAGTAATTATACATACCTTTTTTTAGACTTTTTTCTTTCTATTAGCAAAACAAAGCCTAGATGTGCTTTCCATTCATTTCCAGTTTGCTCAGACTGACATTTGGCTTGTGTGGGACATACTGATGTTTCAGGAAATTTCTTGCCATAAAGCACGGCTGAGACTTTGGCCGTTTGAATCCTGTACTTATTTGTTTCTTTGGTATGTACATTTCAAAACTTTTAGTGAATCTCTGACCTCAAAATACATTTTTATGGCAGGTTTTTTTTTAAATCATCTTATTTATAAGGTTAGCAGAACAAGAACTTCAGCTTGCCTCCCAATGTTAGCAATTAATTATAGTGAAGATGACAAAGATGGACATGTATGGTTTTAGTCTGTTCATAAAGATATTTGCATGTGATAATTGCCTCCTCTAAAATCAACACTTTATTAAATCTTTAGATTTTTTCATAAAGTAAAAGCTATAGTGTTTAGTTTCCATTTGACATTGAAATCTTTTTGGTTATTTGTCAGTTTATATTTTTCATTAAAACTTCAAGTTTACTTAGACTGTCCTAACAATTTTTTTGTGTGTGTTTCTTTTTTAAAATCAGTGAGAAGGCCAAGTCTGTGTGAGGTGGTGAGGAATTTAATGGGTAAAGATGTTTTTAGGTGGTGTGTTTTTTTAATTGTTTTACCAAGAGTTGGTGAGGATGCTAGAAGGCAGGCCTTCTTCTCACTGTTGGTGAAACTAAATTGGGAGTGCCTTTCTGAAGGGAAATTTTAGAAGTATAATTTAAAATTCTTAAAAACATGTTTTCTTCAACCCAGTAATTCCATTTCTAGAAGTTTTTTTCTAAATTATCAAAATATGTGCAAATATATTTATATATTATAAACATATTAAATATTATTTCAATATAGAAAAAGTGGTCTCAGTAAATTGTTTTATTCATATAATGTAACACTATATAATATCATAGAAATTGCATTTCCAGATGATATTTAATGACATGGAAAGTTTTTGAGTCTTAAATGAGAAACTATTAGAATATAATAGTGTGTACAGTATGTGTATGAGTGATTGGATCAAAAAATATTTATACTTTTTAACCCAGTCATTCTTTTTTTAGAAATTAACATATCCTAAGTGAAAGTAAATACTTACATCTCTTTTTAAAATGCTGATCAGAGGTAGGAGAATAAAAATAATTCTTCCCATGTGGGTTATTATATATTTAATGCTTTCATACACAAAATTTTAAGAATAGTGTTGTTAAAAGAGTGTGATTAGGATTTCCGACTCATATATAGGCTTTAACAACTATCTAATACAAATCCCTTTAAAAATAGTAAACTAATAAATGGTAGAAAAATAAATAGTATTAAGGTAGACTAGAAAGGGTACCAGTTATTGAATGCATTTTCTATGTCTAGATTAGTCTTCATGTCCTTCAACACTTTGCCTGTGTTCCTGGTTTTTCTTTCCATGCAGATTAGGTCATTATTCAGATAGAGTTTTGTGATTCTGTCAGAGCTCTTAATTCCAAAATGTTCTTACGTGGCAGACACAATTCAGTTTTTTTTTTTTTTTTTTTTTACCATATTTCTACAACCTAGCAATCTTACTACACTAAAATCAACCAAATTTCTTACTCTGATTCTGATTCTTTGAAATATTTCATAATGTGGTCGTCATTAAAGGGACACACATGAATAAAATTTCCTTACAAAGGGAATAGTGTCACTCAGCTATAATATATTGGCTTGTAGCTCTTGATCAGTTCTTTTCAATAATACACACATGCACAAATAGACACCATACTGTATATGACATGTCAGAATCTGATATTTTCTCTTAATATCAAATCATGGACTTTCCAGGTCATTAAATATTATTTGTTTTTAAGGGGCTTTTAGAATATTGTGTATTGTGCCATTTTACAGATAAGCCAAACTTTACATTAACTTAGCCCACATTGTCAGACATTGAAACTGTATCTGGTACATTATAAGCAATTCCACTAAAGATAAACATGCTGGTTGTCCTTGTTGAAAAGAACAAAATCATTTTAAATGTTTTCTCCATAGTATCCTCCTAATGGCAACCACTGTATTGGTAGCCAGAGTAATGTTTTTTTAAGTTTCCATTTTATATTGTGAAGGGTCAGCCCTACCGGTTCTTGAGTGCTAGCTATATAAGTAAACATAGATTTCTGTGAAAAGTGCTCAGGTGTCCTGTACCCCAGTGCCTGGTGGGCCACATTTTGGACGTATGGTATTCAGACTCATAATCGGTCCTTTCTCTAAACTTATAATTAGCAGTTATAATTTGCATTTCTATAGATCTTACTGTACTGCCTCCTATTATTTTATAAACAAGTGTCTTATCTCTTGAGCTGGACCCTGAGCTGAAGCCAAGGTCTTTGTCTTACACTGCCTGATTGTCTCCTCATCCCAGCATTGTCTCTTGCTCAAGTGTAGTGTGCTGTGTGGGGTATTCGGTAGTGATGAAGCAACGGAGTGCTGTGTGGTGTATTCAGTAGTGACGAAGCAACGGAGACTCAAGACAGACTGCCTGGGATCATATCCAAGCAGTACGACCTCGATCATTTACTTTATTTGTCTGGGCCTCAGTTTCCTCATCTTTAAAATGATGATAATGATAATGCCTCCTGATTAGGGTTACAGTGAGGATTACATGAAATAATACACAAAAGAACTTAGCCCAGGCTTGGTAATAGTAAGCCCTTAGTAAATAGTAACTAATGGTAGTAAATTGTTCTTGATTTTTATAAAAAGTAAGTTGGTGCATTGCTCTAGTCTTTTTTTTATCAATATAAAAAAGGCACTGGTGTTCAATATTTTGCATGTCTGTTATAGTCATCCAGTTACTAAACTAGCTATAGATTTTCACCTGCTTTAATAAAATTATGAATGATTATCATGAGAGGCTAACACATTAATTAACGCTCATAATATTAGCCAGTATCTGTCTAATGAATTGTTTATTTATAGCAAATTTGCTGGTGGACTTAGAGCAAATGTACTGCCTTAATCACTAAACTAAACCCATAGCTGAGAATATATACTACTTTTCAAGTAGAAAGCTGACAAAAATAAAGGTTTTATAATTTTATTATTGAAATTTTCGTAAGAAAGTTTCACATGAAATAACCTAGCTACACCTTTCCTATGCCTAAATAAGTAAACGGGATTTCTTGGCAATAAAATAAATAGGTATAAAAGTTGCATAGTGATTGCGAGCTTAGGTGTTTCATTCATAACCATCACTGTATTAAGAGGAAAAAATACAGGTGGGCATATTTGAAGCCTTATACTTGGAAGGATCCCTGTGTTGACTCCAGTATTTAGTATCCAAAATTGTTTCAGCTTGCAGTGTTTGATGATTGCCTGTCTTGCTGTACTAGATGTCTGTAACTTCTTGGAAAAATTAGAATGTGCTATAATAGTAGTAAAAATAAAACAAAAATTCTGAGCAATGTAGGCCTGGAGAACTGCAGCTATCCATAAACAAAGCCATAGAAAATGTCATTCTGAAAAGCACTCAACAGTAAAGAAACCTTTTCTGATAGGGCTTCTCTTGTAAGTCTATTTGAATTGCCATCTTTACAAGGAACTTTCTTCCTCAAACTAACCTTCAAAAGAGTTTGTGATGAAAATTTTACATTCCCAATGTGTTTTGGAAAGCATGAAAGATTTAATGTGGTTTGGAAAATGTAATGTAACATTCAATTTTAAAAAATATTTCCCAACCATGTGCAAATCTTTTTGAAAGCATGTAGCCACATCTATCTATACTTATTATTTGTTTATGATTCATCTCCTTTTTATTTTAATAAGATTTTTTTGACAAGAGAACAAAAAACTATAGACCTACCACTCTGAAACAAATAATAAACTGTAAATTATATTAGTATTTTAGGCATTCTTCCAGATTATTTCAGAGTAATCTTAGTTAACATTTTTAATGACTGCCTCATATTCTATCAAGTTGTTTACCACATTTTAATCATTCCTTTAGTATTTCTTCCAATCATACCTGTTAACAACTACAGTAGATACTTTTTATGGTTGGCATGTAGTTTTCTCCTCTATTTCTGTATGTATTTCCTTAATATGTAGTTTCAGAAGTGGAATTTATTAGAGATAAACTAAACTCATTAAATTTAGAGTTTCTTATTGTCTTTCATGAGAACATTTTTCCTTTTCATTCATAAATGATATTGAAACACTATATTCTTACTTTCATATTCCTGTTTATATTTTTGTTTTTCATGTTAAACATTTTACATTCTAATAGTAACCTCATCGACCTGTTAAAAGGCAATATAAGATTTAGATTATTAAATAGCATGTAATATATGTGATCAGTAATCTTCAATGAGCTTGTTCTTCATTTAATTGCAACGTTATGTCTGATTTTTTTTGTTGCAAAGCTTTCAGAATCTTGACTTGTGGTAATCTTCTTTTAAAAAAGCTTTTAACAGAATTAATAAGTCATCACGTTATGATAAATGATTAAGGAAATGATGCCTCTAATACATTGAATTATTAAAACTATCATTTTGAAAAATTATATTGGTACAAACTAGTGTCTACTGCTATTACTCATACATTTCAGAATTCATACATGGATATCGTCTAGGATTTTTTTTTTGCGTAATCATGAGTTACGGTGTTAAAGTTATAGTGTTAATTTAATTATGTTATAGTGTTAATTTATCTGTTTTACATCTCACTTTTGTATCTGAAACCGTTCGAAAATAATTATTATTAAAGGCCAGTTGACAAAATTTCCACTCCTCCTCCCCAGTGTGACTTTCCTTATTTGTATTATACCTATAAAGACTACCTCTTACATCGGCCAGGCACAGTGGCTCACGTCTGTCATCCCAGCACTTTGGGAGGACGAGGTGGGCAGATTGCCTGAGCTCAGGAGTTGGAGACCAGCCTGGGTAATATAGTGAGATCCTGTCTCTACAAAATATACAAAATTAGCTAGGCGTGCCTGTAGTCCCAGCTACTTGGGAGGCTGAGGTGGTAGGATGGCATAGAGTCCAGGAGGCAGAGGTTGCAGTGAGCTGAGATGGTGCCACTGCACTCCAGCCTCAGTGTCAGAGCCAGTCCCTGTCTCAAAAAAAAAAAAAAAAAAAAAAAAAGAAGACTACCTTTTATAAGAATTAGGAGTATTTCAGTCTATTCTCATTGTGGAATAAAAGTCACTGTAAACTGGATAGGCTAAAATACATGTAGTAAGTCTCAGATGATTTAGCATTACAGACTTTTTTTTGTAAAGACATTTATTATCTAACATTGTTTTATATAATTGCAGATTTCATTATATTTAAAGAGTCCATTTACCTTTTCATTTGTTATGAATTCTGTTGTTGTGGTAATGATTGTTGTTTAATGTTTCATCTTGCCACATATAATTTAGAATTTCACTGCCTCGCATAAGAGTAGCAGTATATGATCTGGAAGATTTTTTAAATATAGAATTGTACTAAATAGAGAATTGTGGTCCATATGACATTTCTAAAGTAAAATCTCTGATTGGAAATGTACTCACATAAGTTTTAAAATGTCTTTTCTGTCTTGAAGTGTTGTTCAAAATTTCTCCGGGATCAGGTTTTCATCATGATTTTAACATCGTCATTGCTTATGTCAAGCCCACCTGCACTGTTGTCACTCAAATAAGGAGTAAGCGCCTCTTTATTAGAAAACCTGCCCTCCCACTAGCCAGAAACTAGTATTCAAGACTCAAATCTAGTTAGTAAAATTAAAACCTTTTCTTTTTGGAAGTATTTTACTAAGACATTAACACTCTTCCTTTAACTCATATTTGTCAGAAAACTAGATGCTACTTTACACAGATAGTTGTGCAGACACGGAAAAATCATATGTATTTCTGGATTTTAAGAATTGTGTCTGAGACAGAAAACTGTGACACAGGCAGACAGCCGATAAATACATAATCTATTGTAATTCTCTTAATATTGGGATTTAATGACCAAATGCCATTTATCTAAAGCTGCATAATTATGCTAATAAAATCATAGTCACACATCAACTACTGTTATTTATGAGCATTTAAAAATATTTGCCTGCTTTCTGAGTTAAATTGGTATTTGGCAGAAGAGTTAGAAATAAATTCCCTTTATGCCATTTTTAACTAATTCTTTTTTTCCTTAAAAATAAAGCACCATTGAAAGACTCAAAATGAACCATTGAACTCTATTATATCTTTTCTTTATTGGAAACTCTTAATAATTTGGAATTTCTATCTATGTATAGAAAAGCAAACATTTCTTCCCAGTTTGCTATTAAAAAGAGAACTGAAAATATTTTGTGTGTATATCAAATCTTTTCTTCCATAGATGGACCACATTGTTATCTTTTTCATTCTTTATGGTGGTAAGATCATGTATTACTCTTTCAGGACATGGTGACTGTGCTTGCAACACATTACAGGTTTTTGTTTGGCCTCTCAGGAAAGAAGCTATGTACTTCAGTTTTTCAGGGTTCTGGGGAATTACCCAATATCCTATCCACTGTGCATGACAAATGTCTTACCCTGCTATAAGAATTTTCAGCCTTTTTACATCTTTCAGCAAAGGAACTCTAGGTCCCTCTATCATGTGGATGGTCCAACTCTACCATTAGATATAAAGGCATTGCCAGTAATCAGGTTGAAAGAAAAGCTAGGAACAGTTGTAAAAAGCTGTCAGGAGTATTCAAATTAACAACTGTCTTATAGATGCATATTTCCCGTGTTGTCTTCTTAAGACCTCTTTGAAAATGTCCCAGTGTATTTCGGGTACTGATTTTATCCTTTAATGCAAATACCATTATTTACTATTTATTATTATTTTAATAGGATAGTCATTGTTTTCATTTATCATTCCAATTTCTTCCATTGAAATGTATAAAGAAGCACATTTTGTTATGTATTTGCTTGAAAACATATACTCTTTAAACATGAAGATTTTTAAGTTACTTTAAAATACATTTATGGAATTGATAAGAAAGTCTTTCAGGATTGTGGAGAAAATGGGCAGTAGAGCAATTTTACCTAAGCTGAAATGCACTATAATTGCTTGTACTCCCAACACAGCATCTCAGAGATGGAACAAACAGAGTCGTTAAAGAGAGGTTTCAAGTCGCTTTGCTTAGGTAATATAGTAGAAAGCTATTATCTCCTCTCTGACCAAATCACTTCTCTTGTCATTTGGGTAGGATCTGAAGTTCAAAAACAAACTGTAATCTTAGAGGAAACGTGTAAATCTTTCAGGGTGTTATTGAACATTTTCAACACGTTGAACATTATCAAAAGCATATGCAACTGTCTTTTAAAGGTGTACTCTGTGTTCTCTGATAGGCAAAATGGATGAGACGTATTTTCTCCCTATTGCCCCTGGTTTCCCCCTTTCTGTTTCCCTCCTTCCCTTTCTCTCTGTTGTATAGAGTCTTGCTTTTGCTGATGATTAAGCCAACAGGTGTCAGGAGTGCTAAAGCAAGTTGGCTTTGTGCCCACAAGCGTACAGTGCAGATACTGTGTCACTGTAGGTTTTGGTGAATTGTTGTGTCCTTCCAAGAGAAGGGATAACCCAGCTGAAATACTGCAACTCCTGAGGGATTAATGTGTTTCCTTTGCTTTATAGTTCAGAATTTTACAGTTTCTTTGTTTGGGAGTTCTCGGGTTGCTTAATGATTTCTCTGGCCTCCACCCCCACCGTGTTGTGACCAGATGTATATTATAACTGTGTTTGGACCTCTGTAGATTTGCCAATTTTATTGATTAGTATGTGGTATAACCTTTTCTTTTTGAGTACATCATTTTTCTGCAGTAAATGTTCATGTTCTGTTTGTTTTTTGTTTGTTTGTTTTTAAATGATGGCATTTTCGACTCTGTAGTATTTTAGAGAATGGATTCCAGGGTCATACTGTTGTCACATTATTTTCTCCTTGTTAATGTTGTCAGTAAGCATGCCTATTTTGTATTATAATTGTGAGGGGATCTGCAAGGATTTATTAACTATGAAAGTCTTGTATTCATATTAGATTGTGGTGAAGGAGCACTAGTGGATGAAAAATTTTCTGATCTTTTAAGTCCTAGTTTGAAAGGTGTTTGGTTTTCTTTTAATTTTGCAACCTAAATAGTCTGTTAACGTTAGAAGTTTTTAGTGAGCTTTAATACATTTATTTATTGTTCTTGAAAACTGGCCTTAAGAATGAACAGTTTTTAAAACAGTTTTTGCAAAGATGGAATTGTAGCCGTTGGCAGCTGTTAGAGTAGAAATTCCTTTGAGCTTATTTGGAGATTTTAGAAAGAGCTTAACTCCACCCTGGATACCCCCGTTAACTAAATATGCTGGCTACGATGTGAGCTCAAAGTTTTCTTTTCTTTTTCTTTTTTTTCTTTTTCTCTCTCCCAAATGCTAACCTTGTGCTAAAATCAAATAATGATGCTGTGAGATTTGTGGAATTTGGGAGAGGGGTTGGGATGGGGCAAAACTGAGCACAGTTAGGTACAAATGGGAATAATACAGTTAGAAGACAACAGGCTAAACGTGCTATACAGACAAGGGTAATTGATGGAATAAATTTCCTAGAAAGTGGAAGGGGACAGGATTACCAGTCCTTAGGTAATCCTAAAGTTAGGAGAGAAGAGGCTGTACACACTGGTAGGGATGATAGTAGGAAAAGGAGGGAGTGTCCTGTTTGAGGACTTCAGTGTTCAATAAAGTAGAAGGCTGTGCCCTGTATTATAGGTGTGTGTGGAGGGGCAGGGAGGGGTGGGTGGGGGCGCTGTGTAGAAACATCAGATTCTTGAGAGTGGACCAGATATGAAATCCTTGTGGAGAGAAGCAGATTGAGTTGACTAGAGAGCACATTTGAAGTTTGTGGTTGTGTACTTGTAATGAATCCTCTTGTCCTATAAGGTGTCTTTTTCCAGCATAGCTCCACTGCTTAGGCACATGCACAGAGAAAAGTAGAATATTAGGGCAAAAACTAATAAGCCCTGTGTAGTTGTAGATGTGGTTTCAATGCTGTGATGGGTCTTGACAGCCATGGGGTAGAGTGAGTGAAGACCTGAAAGCATGTTTTCCTTGAGAAACCGAAGGTAGCTCAGAATGCTTAGAGTACAGCATGAAAGAGGTAAAGAACAAGAAAGAAAAGAGCCTAGAGAGGTAAAAGGAGGCAAGAGCTGTTATGAAGAGCTTTGTAAGCCGTGTTAGAGCATTTAACTTTATTCCTTGGACAGTGGACAGCCATGGAAGGGTTTTATGCTAGAAAGTAACATGATAAGATTTGCATCTGACAAGATCACTTCGACTATTCTGTGAAAAGTTACTAGGGGAGGATCAATACTGGAGGTAGGGGAAGTAGTCAGGGGGCTGTTGTAATCTAGGCAAAATAAAATAGCCTGAATTAAGGAAGTGGCACTGATGATAGGAATAAAAAATGGGTGTATTTGAGAAATATTTTGGATCAACATTTTGCCTTCCTCCGACTTTCTGGAGAAAAGAAAGTTTCTAATTGACTAAGGCTCCGTTAATGTTGGTTTTATATTACCTCACTTTAGTAATACTTTATTAGTTTACCTAAAGAGGGTCTGCCATATTTTGTATCATTTTGGTAGAATTTTTTTATTATCTTTTTTTCCTGACTAGAAAATACATGGTCTTATGACATTCTTCATAGAAATGGAAAAAACTATCTTAAAATTTATATGGAACCACAAAAGACCCAGGATAGCCAAAGATGTCCTAAGCAAAAAGAACAAAACTAGAGGAATCACATTACCTGACCAAATTATAGTAACCAAAGAGCTATAGTATACAAAGCTATAGTATAGAGCTATAGTAACCAAAACAGCATGGTACTGACATAAAAATAGACACGTAAACCAATGGAACAGAATAGAGAACCCAGAAACAAACTCACACACCTACAATGAACTTATTTTTAGCAAAGGTGCCAAGAACATACACTGGGGAAAAGACTATCTCTTCAATAAATGGTGCAGGGAAAACTGGGTATTTATATTCAGAAGAATGAAACTAGACCCCTATCTCTTGCCATAAACAAAAATCAAATCAAAATGGATTAAAGACTTAAATCTAAGACCTCAAACTAGTACAAGAAAATATTGGTGAAACTCTCTAAGACATCGGCCTGGGCAAAGATTTCTTGAGTAATACCCCACAAACACAGGCAACCAGAGCAGACATGGACAAATGGGATCACATCAAGTTAAAAAGCTTCTTCACAGGAAAGGAAATCATCAACAAAGTGAAGAGACAACCCACAGAATGGGAGAAAATATTTGCAAACTACCCATCTGACAAGGGATTAATAACCAGAATGTATAGGGAGCTCAAACAACTCTCTATAGGAAAAACAATCTAATAATCTGATTTTTAAATGGGCAAAAGATTTGAATAGACATTTCTCAAAAGAAGACATACAAATGGCAGACAGGCATATGAGAAGATGCTCAACATCATCGATTATCAGAGAAATGCAAATCAAAACTACAATGAGATATCATCTCACCCCAGTTAAAATGGCTTGTATCCAAAGGCAGGCAATAACAAATGCTGGCAAGGATGTGGAGAAAAGGGAATCCTCGTACACTGTTAGTGGGAATGTGAATTATTAGTAGACCCAATATGGAGAACAGTTTGGAGGTTCCTCAAAAAACTAACAATAGAGCTGCCATATGATCCAGCACTTCCACTGCTAGGTATATACCCAAAAGAAAGGAAATCAGTATATGGAAGAGATATCTACACTCCCATGTTTGTTGCAGCTCTGTTCATAATAGTCAAGATTTGGAAGCAAACTAAATGTCTATCAGCAGATAAATGGATAAAGAAAATGTGGTACTTATACACAGTGGAGTACTATTCCACCATTAAAAAGGATGAGATTCCATCATTTGCAGCAACATGGATGGAACTGGAAATCATTATGTTAGGTGAAATAAGCCAGGCACAGAAAAACAAACATTGCGTATTCTCACTTATGTATAGGATCTAAAAACCAAAACAATGGAGCCCATGGAGATAGAGAGTAGAAGGACGGTTACCAGAGGCTGGGAAGGGTAGTGGGGTGGTGGGGATGGTTAATGGTACAAAAAAATAGGATGAATGAATAAGACCTAGTATTTGATAGTACAGCAGAGTGACTATAGTCAATAATAATTTAATTGTACATTTTAATAACTAATAGAGTATAACTGAATTGTTTGTAACACAAAAGATAAGTGTTTGAGGGGATGGATACCCCATTTTCCATGATGTGACTATTATACATTGCATGACGGTATCAGAATATCTCATGTACCCCATGTACCTACTACGTACCTATAAAAATTAAAACAATTTAAAAAAAATTTTTAAGAAAACACAGGGTCTTTATAGACAGTTGAAAATTACAAAAAGGTAAAGCATAGTAAATCAGCTTCCCTCTCACTATCCAGAGACAAGGATTGTAAATATTTTGATGTTTTCTCCTTCCATCTTTTTTCAGAAAGCATTGCTTGCAAACTGAGATCTCTCTGGAAGGAAAAAGGGGTCAGTTCCATACAGTGATTCTTGGAGCTAGTAAAAACCAGTTTAAGTTTCTGAGTGTTTTACTTGTAGGATGTGGTACTTTGCCTCTGATAAGTGCTAGGTGACCTTTTAGATCCTTTATTTTCTCCTTTAAGGATGAAGCCTTAAAATCCAGCCTAGTGAGAGAGGGCCTGAGTAATCTGTTTAGAGGAGAACATTGCCCCAGTCACCACATTGGGTGAAAAGCCACTTCTGATGAATGCCAGAGCACACACATTCATTATTTCAAATGCCTCATGGGGGAAAATCAATGGGAAGGAGTCTTACTTAGTTTGTTTATTCTAGGTAAGGCAACAGAGAATTGGTAACCAGAGAGTAATGGCTGACTGGGTGTCTTTACTGATTTGTAAGCTGAAAGTAATGGCACATGGAATCCTGCTGGATAAGGTGCCTCTCCCTGTGCTTTATTTTTTTTGTTTTTAACATCCCTTTTAACTTGGTCTGAGATTGATCGAGACATTGTCTTGAACCCTGGAAGCTGTGAGCCATATTGGAATGACAAACACTTGTTGACAGCGTTGAGAAGATGGATGGAAAAACAAACTCCCACGAGGTTCACATGTTTGTTTTCCTGTTGACTCTCTAGAAGAATGTTGTGACCATTATTTAATGTAGGGGAAGAAAAAGTTATTGTCAAATTCAGTATTTTCTGAGCCTAACTTACAGACATCTCTAGAATACATCTGCCTTTTGCATAGGATGTAATTAATCAAAGTAGGACTAGGAAGTACATCAGTTGGGCTGTGGTATTTCTATCCATTTTTGTTATCTGTGTCATTTTGGCTCACAGAGTTCAATAGTATCATAAGTATATATTGTCTGTTAGGAAGATTAATAAGTGTATTTTGTATCTGAGCATTAACTATTTGGATAATATATAATTAGAATTAATATAATATATTTTAATATATTACTAGGTAATTATATATACTATATTAAAATATAACGTTATATTTTATAATATAAAATGTATTGTTAGTCTATAACATATATAACAATATATTTATAATATATTAAAATTAATATTCACTAACATAAAAATATGTATAATAAGGAAGCACAAACGTTATAATAGGTGTCTAATAGATATTTATCCATTGGTATAATCATGCCCTAGATTTTTGTCATGTGAGTATGAGGAGAAAAAGAAAGATCCATTTACTACTCTGTTAAATAGAACTGTTCATTGATTCCCAAACCAATTATGAGACAAAGATTAATATAAATACTTACTATGTTTATATCAATTAGTGCCCTTCAGATACTTAAACTAGGAATACCCTTTCTACTCTAGGCAAGTAATTTTGTAGGTATGATGTATATGAAATGAAATGATTTGAAGTGGTTAGCTTTACAGTGTATTATAAATAATTTAACTGCACCTGTCTACTGAGCATCTTCTCACTTTTTTGTAATAAAATTTTCCTTTGCTATGGAGAAAATAGTATATGTGTTTTAGCGGCGATACTGTGTCTTTGTGTCTCTCTACCAGCACCCTCCCCGTGCTCACAGGATAGTCACCTCATTCCTTGGCCATGATGATTCATGGCCGTGATGGTTCTGGACTTTTCTCTTGGAGCTAAGCAGAAATAAACTAGTTTTTAGGGTGGCTAGGAGTGTGGAAGGCAGGGACTGCTGTTGTCATTTTGCCTGCTTCATGGAAAAAGTCTGCATGCAGGAATAAACCAAGCCAATTTAAGAGATGGGAGGAGCCGGTGTCATGATGGCATCATTTGAAATTCTGAATCTTGTCCTTCCTGAAAGCAGGTACAACCCTGTTATAAGCAATAATAAAGCCCCATTTTCCTTTGAGCTAGTTTGAGTTGTGTTTCTATCACTTGCAATCCCAAGAGCCTGAGTACTATAACAGATCACAGGATTGCCAGAGAGCAATAAATGTGAGGGAGGATATGACTGATTGGGAAGGGAGATGGTGGGGAAGTGAACCTGAAGAAAAAAAGGAAAAGTTTACGGCCGGGCACAGTGACTCACGCCTGTAATCCCAGCACTCTTAAGAGGCTGAGGCGAGTGGATCACTTGAGGCCAAGAGTTTGAGACCAGCCTGGACAATATGGTGAAACCCCATCTCTACCAACAATACAAAAACTTAGCCGGGTTTGGTGGCATGCACCTGTGGTCCCAGCTACTTGGGAGGCTGAGGTAGGAGGATCCCTTGAGCCCAGGATGCAGAGGTTGCAGCCACCCGTGATTGTGCCACTGTATTTAGCCTGGGCAACAGAGTAAAACCCTGTCTCAAAAAAAAAAGGAAAAAAAAGTTTACAGTGAAAAGAGTTCTAAAAGATTGGTGGATTTTTATGAAGAAAGACTGAGAGGAAAACCTCTTTTGAAAATTTAACCTAGTCAGAAAATAAGTTGTTTTCTGAAGAAAAGGTGTTATTCCTTTCCGTGCAATATTAATGTTTGAAATGTTCACAGTCTTTGTGTATTAGGATGTTGGAGGTTAAAGGAGTCAAACCGTTGTAGGTTTGATTTCAACTGGAAAGGGCAGAGGCCTTGGAGGTAACCTGACCATTGGAATTAATGTCCAGCCTTTCCCTCACTTCCCTTGTATCCCATTCTGTGTTCATAGACAACTAAGAGAAAGGAGGGCATGTTTTCTGGGGCTTTGGTTTGTATAGTTCCAGGGAAAGACGTTTCAGTTGGCCCAGTTTGAATCAGATAACACACTCAGTAATCACTGTGTCCAGGAGCAGTGTAAGGTACTGGATTCTTTAGCATTTGAGACCGTGAACAAGAGCCTTCAACTAGAAGAAGGCAGGTGCAGTACAAGACTGGTCCCTGACAGAATTAGCTTGACCTGGACAGCTGCCCAAATTCTGTTTACTACAGCATATTACTTTCAGTGTTCTCTGAAGTAGTGAGGGTATATGAAAAAGGGGGCCAAACAGTATATTCTAAGGGTTGATATTACTGCATTTGTCTTTTGTTGTCAGCACAAGTTGCCATTGTTTTTACTTCACTGCTTCAGAAGTAGTTGGAACCAACTGAAAATGATAACATTATGAAAAACTAATTATTATAAAGCACAGGAAAAAAAAAATGAGTAGGCTAAAGCCAGCTGTATATAGGTTCTGAAATAACTGTTGAAGTGTTTAAATTGCTCATTGAAATAAACAATGCTTTATGTTTAGGAAATGTGGTTTAAGTATCTAAACCAATGCAGTAAGCCTAACTGAAAGCATTATAGTAAATGCATGAAGAACAGAATCAAGTAGCAGCATGAGTTCTGATCCCTTGGTGCTAGGAAGAATTGCTGGGCCCTCACTGAAATGAACCATGAGTCTTGGTTAGCATGGTATTTTTGCCCAGATGTTGCTTGTCCGGCAAAATTTAAGCATTCATGGGAGTCAGATGCTGCTGCCAAGTTATGGCATCCTGGAGTCCAGTTGCTATCTATTTCTATTCTTCCATGGATGATGTGCTAGAAACATAGAAAAGACAGTATCTTTTTTCATCCAGATGAAATGATGCATTAGAATTCCTGAACTAACACACACACACACACACACACACACACACACACACACACACACACACGAGAACTGCCAAGATAGTTACTTAACCACGAGTTTATTTGTTAAATTAGGTAACACCTTACAAGCATTTAAATCACTTGATTTGTAATTGGAATCCTCTTTCATCCCATGAAATTCAATTAAAGTACATATATCAAGTCATGAGGAAAGATTATTCCAAATACTTACACATTGAATATTGGGGAAGGGAAGGAATGTGAATGTTCAGGCAGAACCTTTTAATTACATGTAACTTCAACTAATTCAATAAAGAATATGGACTCTAACAGGCTAATAATTTTTCAACACATTATATAAATTATACATCATTTTAAAATAATTTAGTGCAGTCTGCAGGTATGTTTATTTGCAATGATGGTTTATTAAATAAATTATTTATTGAGTGCCTATTTGCATGTTACTATACCATTTCCTGTTAACATTAAGAATTATGAATTCACATATCTCAGGAAGTCAGCCATTTAGATTGTTAGATAACATGAATATACTGAAAAACTAAATACCTTTAAGCAGCGGCTCTGTTGAAAGTAAGAGAAGTTTGTATCAGTCAAAGTTTGATCAGAATGTCAGAACCACTATGCAGGATATAAGGGCTGTATATTAGTCCGTTTTCATGCTGCTGATAAGACATAACCCGCGATTGGGCAATTTACAAAAGGAAGAGGTTTAATTGCACCTACAGTTCCACATGGCTGGGGAGGCCTCACAATCATGGTGGAAGGTGAAAGGCACATCTTACATGCAGCAGGTAAGAGAGAGAATGAGAACCAAGTGAAACAGGTTTCTCCTTATCAAACCATCAGATCTTGTGAGGCATATTCACTACTACAAGAACAGTATGGGGGAAACCGCTACCATGATTCAGTTCTCTCCCACCAGGTCCCTCCCACAACACGTGGAAATTATGGGAGTACAATTCAAGATGAGATTTGGGTGGGGACACAGAGCCAAACCATATCAGGCTGATGTAGGGGTTAGACCTTATGCATTCCTTTGAGTTAAGCAATCTGTGAGGCTGTTGCCCCAGTATCTAATTCTGGGCCTGACAAAAGCAGAGCCATCTGTAAGGGAAGTAGAAGAGAGCAAGAACAACCTGGAATCTGTGAGGACCACCTAAAACTCATTAGAATAAACTAGACCACGTGGCTGTCTCTTGTCCTTGCCACTTCTAAACATCGGACTTTGATGATGCACATGACCTACAGAAGAGCTTGTATGTTCCACCAAGGAGCAGCACACATACTTGGCCCAGGATGATAAGAAGCTGGAAAAGCTCGGGGATCAGCTGCAACCCAAGGATATCTGGCAGGAGCTACAGAAGCTGCAGGCCCAGCACTGCTCCAGGCCAACAGTGTGAGCCAACAGATTCACAATTGTGTGTGCTCCACTGTAGTACCTGACCTTATGCCAATTTTCCAAGTGTAAGCATGGCTACTGCTTCATTTCCAACGTCCACATCTCACGTAAGCTTCTTTTGGCCAGCCCTAACCTAAAACTGTACAGAAAGGGGATTCTGGGCAATGTAGTTCTGGATTAACTAAATTGACACAACACAGAGCCATCATGGTTCACCCTTGTCAGCTTGGCAGTCAGATACATCTTTCAGCCGTACTAAACTTCCAAATAAGGTGATAGCAGAATCGTGTTTTATGCCAAACACAGTAAAACTTTCCCTCTTACAACCAAAAAATCACTAATTTACTCCCCAAAAGAGAAGACAAGTCTCTATTCATCTTTAGGTGCCATTCATTTCTCTTCAAGCTCCTTGATATTGCATAACTTAAATACTGAAGTATGAGTCTAAATACTGTTAACATATTTTACATTAAATGGCAGGAGGATAGGAGAGAGGAATAAAAAGTTTGATTCATGTATACAAATACAGTTCTATCAAAATAAGAAAAAAGCATTTATAACTGTTCTAGTCCTCATTTCTGCAACTGATCACAGGGTCATTGCTGGTATTTATAACCACTTTCTTCTGATAGCCAGTCCCTATTCTCTTTGTCCTTGGCAAACACTTTGTCCTTACCACATAACATGACCAAAACCTGGAAGTGGAACTTTCATATACTGCTGTGGGAATGAAAAAGTGGCACAACCACTTCGTGAAATAGTTTGACAGTTTCCTAAGTAGTTTAAACACCTCAACTATATGATATATGTGTGTTTAGCTTTGAGAGTGAAAAGCATATGTCCATACAAAGACTTGCACACAGATGTTCATAGCTGCTTTTTGGTAATAGTTAAAAACTATTAGAAATATTCAGATATCCATTAACCAGATATCCATCCAAAAACCAAATATCCATCAGCAAGTAAAAAGATGCACAAACTGCGATACTACCATATAATTGAATATTACTCAGCGATAAAAAGGAATGAACTATTGAAACCCTCTGCAAGATGATGAATATCAAAAGTTATTATTCGGAGTGTAAAAAATTCAGACAAAAAGAGTCCATTTTATTTACATAAAACTCTAGAAAATGCAAGTACTCTAGGGACACAAAGCAATTCAGTGGCTGCCTGAGGACAAGAAGCTTGTGAGTTGGGTGGAAGAGGCGGACTACAGGGAAACATGACATAACATTTTGGGGTGATTTGAATATGTTCAGGATCTTGATTGGTGGGCGTTTCATGGGTAAATACATAAGTTGAAACTTACCAAAGTAAATAGTTTAACTATGTGTAGGTTCTTGCATGTCGATTATACCTTAATGAAGTTATGACTGTTAAAAAGAGATTGGCTCTAACAATGGATAATCTGTGTTTTTATATACCGACTAGAGTGACATTGCTATGTTGTAAAATTATAAAAGATTTATTCACTTGACCTGCTATTTTTTAAATTATGTAATTCTTGATGAGTGTTTGTTTTATTTGCAATTTATATGAATTCACATAAATTGCAACCACACACCTCTAAGTGGTTCAGACAAGTGCCATGGGGATTGAAAGGAGAGAGGGATAACATTTAAGTCAGAAGTTTAGGCTTCAGTTTAGGTATTTTAATTTGAACTTAGTTTTAAGAGGATGGGTTGGGTTTGTTAAGTGAAGATTCAAGGAACATCAGTCTAATCAACGGATGCAGACATAGGTGAGAAATGAGCAGAAGTGCATGATGTGCTACAGTCCATCACTTACACTGTCTTTTCAGATCCTCATAGTAACTTCAATTGTTGGAGAAATTATTCCCATTTGCCGCTGAGGAAACTAAGGCTTCCGATATTATTTTCTTCAACCCCAGGGTCAGAAACTGGCTGAGTCTCCAACTCCCTTGGGCAGTTTGCTCTGTTCCTGAGATAGTGGCGAGTGTGACCAGGGGATACAAATAAAGTAATTGAGAAGCTTGAAAGTAGCGTTAGGGCTAGATTAGTGATAGCCTTTGAATAACTTTCAAAGAATTTGGACTTTTCAGGGTCCATTGGGAATGAGCAGTGTGAGAAGTCCATTAAATGTTTTTGAGCAAGTAATTTGATGATGTTTCTATAGTAGTGGCAATAGTAGAGTGAACCAGGAAGGGTAGATTTGAGAAATATTATGAAGTCCAAATAATCAGGATATGGTGATGAATTAGATATAGTTGGCCAATGCATGGAAGAAATCAGAGCCGATTCTAAAGATTTTGACATGGGTTATAGAGAAGTTGTATGTTTAACAAAAAAAGAATCTGGAGAGGCACTTTGATTTTCGTGGAAATGTGTTGAATTCAATTTGAGACACATTGAGTTTGTGATGTTAAAACATCTACATAAAAAAAAAAAAAAAAACAGCAATCAAGTGACATTACAGAATTGGAGCCCAGGAGAAAGATGGGGCTGCACACGTAGTGGTTTTATTGAAAGATAGGAGAGTGAGGCCGGGCACGGTGGCTCACGCCTGTAATCCTAGCACTTTGGGAGGCCGAGTCAGATGGATCACAAGATCAGGAGATCGAGACCATCCTGGCTAACACGGTGAAACCCTGTCTCTATTAAAAATACAAAAAATTAGCCGAGTGTGGTGGTGGGTGTCTGTAGTCCCAGCTACTTGGGAGGCTGAGGCAGGAGAATGGCGTGAACCCAGGAGGCGGAGCTTGCAGTGAGCCAAGATTGTGCCACTGCACTCCAGCCTGGGCGATAGAGTGAGACTCCATCTCAAAAAAAAAAAGAAAAAAAAAGAAAACAAAAGATAGGAGAGTGAACACAGAAGGCTAGGGTCTGCACTTTGGGTAAGGCTCATTGTGTTGGGGGGAAAGGGAGATGTTGCTTCCTCTTCATCTCCACTGTCACAGCCCTTGTTCAGGCCCTCATCATCTCTTACCTGGGCTTCTTTACGATGTTTTCTGTCAAAATCATCCTCCAAGTGGCAGTCATAGGGATCAATCCAAAATACACCTCGTACACAGCAGAGTCATGGCACATTAGCATGGCACGTGAGGCTCTCTGTGACCCTTGTCTACCTCTGGAGCTTCATCACCAGCCATCCAGCAACACTCATGATAATAGCAAATAAACTGATCTTCAGTAAGTACATTCTGTGTGCCAGGCATCATGCCTTATGTACATTATCTTAATCCTTACATCACCTGACAAGTGATATATTATTATTTTTGGTTTGCAGATGAAGAAATTAGGTTTACTCAGGTTGCACAGCCACTATTAAATGGTAAATCTGAATTTTTTTTTTGAGACGGAGTCTTAACTCTGGTCCAGGCTGGAGTGCAGTGGCACAATCTCAGCTCACTGCAAGCTCTGCCTCCCGGGAGGGTTCACACCATTCTCCTGCCTCAGCCTCCCAAGTAGCTGGGACTACAGGCACCCGCCACCGCGCCCGGCTAATTTTTTGTGTTTTTAGTAGAGACGGGGTTTCATCATGTATCCAGGGTGGTCTCCATCTCCTGAACTCGTGATCCGCCCCCCTTGGCCTCCCAAAGTGCTGGGATTACAGGCGTGAGCCACCGTGCCCGGCCTAAATCTGAAATTTAACCCTAATTTCTCTAGCTACAAGACTAGGCTCTTAATCAGTCTGCTGTGTTGAACTTCTGCTAGGTACTCCAGCATTTCATCAAAGTTCTGCCTCCTACGCATTTGTTTGTGCTTCTTCTGTGTCTGGAGTGCTTGTCCCTCCTACCCTATGCCCTTAACCATCTAGCCCTGCTCAGCCTTTAAGCTTCCCTTGAAGAGTATTTGAGGAAAATCATCCTTGCCCTTTTCTGTCTCCCTAGCTGGGTTCAGAGCCCGTTCTCTGGACTCCCATAATCCTTTGCACAACTCTGTCCTTCTACTGCACATGTGATTATAATTAACCGGGTTCTCTTGTCTCAGTCTTTCTAGTGGATTAGGGGTTGGCAAACATTTTCCGCAGAGTCAGACAGTAAACATTCTATGCTTTGTGGGCTATGTGGTCTCTGTTGCAACTACCCGGCTCTGCTGCTGTGTAAAAGCAGCCATAGCAATACTAAGGCAAATGAGTGTAGCTGAATTCCAATAAAACTTTGTTTATGGACACTGAAATTTTACTTTCATATAATTTTCACATGCCACAAATAATCTTCTTTTAACTTACTTTCCCAATTATTAAGGAGATATAAAAAGACAGTGGCTTGTGCGCCTTAAAAACAGGTACAGGCTGGATTTGGCCCATGAGCTACAGTTTGCCGACACCTGCATACTGCATAGAGTAAGAACTTCTTGAAAGCAGGTTCTGAATCTAACTGACTTTTGTATCCCCATTGTATGGTGTGTAGTAGACACTAAGGAAATTGTATGGACTGAATAATGAGCCTAAAGAGGAGCACTGAGAGAATGTAGAATTAGGAGAACCCCTTTTAAGTAGTGTATTCAAGTCAAGGCAGGACTGTTTTCAAAAGGAGGGGAACATTCTAGGCATTTATCCTGTAAGAATAATTGCACACATATGCAGATGCATGTTTAGGGATGTTTGTCGTATAGAATGATGAAAAACAACCTGCCTGTTCATCTCTATGGGATTGGTTTTATGGTATATCCATTAAGTGGAATATGCTGCAGTCGATAAAAACTGCAACTGCCACAGTTGCTTCCAACAGAAACCAATTCAAAAAAGCCACCTGTAGAGTGAGCACTGCCATTTCCTAATCTGGGGTCTTCTCATGCAGCCATGGCCTCAGGTAGAGCAGGTGAGGCAATACAGACTCCTGACATTTAGTTTCTTACTCTGACTACGGCCACACTCTTGGGCTGCAGCAGTGCCCAGGAAGCTCTGAAAACTCAGGCTTGGTAGACAGTTCCTTTTGCAATGCATGTAAAATGCTTAACATGTGTAGCCCATCCTTCATAAAGGTTAGCCATCAAGAGAAGAATATCTTTTATTCTTATAATTACAGATGACAAATGCTCTCTTAATGCTGTGGGGATAGTGGTGGTTATCATTATTGGTATGTGGTTTTATTTTAAAGGTCTATGAATCACAGGTACCTGACCATTGGTTAAATGAGCTGTAACTGGATGGTCATTATGACCCAAGTGTGAGGGACTAGGGCTAGTAGATACTTACTATGAATGACAGGGAATCCTCACTGTGGGTAACTACTCAGAGTTTGTGAGTGAAGTGACTATAGTAACCTGAAAAGAAGAAAGAAAAAAATAAATAATCGTATTGGAAAATGTCATTGTGTTTAGGAATACTAAGACATCGTAAAAAAAAAATTAAAAGTAGGTAGTTTGTAGTATAGGATATGGGGAAAGGAAACATATGTCAAAGTTTTTTACAAAATTAAAGGGAACACAACTTACCAGATGTCCCAAACTTATGGGGAAAAATTCTACATTTCTCAAATAGTTCAGAATAAATTTTCTTTCATTTTTAACATATACTTCTTAGTAAATCATACTAGATGACTTGTAAAAGTACAATAAAATAGAATGTCACTTATTTGTCTTTTTAGCACTAGTGTTTATTTTTTTCTAATATTTATAGAACACATATTGAGTACAACACACTCTACAAAGAGCTATGATTCATACAGACATAAGTAAGAAATGATCCCTGCCACTCAAATCTAGTCAGACCAGGAATTTCTGAAATCTGTTACTTACGTTTCTCTTGAAAAAAGGTTTCATGGTGAAATAAATTTGGGAAACACTGCCTAAAGTAAGGTTAATTTGGTTTCTTCACTTTGGGATTTCTCAGAGATTTTATTGTGCTCATATGATTTGACCATAGAGTCGTTCTTCCTGGGAGCATCTCCGGGGATGGTAAGGGAACATAGCTGGGGAAGTACTGACTTCAGCCTTCCATTGAATTATTGTTTCGTCTGTTGATTTGGTTCTAGCCCATTTAGTCAAAGATTTCTTAAATAATAACCTAATCAGCACATTTTTTGAGTACTCTGTTTTACCAAAAAAGGAGACAAGTAAGAGACATTAATAACAAATTTAAGAACATACTTGTACAGTTTGTCAAGGCTTTGGAAAATTAGTTTTGATAATACCTTGGGCCTTGTCTTTTAATAGGTAAACAATTAAAACTGTACTTCATTGTTAGGATGACCATACCAATCTATTGTCCAAGCTAGGATGCTTTCAGAGTGAGAGAGGTTGCTGTTAATGATGCTGGCACCAAGATGTAAATTAGAACTATCCTGGGCAGAATAGGATGATTACCTTCATTGCAGTATAACCTCAGTTTCATCTGAGATCTCTGAGATCTTAATTACGTCAGCCCTGGTTCTTTACATCAGTAGCCCATTCCCCAGGGTCAGTTGATTCTTGGTTGATTCTCAGGCTTTGGGTTGTGTGAAAGATTCTGAAATTATTTACAACGCTAATGCTTCAAACCTGAAACTATACAGTTGAGCCTTGAATGACATGGGTTTGAACTGTGTGGGTCCACTTATACGTGGATTTATTTCAACCAAACACAGACTGCAGGATGTGAAACTTGAACTTAAAGAGGGACCACATTTTCTCATAGGCAGGTTCTGGAGGGCCTACTGCGGGAGTTGAGTATGTGTGGATTTGGTTATCCACACATGGGGGGTCCTAGAGCCAATTGTCTGCATATGCCAAGGGACTTGGCTACTTGTATGTTTAACAGGTGATTTTCAAAGTGGATAAAAGTAGATATTCCTGACACCTAGTGCAAATTATTGTTGTTGTTTTGGTTTTTTGTTTGTTTGTTTGTTTTTTTGGAATTTTTCTTCAAGAAGTGCCAGGGTATTGATTTATGCTATCGAAATTAAAATGAAGTTTACTACAGAAAAAATGTTCAGTACTAAAGCGGAAGAAAAGAATTGTTTTATAGTTAATGTTTTCTGTCTTTTTTCATTCTTTTTACAGTTTTTTGAGGTGCCATTTGACTCAAACATGAATAGGACAAAGAACAGACCGCTGGTTCGTGGACAGATCAGGTAAAATCACGAATACAAGTGTCTTCCACATTATAAAACATTCATTTGCTTGTTCATCTGAATCATTTCCCACTATTTTGCTTTGAGCTGCGAAGTGGAAATAAAATACCCACAAAGAAACAAAGTGATATGGAAATGCAATACTTTCCACCTCTAACCAAAGTGTGTTACAAAGCACTTAAGATGGATGTAAGAGTGGCAGGGTTTTTTTTTATGGTAGTAACTTATGTGATATATATATATTTTTAATTCCACTTTGAAGCATAGACTTTCTTTCATTTGTAGTGGCTGAAGATAAAAACATTGCATTAACGCAAATGATCTTCAGACAAATCCATCTAGGGTCTCAGAAGAAGGATATGTCTGAAATCTTACTTTTTCAGATAAACTGATAATGCTGTTGTATGCCAAGTAAAGTACTGCCTCCATCACTCTCCACCAGTTGCAATTAAGTAGAAATAAAAGGCATATAAATATTTTAACATCACTAATGGTTAATAATTAAACATTTTACTTCCTGGAGACCTCTAAACCGGCATTTAAAAAACTTTTTTTTTAACCTAATATATATTACAAGCCTAGAAGAATAAAAAGGGCCAAATGGTTTATACTGACTATGTAAATCACTGGATTCTTTCTTCACGTTTCCAGGCAATGCCCTCATGGAGCTTAAAATTTATTGTGATAACACTTGTGAATCAAATGATCACACATATTTAAGTAAAATAATAAAGGAAGCAAGTGTATATGCAGTCAGATTAATCTATGCAGAAATGATCTTTAATATTAGCTGGTTTTAGACATTTCTCAATGAATTTAAAATATCATTATAGTAAAAAGGGCAATAGAACCAGATGAAAAGATATAAGAACAAAAAGCTCACATCTACTGATATTTTATTTCCTTTTTCTGAAATATAAACAAAGGTATATGGTGTGTTTGAGGTTTAGAAACTGTCAAAAGTACTTTTATTTGGGTAGATCTGTTTTAGAGGGGAAAATGCAAAGTCTGTAACCTATCTCAAGAGCTAAAAGCTGCTCTCGCCACTGGTAATGCTTTGGAATTTCTGTTCAGTCATTTTTCCTCAGTGAAATTATACCCTCCTTTAGAACCAGGGAATTGTAGGAATAGGCCCAGCAAGTAGTCTTTAAGCATAATCAGATAAAGGCTCATCATTTTAAACAGCCCATCTTACTTTGTCCAGTGTGGTGGAAGCACAACCTGTTAGTACTCAGGAGGGAGCATTGGGGCCTTAGCTGTTGTAATTGGCAACACTGTCCTTTTAAAGGGGGTTTGGATCATAATCCCAAAAGACACAGTCCCAAATATTGAAGTCTCAAAAGATCAAAATTCCTAAAGTCTAGAATCCCTAATGTCCAAAGGCCCGAAAATTCCAATCACAGGATAGTAAAATCATGTTAGGTGGAACTATCACTTTAATCTTTATTTAAAAATTAAGTATGGTTTAAGGAGGTGCATATGGATGCCAGGTTAACAAGGGGTGAACTTGTGGACTTAATTATAGGTGTCAGCTTGACTAGATTGAAGAATACCTAGAAACCAGGGAAAGCATTATTTTGGGTGTGTCTGTGAGGGTGTTTCCAGAGGAGGATAGTGTGTGAATCTGAGTGGAGTAGATAGGGAAGATTTGCCCTCAGTATTGGTGGGTAACATCCAGCTGGCTGGAGGCTGGAAGAGAACAGATAAAGAAAGTGAATTGGTATCTCTCTAAGAGCTGAGACAGACTTATCTTCTGCTGCCTTAGACATCAGAACGCCAGGCTTGCTGGCCTTTGGACTCCAGGACATACACCAGGAGCCCCCTGGGTCCTGAGGCTTTCAGCCTGAGCTGGAAAGCTCCTAGGGTCATTGACATCCTAGGGTCTCCAGCTTGCAGATGGCCTGTCGTGGGACTTCTCAGCCACCATAATTGCATGAGCCAATTCCCCTTAACAAATCCCCTCTCATATATCTATATACACATCCTATTGGTTCTGTATCCCTGTAGAACTCTGACTAATACAGATTTGCCACTGGGGAAGCCAAATATTATTCCTTCTTACCGTATTTCTTACAGCACAATGGAAGAGATCTGTGATATTGTTCCCTCTAAAAAAAGACTATGATAAGTTAAGTGTATGAGGCTACCTAATGGTGAAAGATAAAAATTTTAAAGCTAATTATTATTGGTGCTTTGAAAGCAGAAAATTGCTTAATTGCAACAGCTGGCAATAACCAGACTTTCAAATGGATAGCATATACTTATAAAATTTGTAGACCACAATCACTTTCAGAATACAAGTGTAATGAGTGTTTTGAAGATCATAGAAGTGAAAATACTGGCAAAAAATACAAGAAATCTTCTCTGCCAAATTATGCTGTCATGTACAACTTCTACCCCTTCACACATAACGCTATATTTGCCTTCAAAAAAATGCCCTTCATCAGAGAATAAAAGGAATTCAACAAGCCCAGGGACCTCCTGAACCAAAGACACTTGCTGATATTGAGGTTTCTCTAGTGTCACAAAAAAACATTAAATGGTGACCTATTCTTGATTAGTGATTTGACTGTCAAAGAAGACAGACTTCTTATATTTACCTCTAAGTCTGATATAGAAAAATCAGCACATGTTTTACGTTGGCTAATGGATGGCACTTTCAAAACTATCCCTGCTTTTTTTTTTTTTTTATCAACTACATAGAATTTATGCCCCTGTTGGATCCACAAATTCTAGAATTTATTCCCTCCTTTATGTATTAATGACTGGAAAATGTGAAGCAGTTCATATATACTTATTTGAAGATTTGGAGGACTTTGCAAAAGAAAATGGATTGTAATCGAATCCTCAAACACAGATATAGAGTTAGGTGCGATGAAGGCATCTAAAGTAAATTTCAAGATGTTACCAATAAAGTTTATTTTTTCCATTCAGCCCAGTGCATTTGGCGGAAAATTCAGATGAGCGGGTTGGCTACATAATTTGGCAACACTGAAATCCGAAAACCTCACTTTAAAAATACATCATTTGCCTGCATTGGCATTCCTTCCAACTTACAACATTCCAGGAGCTTTTAATAAATTAAAGCTGCATTTGCCTGAAGAAGCCAATAAAGTTACTGACTGGTTTGAAAATAATCATGTGCGTGTTAGGATAAGATGACATGAAATGGTGCTGCTCTTCAACCACCAGTATTGTTTCCACCAGATTTATGTTCTGTATATGGGTCCATGTGGAATGGATTTCCTTTTACCCAAAATAACATAGAAGCATGGCATAAGACAGGAAAATTTATTTATTTATTTATTTATTTATTTATTTATTTAGAGACAGAGTCTCACTCTCTTGCCCAGGCTAGAGTGAGTGGCGTGATCTTGGCTCACTGCAACCTCCACCTCCCAGGTTCAAGCGATTCTCCTCCCTCAGCCTCCCAAGTAGTTGGGACTACAGGCACGTGCCACCACACCTGGCTAATTTTTTTGTATTTTTATAGAGATTGGGTTTCACCGTGTTGGCCAGGCTGGTCTTGAACTCCTGACCTCAAGTGATCCACCTGGCTTGGCCTCCCAAAGTGCTGGGATTACAGGCATGAGCCACTGCGCCTGGCTGCAAAAATTTAATAAGGAATGCTCATGTCAGTTTATATCAAATCATAGAAGAGTTTCAAAAAGATCAGAACCACATTGAAAATGAATGTGAATGTATTCTCCAAGGAGAGCCATGTCTTAAAAGAAAAAAAGCAGCTATTCATCGTGATGCAAGAAATCAAAATATAGGTAATGATTGTGAAAGTCGGCCTGCTCTAATGGACTGTCTCTGTTCAGTTGCTCATAATCTATCCCTGTAATAATCTTTCATTTGTCTGATTTTCTTTTTTAGTTTTTTTCTTTCTCTCTTTTCAGTTTTTTTCACAATTTTAAATTGTCAGCTTTGTTTTTACAATTCACTCTATGCTATGTATTTCATCTGCACATCATTTCCAATTCTGGAGGTGTAGATGGTGTAAAGCCTTTTAGAGTTCTAATTCACTTTATGTGTTTTTTGCAAATCTGACTCCACAAAGTGCATTATCACAAATTTGGCTTTGTGTATTAGCATTGTGCGTGTATGTAAAAACACCGACAGTTCCTCAACAAATGAAAAGATGTCCTTTTTATATATCTGTGTTTGTGAAAGATAAAAGTTCTCAAGATCTTGGCTCTAGGGACTGTGTATGTGGTGGTGGTGTCCCATCATGGTTTTTGAGCAATCTTGTGAAAAGGCTTAGGTTGTTTGCCATGGTATTTCAGAGGAACACAGTTATACCGCTGGCTGCACACCATTACCATCCTTAGTGATATGCATTTATACAGTTCCTTTGACCTCTTTATGAATAAGGTTTGTCTGCTTCTAACTGTTATGCCCATGTGACTGTCATTAGTATACCTGAGTGTTTGTGCTTGCACAAATGTATATCTTATTATTGTCTATTTTATTGTGTAAAGTGGCTTATAAAATGTTCTATCATGTTTTTGTATGTTTCTCAAATTCCCTTTTAAAAATGTACAGAAATATCTTTTAAAGAATTTTTAAATTATTTTTTCCAGAATTATATTTTCAGGATTTTGATCTTTTGGGATTTTAGACTTTAAGGATTTTGATTTTTCCAGATTTCATCATTTGGGATTATGGCGTTCTGTTGAGGAAAATAAACAACGGGTTTCTAAACATCCCTTTGTGCAAGCCATAGACAAAATGGCAAAGAATAGATCCCCGTGAGAACCGTTTAGAGTATGTGACCTTGGAGCAAGTGAGGAAGAAGAAGCCCTTCGCCAGACATTATAGCTCAAAGATGTATCTCTAGCTATTCAGCTAGATCCAGAGATTAAATTGAGTCAGTGAAAGAAAGGAGAGGTGTCATTGTTATGTGTATATCAGGTGATTAGGATGAAAGAGATCACGTAGGGAAAGTGTTTTCCCACGTAGCATGATTGTAATATGGGCTGAAGGTCAAATGGGTTTGCCTAGGTCAGTCCTGGTTTGCCCCAACAGAATTATTGATAACGTCCTCTTTCCCTTTCAACAATGCCCAGTTTGGATGTTAACTACATGTCACCCCGTACAGAGGGAAAGATGATTATGATGCTCACAGAATTTCCTTATTTCTAAAGCTTTTTCATGCAAATTGGCATTGCTTCTTTTGCTTAGAAGAGAAAAACATATAAATGTAAAGTGTAATGTATCTAAATTATTATAGTTTGCAGGTATGCAGGCATACCTCATTTTATTGCACTTTGCTTTATTATGCTTCATAGATACTACATTTTTTACAAATTGAAGGCCTGTGGTAAACCTGCAGCAAACAAGTCTGTTGGTGCAGATTTTTGCAGCAGCATATGGTCACTTTGTGTCTCTGTGTCACACTTTGATAATTCGTACAGTATTTCAAGCTTTTTTATTATTATATCTGACATGGTGATCAGTGATGTTTGATGTTACTGTTGTAATTGTTTTGGGGCACCATAAGCCGTGCCCATAAAAGACAGCAAACTTAATCGATAAGTGGTTGTGTGTGTTTTGACTGCTCCACCAACTGGCAGTTTCCCCATCTCTCTCCTGCTCCTTGGACCTCCCTATTCCCTGAGAACCAACAATATTGAAATTAGCCCAATTAATAACCCTACAATAGCCTTGTGTGTGCAAGTGAAAGGGACAATTGCTTGTCTCTCACTTTAAGTCAAAAGCTAGAAATGATTAAGCTTAATGAGGAAGGTGACATGTTAAAAGCTGAGATAGGCTGAAGGCTAGGCCTCTTGCACCAAACAGCCATGTTGTGAATGTAAAGGACAAGTTATTGAAGGAGATTAAAAGTGCTACTTCAGTGAATACACAAATGATAAGAAAGTGAAACAGTCTTACTGCTGATATGAAGAATGTTTTAGCAATCTGGCTATATCTAAGCAGCCACAGCATTGCCTCACACGAAAGCCTAATCCAAAGCAAGGCCCTAACTCTCTTCAGTTTTATGAAGGCTGAGAGAGGTGAGGAAACTGCAGAAGAAAAGTTTGAAGCTGACAGGGATTGGTTCATGAGGTTTAAGAAAAGAAGCTGTCTTCAAAACAAAAAGTGCAAGGTGAAGCAGCAAGTGCTAATGGAGAAGCTGCTGCAAGTTATCCAGAAGATCTAGCTATAAGTTCATTGATGAAGGTGGCCACACTGAACAATAGAGTTTTCATATAGACGAGACAACCCTCTATTGGAAGAAGATGCCATCTAGGACTTTGATAGCTAGAGGGGAGAAGTCAATGCCTCACTTCAAAACTTCAAAGGATAGGCTAACTCTCATTAGAGGCTAAGACTGATGCTATCTTTGAGTTGAAGCCAGTGCTCATTTACCATTCCAAAAATCCTAAGACTCTTAAGAATTACACTAAATCTATTCTGCCTGTACTCTATAAATGGAAAACAAAGCCTGGATACCAGTACATCTGATTGCAACATGGTTTACTGAATATTTTGAAACCTGTTGCTCAGAGGAAAAGATTGCCTTCAAAATATTACTGCTTATTGACAATGCACCTGGTCACCCAAGAGCTCTGATGGAGATATACAAGGAAACTAATGTTTTCATGCCTGCCAACACAACATCCATTCTGCAGCTCATGGATCAAAGAGTCAATTCGACCTTTTTTTTTTTTTTTTTTTTTGAGACAGTCTTCCTCTCACTCAGGCTGGAGTACGGTGGTGCGATCTCAGCTCACTGCAACCTCTGCCTCCTGGGTTCAAGCGATTCTCCTGCCTCAGCCTCCTGAGTAGCTGGGATTACAGGCATGTGCCACCACGCCTGGCTATTTCTTTCTTTTTTTTTTTTTTTTTTTTTTGTATTTTTAGTAGAGATGGGGTTTCACCATGTTGGTCAGGCTGGTCTCGAACTCCTGACCTTGTGATCCGCCCTCCTCAGCCTCCCAAAGTGCTGGGATTGCAGCCGTGATTGACTTTTTAGTTGTATTTAAGAAATACATTTTGTAAGGATGTTGCCATAGATCGTGATTCCTCTGATGGATCTGGGCAAAGCAAATTAAAAACTGTCTGGAAAGGATTCACCATTCTATATGCCATGAAAAACATTCATGATTCAGGGAGGAGGTTAAAATGTCAACATTAACAGGGGTTTGAAAAAAGTTGCTTCCAACTCTAATGTATGACCTTGAGGAGTTTAATACTTCAGTGGAGACAGATACGAAAGAAATAGCAAGAGAATGAGAATTAGAAACAGACCCTAAAGATGTGACTGGATAGCTGCAATCTCATGATAAAACTTGAACACATGAAGAATTGCTTCTTATGGATGAGTAAAGAAAGTGGTTTCTTGAGACCCAATGTATTTCTGACGAAGATGCTGTGAACATTGTTGAAATGAAAACAAAGGATTTAAAATTTTATATTAACTTGGTAGATAAAGCAGTGTCAGAGTTTGAGAAGACTAACTCCAATTTTGAAAGAAGTTCTACTGTGGGTAAAATGCTATCAAATAGCACTGCATGCTGCAGAGAAATCTTTCATGAAATGGAGAGTCAATCAGTTGGGCAGTGTATTAGTTCATTTTCGCACTGATATAAAGAACTACCTGAGACTGGGTCATTTATAAAGAAAAGAGGTTTAATTGACTCATAGTTCCACATGGCTGAGGAGGCCTCAGGAAACTTACAAGCATAGTAGAAGGTGAAGCAGAAGCAAGCACCTTCCTACATGGTAGCAGGAGAGAGAAACAGCAAAGGGAGAACTGCCACAAACTTTTAAACCATCAGATCTTGTGAGAACTCCCTATCATGAGAACAGCATAGGGGAAACCACACCCGTGATCCAACCGCCTCCCAGCAGGTCCCTCCCTCGACATATGAGAATTACAATTTGAGATGGGATTTGGTGGGGACACAGAGCCAAACCATATCATTCCACCCCTGGCTCCTCCCAAATCTCATGTCCTTCTCACATTTCAAAACACAATCATGCCTTCCCAACAGTCCCTCAAAGTCTTAACTCATTCCAGCATTAACTCAAAAGTCCAAGTCCAAAGTCCCATCTGAGACAAGGGAAATAAATCCCTTTCACCTATGAGCCTATAAATTCAAAAGCAAGTTAGTTACCTACAAGATACAATGAGGGTACAGGCATTGGCTAAATGCTCCCATTCCAAGTGGGAGAAATTGGCCAAAACAGAGGGGCTACAGGCCCCATGCATGTCCGAAACCCAAAAGGGCCATCATTAAATCTTAAAGCTCCAAAATAATCTCTTTTGACTCCATGTCTCACATCCAGGGCACACTGATGCAAGGTTGGGCTCCCAAGGCCTTGGGCAGTTCTGCTCCTGTGGCTCTGCAGGGTACAGCCCTCATGGCTGCTTTCATGGGCTGCCATTGAGTGCCTCTGGCTTTTCCAGGCACATAGTGCAAGCTGTCAGTGGATCTACCATTCTGAGGTGTGGAGGATGGTAGCTGTCTTCTCACAGCTCCACTAGGCAGTGCTCTAGTGGGGACTCTATATGGGGGCTCCAACCCCACATTACCCTAGCAGAGGTTCTCCATGAGGGCTCAGCCCTTGCATGCAGCAGACTTCTGCCTAGACATCCAGGCATTTCCATACTCTGAAATCTAGGCAGAGGCTCCCAAAGCCCAGCTCTTGTCTTCTGTGCAGCTGCAGGCCCAACACCATGTGGAAGCAACCAAGGCTTGGGGCTTGCACCTTCTGAAGCCATGGCTTGAGCTGTACCTTGGCTCTTTTTAGCCCCAGCTGGAGCTGGAACGGCTGGGAAACAGAGTGCCCACCATGTCCTGAGGCTGTACAGAACAGCAAGGCCCTGGGCTCAGCCCACGAAGCCATTTTTCACTCCTATGCCTCTGGGCCTGTGATGGGAGGGGCTGCAGCAAAGATCTCTAGAATGCTCTGGAGAGATTTTTCCCATTCTCTTGGCAATTAACATTATGCTCTTCATTACTTAACGCAAATTTTCTGCAGGCAGCTTGAATTTCTCCCCAGAAAATGGGTTTTTCTTTTCTACCACATGGTAAGGCTGTAGATTTTCCGAACTTTTAAGTTCTGCCTCCCTTTTAAACGTAAGTTCCAACTTCAGACCATCTCTTTGTGAATGCATATGACGGTACACCTTCAGAAAAAGCCAGGTCACCTCTTGAATGCTTTGCTGCTTAGAAATTTCTTCTGCCAGATATCCTAAATCATCTCTCTCAAGTTCAAAGTTCCACAGATCTCTAGGGCAGGGGCATAATGTCTCTTTGCTAAAGCATAGCAAGAGTGACCTTTACTCCAATTCCCAATAATTTCCTTGTCTCCATCTGAGACCACCTTAGCCTGGACTTCATTGTCTGTATCACTATGAGCATTTTGGTTAAAATCATTCAACAAGTCTCCAGGAAGTTCCAGACATTCCCACATCTTCCTGTCTTTTTCTGAGCCCTTCAAATTTTTCCAAGCCCTGCCCATTACCCAGCTCCAAAGTTGCTTCCACATTTTCAGGTATCTTTGTAAGAGCACCCCACTCCTGGTACCAATTTTCTGTATTAGTCCATTTTCACACTGCTGTAAAGAACTACCTAAGACTGGGTCATTTATAAAGAAAAGACGTTTAATTGACTCACAGTTCCACATGGCTGGGGAGGCCATATGGACCAACAAACTGACTTGTTTGAACATTTCTGGCAAATCGTTCTGGCTATAATGTTTGTTGTAATGAGGGAGTTAGATTTAGAGCCTCCTTTTATTCTCTGGCAAAGAACACACCTTAGAGTGCATATGTTACATATTAGGGACTTACATTGAAGGGTGAACACTTTGGTTTGGATGTGGTTTGTTTGTCCTCACCAAAACTTGTGTTGAAAGTTGATCCCTAATGTTTTGGTGTTGGGAGGTAGGGTCTAGTGGGAGGTGTTCGGGTTATGGGATCAGATTCTTCATGAATGGCTTGGTGCTGTTGTCATGGTGAATTCATTCCTGCTCTCAGGAGACTGGATTAGTTCTCATGGGAATGGGTTAGTCTCTGAGAGAGTGGGTTGTCTTAAAGCAGGATGGCCTCAGGTTTTCCCATTTGTACATGTCTGCTTCCCTGTTGACCTTCTTTGCTATATTTTGATGCTGTATGAAAGCTCTCACCAGAAGCCAGAGCCATGCCCTTGAACTTCACAGCCTACAGAACAGTGAGCTAAGTAAACTTTTTAAATAAATTACCCAGTCTCAAGTATTGTTTTATAGCAACACAAAATGGACTAATATATTGAGTAAACCCGTTTTACAAGTTGAATCTGCAAACTCAGTCATGCAATGAAGGTAAATGTCAGAGAAGTTTAATCTCTTAATATAAAGTTAGATTCAGTATTATCCAGTTTTTTTAACTTGGTGACTGGAAAAAGCCAATTAGCAATTTTACAAATTTTTATGTAATAAATAACATGTCAGTCTTCAGGTATTCTTCATGTGATTATCATGGTCTGATGAAAAATGTTACTTAACTGACTCTAAGCATGACAAGTCATTTAATTAATCTTTCCACATTACTGCTTCCTCATGTGTGAAGAAGAATCTTAATTGCTAGCCTAGGCCAGGTGCATGGTTCACACCTATAATTTCAACAATTTGGGAGGCAAAGGTGGGCAGATCGCTTGAGGCCAGCAGTTTGAGACCAGCCTGAGCAACGTAGTGAGACCCTGTCTTTACAGAAAAAAATTTTAAAATTAGCCGAGCATGGTGGCACACTCCTGTCATCCCAGCTCCTTAGAGGCTGAGGCAGGAGGATTGCTTGAGCCCTGGATTTGGAGGTTACAGTGAGCTATGATTGCACCACTGTACTCCAGCCTGGGGAACAGAGTGAAATCCTGTCTCAGAGAAAAGAAAAATTCTAACCTGTTCATCTCATAACATTATTATGGATATAATAATAAGATCACTAAAATCATGTAAATAAAAGTACATTGTTAGGGAAGAGGTTTAAAACTGTAGAGAAATATAGAGTTGTTTACAGAATTTGAATGTCTTTAAAATTTGCTTGAAAATATAATACTTGTCAGCTAATAACATAAAAAAGAAATTCAAGTTATTTTCAAAGGATGGGGAGAAGTAAGCAAAAACACACGCTGAATAAGCAAACTCAGAGTGAAAACTGTGTTTCCATTATGATTAAGTTGGTAGGCAAAAAATACTCAGTGGAAAGTAGAGTGGTGGGTTATTGAACCTTTCCCTCATACTATCATCATCGGAACACTTTTGTGGAGTGTTGTCTATGTAGAAAAGGGTGCTAGTTCCCAAGGTTGCAGAGAGGTAAATAACATGGTCTTCATTCTCTTGGAATCACGTCGAGGAGATGGCAACACACGTGCATTAAAAGGACACTAAGTGTTGTCAAAGGTACATTTCACTCAACAAATGTGTTTTTTTAGTGCACATGCCAGCCAGGCATGGTGCTCGACCCTGGAGGTGCAGTGGTGACTAAGGCACACTTCTGTGTCTTGTGGGGTTCTGAGTCATGAAGCACCTCATATGTGTGTAATGTGCTAAATACTACAAGGACAGGCCCAGTGTGACGTGGGAGCACAAAGAGAAGTATCTACCTCAAACTGAGGAGACCAAGGATTACTTCTCAGGGAATGCGTCTTGAAGCTGAGAACCAAAGGTTGAGTAAGAAATAAGCCATTCTGCCTGTTCCCTGCTGAGCTCTTGTTTCTGTTCCTTCCTCCTCCACCTACTCTAGTTTGGTGGTCCTTAATCTCCTCCTCATCTCACTTCCCTGCATTTGCTACACTCCACACTGTCTGTACCTCCAACCCAGATTGCTTTTCTGAGCCTAGTTCCTCTGAAAATCTATTGGGCTGCCCCTGCAGGCAGCTCACATTTTGTGTGTATTCACCCCAATTCACTTTCTTTCCCAAATCTTTTTCCTTAATACCTTAATTTATGTTCCAAAGTCAGGCACCTATAAGCCATCCTAGACACTCTTTTTCTGTTATCTCCTTCATCTGATTACTCAACAGATTGTGTCTTTTCAACCCCCTGATTTACCCTGGAATCTGTGCCCTCTCACCTCAGTGCTTTAGCTTCAGCCCATCATCAGTTTTGCGTGGGTTATTACAGCACATCCCAGCTGACTTCTCTGCCTTCTTCCTAACCCTCCTTCCATCTGTCTTCCACTCAACTGGCAGATAGGTCTTCCGTAAGTGATCACTGTTTCACCAAACATATTTAAGACAAAACACATATCTTTGCTGTGATGAAAAGTACTATAATAAACATGAGTACAGGTATCTTTTTGATTAATGTTGATTTCTTTCCTTTTGGGTAGATACTCAGTAGTGGGATTACTAGATCAAATGGTAGTTCTATTTTTAGTTATTTGGGAGATCGCCATACTATTTTCCATAGAGGCTATACTAATTTACATGCCCCGTCAACAGTGTGTAAGAGTTCCCTTTTCTCTGCATCCTCATCAACATCTTCGTTTTTTGTCTTTTTATAATAACAATAGCTCTTCTGACTGGGGTAAAATGATATCTCAGTATGGTTTTAATTTTCATTCCTCTGATGATTAGTGATGTTGAGCATTTTCTCGTATACCTTTTGGCTATTCGTATGTCTTCTTTTTTTCTTTTTCTTTTTTTTTTTTTTTTTTTTGAGACAGGTCTTGCTCTGTTACTTAGGCTGGAGTGCAGTGGCAGGACTATGGCTCACTGCACCCTTAACCTCCAGAACTCGTGATCCTCCCCGCTCAGCCTCCCAAGTAGCTGGAATTACAGGTGCCAGTCGCTGGGCCTAGGTAATTTTTTTTTACTTTGTGTGGCCGGTTTCGAACTCCTGGGCTCAAGCGTTTCTCCTGCCTTGGCCTCCTAAAGTGCTGGGATTACAAGTGCGAGCCAACACACCCAGCTAATTTTGTTTTTAATTTTTTTGTAGACACAGTGTCTCACTATGTTGCCCAGGCTGGTCTCAAACTCCTGGCCTCAAGTGATCTTTCTGTCTTGGCCTCCCAAAGTGCTGGGATTACAGGCATGAGCCACCATGTATGTCTTCTTTCAAAAAATGTCATGTCATTTGCCCACATTTCAATGGCATTATTTGTTTGTTTGTTTGTTTTTACTATTGAGTTGTTTGAATTCCTTGTACATTCTGGGTATTAATACTCTTGTCACGTGGACAGTTTTAGGCACCATTTTCAATACTATATTACAGAGGTGAACAAAACAGAAAAATTCTTGCTGTCGTGGAGCTTGCATGCTAGCCATTATACCTGGCAGGTAGCTAATGCTTAATAATGGATAGATGGACAGGTGGATGGATGATAAGAGAAAGAAATGACCTCCTAGGTGGGAGAAATACAGAAGTAAAGATACCAAAGAAGGAATACATGGCATCTGCTGCCAAGGCAATGAGAAGGCCATTCGGACAGGAGTGGAGAATGAGCGAAGAGACAAAATGAACATCAAGATAGAGAGACAGGCTGTAGACCTTGACAGACAGACTTTGGATAGGTAGAGAATGAAGCAAAGACCATGTCAGGCAAGATGAACATGGTGAGCAAAGATGCAAAGATGGGAGTGCAAAATACATGTGTAAGGATAAAAACAGGCAACCTGGCCAGCTGTAGAGGGAAGGATGTGTATAGGAGAATTGTGAGGAAGTAAAACTGGGAAGAGGTTAAGGAAAATGTACGGACCAGACTACACTGTGAGGGCTGTTCTATAGGAACTGGACCTTGGTCAGTGTTGTTCTGGAGCTCCTGACTAGTATATAATAAGGCAAGAGAGAGAAAGAAAAGGCACATACATTGGAAAGAAATGAAATTCTTTTCACAATGTCATTGTTTACATGGAAAATTCAAAGGAATCTACAGAAAAGCTACTAGGAGTAATAAGTAAATCTAGCAAGGGTATAGAATACAAGGTCAGTATTCCAAAATCAGCTGTGGAATTCCACTTCCAGCATGACAACATGGGCTGCTCCCCAGTGAAACTGGGCTCGGCGGAGGACTCTTCGATAAAACACAAAAGCCACAAACCATGCAAGAAAAGTAGATAAACTGTACTTCATCAAAATTAAAAACTTCTGCTCTTCAGAAGACACTTAAAATGAAAATACAAGCCACAGAGTAGGAGATAACATTTGTAAAATACAGACATGATGAAGAACTCATGTACAGAATATAGAAAGAAGTCTTAAACTCATTAAGAAAAGAACCTTAAAAATAGACAAAAGGGGCCGGGCACAGTGGCTCAGGCCTGTAATCCTAGCCCTTTAGGAGGCCGAAGCAGGAGGACTGCTTGAGCCCAGGAGTTTGAGACCAGTCTGGGCAATATAGTGAGACCTCATCTTTACAAAATTTTTTTAAAAAATTAGGTATGGTGGCATGTGCCTGTAGTCCCAACTACTTGGGAGGCTGAGGAGGGAGGATCACTTGAGCCCAGGAAGCAGATGTTGCAGTCAGCTAAGATGATGCCACTGCACTCAAGTCTGGGTGACAGAGCAAGACCCTGTCAAAAAAAAAAAAAAAAAAAGTGCGTGAAAGATTTAAATAGGCCCTACTCCAAAGAAGAAATACAGGCGTTAAATAAGCAAAAGATTTTCAACGTCAGTAATCATACGGGAAATGCAAATTAAAAACACAATGAGATACCACTACACACCTATTAGCATAACTAACATTTATTAAAAACAACAATACAGTGCTGACAAGGGTGTAGAATACCTGAAGCTCTCTTTTATTGCTAGTGTGAATGCAGAATGGTACAATCAATTCCAAGAACAGTTTGGCAGATTTCAATAAATTTAAACAAAATTTACCATACAATCCCATTCCTGTGTATGTATGGACACATGTCCATACAAAGATCTGTACATGAATATTAGCTTAAATATCACTAAAGACAACCTAAACATCCCTCAGCTGATGAATAGATAAACAAAATACGGCTGAAATACTACTCAGAAATTAAAAGGAACAAACCACTGGTACGTGCAGTGACACGGGTGTGTTTCAAAAGCACTACGTTAAGTGAAAGAAGACAGAGACAAAAGACAGCATGTCGTATGATTCCATTTATATGACATTTTGGAAAGCCAAAACTAGGCACAGAAGTAAGATCAGTGGTTACTGGGAAATAGCGGGGGGGGGGGGGGTGGATAGGAGGGAATTGGCTATAGAGGGGCGTAAGAAACTTTTTGAAAAGATAAATTTATATGTTCTATATCTTGATTGTGGTGGTGGTTACACTATGTTTACCTTTTTTTTTTTTTAACTCAGAACTAACTGTACACTTGCAATGGGTAAATTTGTGTATTGAAAATTATGTTCTGTTTTAGACTAGATTTTCAGAGCACTTGGTTTTTCCTTGGGGAATAGAATGTTGTAGAACATAAGATTTTGGGGTCCGACTGCCTGGAATCAAAGCCTAGCTCCTCTGCCTGCTTCACCTTGCAAGCCTGACCATATTACTAAACTTCTCTGAGGCTCTGTTTCCTCGCCTATAAAATGAGGTTTGTGCCTTCCACCTCATAGAGTTATGTGAGAAAACGACTGTTCTTATAAAGCTGTCAGTAAATGATACTGCTGTCATCATTGTTACTACTTTTTTCAGAATTGTGTCCTCAGCATCTCTGGATGTTACACTCTGTGCTAAATGCTGGAATATGACCAGCATGACCTGATCCCTGCCTTCATTCCAGTCCGGTGGAGAAGGTAGAACTTTAGCCAGTGAACAGTTGAGCTCTAAAAGATCATTCTAGGTGGGCATCAATGGTGCCAAGGAAAGAGACAGAATGATAATACAGAACAATTGGGAGAGAGCACTCCAGAGCGGGAAGGCACTGGGAGGGAGTGGATTGGAGTTGAGAACTGAAGGAGAGTGATGCAGAGATCTGGGGGAACGTACGGTGGCCAGAGTGGGCTTCTACCTGACACTATAAATAGAAAGGCCAGTGTGGTGAGAACATAATGAACAAGGGGCAGGGTGGCACAAGATGAAGACAGAAGGGCTGGAACTCCATGTGCAGTGGGAGAAGCCAGAAATGAGTTGTACAAATGGGGCTGGTGTGATCAGATTTAGGTTAAAAGAACCCCTCAGCTGCCTGGGTAAAGTAGACCGTAGAATCCCAGGAGAGAGACTTGGGGCAGCTCCTGGCATGACTTGATGATAGCTTGGACCAGGGTGGTCACAGCAGAAGTGAAGTTCTGCTGTTACTCAGCTCAAAATTCAGGCTGGCTACCATTGCCTACTCTTCTCTGAAATGTTCCCGTCTCTATTGCCTATGTGTATCTTCACCTTTGTTACAGTGCTATAGCTCTGTCTACCTGTAATTCATTATAAGGGAGAGGAGCAGAGGTGACATTAGAACGTAATCCCAGAGAAGGTGCAGCTCCCCTGTTCAGTCAAATCCTCACAGCCAGCACCAACAGAAATACATTTCTGTTTAGCCAGGCTGCCGATGCTTGTAGCATGAAGAATAATAGAGTAAACCCCGCAGGGAAACAGAACCCCATAGAATTCTCCACCTCTTCTCTACTGAGAGTCTCCTTAAAGGCAGAATGGTTTGAATGCCCAGCCATCTAAATTAGGCTTTTCTTTTGTTCCCTCTTAATTTAACTGAGTGATTCTCAAACTCTAGTGAACACAGTCATTATTTTCCAGAATTGTACATACATAACCTTCCATGTACTTTATGGATGAGTTCAGGGGATTTTAAAGGATAATTTTGAATATAATATAGTTTCACCTTAGGGCTGACCTAAATAAACTGAATAAACTGCAGCTCCACTGTTCCAAGAAATTGAAAATGCATCTGGTCCTAATACAGCTTTGAGTGCCAGTCTTGGTGCTGCTTGCCTGTTTGTTACTGAGCTCCCTTTTGTCTATGTTGTTTCAAATGATGGAGAAAGTGACCTTGAATATATGTAATAAACAAGGAATAGTAAGATAATTGACTGTTTTTGAAATAGTTACAGTAAAAACCCTTTACATTTTAAGCAACATAGAAATTTTCTATAATTTTTTTTTTGCAAATCAAAGGGGAAAATGTTTATAGCTAAAATGCCATTTAATGAGAAAAAAATCAATGCAATGACATTGTCATTTGTTTCATTTTCCCAAGGAGAATACAGAGGACAGTACTTAAGTTTTAGTTATGTTGATTGCTTGTGTGAAATGCTGATTCCTGCCAGCAGTCGCCAGGTGTCTCTCACACTGCTGGGAGAGGAATGTCTCGTCTTCTTCATCTGGTTGCCTCCGTCACTGTTCTAGGGGCTTCTGGCACTGGTGCAAGGCAGAGCTGTGCTTCCTTGGGAGTGTGCCAAGCATTTACTTTGGTTGTTTAGTTCTAGTCTGGGAGCAGACACAAAAGGAAAAAAAAGAAAATACCAACTCCATGTGTCTGAGGTATCACTTATAGTTTAAAAAAAATGATTGTCTTATCATGTTTGGGAAAATACTGGTCTTCCTGTTTTCCTCCTATTTAAATTCATCCTAAAACTTCCAGGGACACAAGAAATTATTAGCTATTTTGACCATCCATTCCAGAAAAGATGGTGGCCTTACAATAATTGCAAGTGGTTAATAGAAACATCCTTTTACAGCTTCTATTTACCAAATGTAGTTCCTGTGGAAGCACTTGACCCCGTGGCTTTCTGCTTTTTATGTCAGCTCTGGGGCCTTTATGATAGAATTATTTATCAGAGTCTTTAATGGCTCGGGGCCACTTGATGAACTTGAGTACACTGTACATCACATCACTTAGGAAGCATCCCAGATGCTCATGGATAAATCTAGAGTCGTGGTGCATTTGGCTAAAGAGCTCCTGCATGTGAGGAAGTCTGGAGAAAAGTGCTCCAGAGGGGTCACAATGGAGCTGTGTTAACCTCTGCTGTCAGCTTCTCACCACGGAGTTTATCCCTATTACTTGGAGCCAAACCACTGCATCTGTTCTCCTTAGGCTGTGTCAGCGCAGCCACCTCACAGCCTCAGGGACCCATGGCTTCCATTCTGGATACTCACACTGGTAAGTGGGACTTGGCAGAGGCCAAATCAAGTAGTTTGTTTCTGACACCTCTGAGCCCATTTCTTTGCCAGTTTTATATCATCACTAGTAACTCCCTTCCCTGTACCTCTTACACATCACACAGGCAGCCAGTGTCCTTGAACACCTTCCACTTAACGAAGCTGCATATCTGCTTGCAACACTCGTCCTAATAGGATAAAAGGATTAAGTAGTTTTAGGGTGGCCAAGAGGAGGGGACAGCAGGAGACAAGTGGTTAAAAGTGAACGTTCCCAATATTTCTTCTAAAATATACCTCAGTTCTTCTCAGGAGGATAAAACCAAGTGTTTTGCCCTAGGAGATTATAGCTGCCAGAGTCTAACACTTATTTTGGAATGTTTCCAGGGGTCCTTGGGACCCCTTTTCTGTCTTATGGTCTTCCGTGCTGTAAGACCTGGAGACCAGCTGGCCTGAATGGAGGTTGTGGGGCCTGAGGGCTCTCCCGGCACCTCTGCCAGCCCTGTCGCCTCATTGGTTCCTTCTCTTCTGACTTCATATTTGACAGGTTGTCCTTCTGTCTTAGACAAAAATCTATTAAATTCGCTGCTCCATCCAGTTACTCTTCTGTTTCTCCTTTTTGTAGCCGACTTCTGGAAAGGGTGGCCTGCTCACCACTTCACTAGTTGCAGCTCAGCTTCCAGCCTCACCATTCATCTCTGCTTTTCTCTGTACTTTCACTGCATTTTTCTCTCTGCATGGCGGCCCTGCCAACCACTCTTCACTTAAATGGACTCATATCAAAATGGCAACCTCAGCCTTAGCCCCTAGGTCCTCCAGCTGAGTTCCCTGTCCCAATTCCAAATCTTTATGAGAGAAAATTTGATTGCTCCAGCTTGGGCCTGATAGTTCCATTTCCCTGGGGCAAAGGAAAGGGTTATAAGGACAATTAAGCATTAGGGATGGGAATGGGAGGACAAAAGTACCTAAGGCAAAGGGAAGGATCCAGGGCAGCTTCCACGGGACTTTACGTGGCACTTGGCCAGATGTGTATCTAAAGCTATGATTCTGCTTTGTAACTTTCTAGCTATAATCTACCTCCCCAACTTTCAACAAACACATTATGTCAAATTCTTTCTGTGTGTTATAATTAAAGCCAAAGAGATTCTTAATATTTACCAAGTCTTAATTTCGCTTCAGAGATGTGTTTCCTAGTTCAGTTAAAATTGGAGTTTCTGTTCATGTTCTCCTTGTTTTCAGAGAAGACAGAGAGATGTAGACACCGTTCATCTACCATCTCTTATCAAACCTGAGGTCCTTCAGACTTATATTTTTAAGGTATCTTATATATATTTTTTAGTGATATCCTTTTTGCTGGTCTATCCTAATTTAATATTTCTTAAAGATGTCAAGGCCTACTGTTTCTTTTAAATATTTTAGAATCAAATAATTATTTTCTTCAATTCCTCAAGAGTGTATTGATCACCTGTAATGTACAAGCACTGTCAGTTTTGTTTTTATAATGCTCAAAGTTTTATAATCTGGGTGAAAAACCTAGCCACATGTATAAAATGCTTAACAGACAGCATAAGGCAGCCCAGAAATATGTGTTGAATGAAATGAATAGATCGGTACAAACAAGAATTTCTCTGGAAAGTCAGACAAAGAAGAAGGACAGAGTGGACAGTGAAAACTTCCTGCAGGCAGAGCCAGGACTGGGCCTTTCTTCTTGTTATTTCAGAGACATCTGTATTTTGATTATGTCTCTTTTGAATTATCTATTTTCCAGCTTGGTAACGCTGACAGGGAAATAATACATGTCAGCATTAGTTTTTCCAACTTAATGGATCAGATGAGAGTGATCCATAACATGTAAGCTTTAGGTGTGGGCTGTAAGCAGGAGAGATTGCACGATAAGAGCAGAGCAAAAGGTTATTTAGAGAGGATAAATTAAAACACTTGGAATTGGGGTCAGTCAATACCTGGTTTTGAAATGAATGATGAAGATGGAGTTTTAGAAATGAAATGAATGGATTGTTTAGTTGGCATTATTAACTTAAAGAACAGGGTTTAGCTTAAGTATTATAGGGCTTTACAGGAGACATTTTTCAAATTTACTGAGGGTTTTACCAGTAAGCACTTAAGCAAATGTAAACATTTTGTGGGCTGCAGGGGAGCTGTGGATATTATTCATCACCCAGGCACACTAGTCTAGCAGACGGGTACCCAGCCAGGCTAAAGCTCTGCAGAGTTTCTAAGGGTTGTTATGATTAGTCTCTTGGTGTGTATATATTGCTAATGTAATAAGAACATAAACATTTTATAAGTATAGAAATTTCTTTTTTTTAGTGTTAACCAGTGAAGTGGCAGGAAGAACAAATTTGGCCTCAACTTAATAATAGTGGTATTAATGTAGAGAACTTGTTCTTAAAATAAAACTGTTCTCTATTAACCATGGTATGAAGAGTTCACAAAAACTTTTTGTACATATTGTCATGCTTAGTCATTACAATGGTTGAACAAGAGGAACGCTGCTGGGATTTTCTGAAAGTTACACTCCTTTCTCTCATCATGAGAAAAAAGAAAGCATTTGTGACTATTTTCAAGCGTTGTGAGCTGTGACAGTATTCCTAGGGATGAAGGATTCTTCTGTTCTCATCTCCCTTTTTATAATCAGAAAATGCCCAGATATTCTAATAAATATGAATATGAAGAGTTAACTGTCATAGTAACTTAGTCTATCACTTGTAGCCAATTAAAACATACGTTTTAGGAGCAAATATCTTTTACTAATAATCTAGGGTCATTTTGCCTAATGTCTCTTCACTTTGATTCCTCTCTTTTCCCATAAGACGATGTGAAAAGATGGGACACAATTAAATGCTGTTTTCATTGGTTGGTGTTAGATGAGTGGAAGTCATACCATAGCGTTCTCTCTTTTGCATGGTTTGTAAAGGTTCCTTTGGGCACCATTCTTAAGTTCAGAGAATATAAAGATGAATAGTGCAAAGTCACTTCACTGAAAAAACACAGCATAAGGGGATGGGCAGCCATGGCAGCAGCTCATGTTAGCATGAGGTCTAAGAAGTGCTGTGAGAGCTTGGGAACAGACATGGAGACCAACCATGTGGAGGGGCTCAGGAAGGTGAGAACGGAGAGAGAAAATGTCCTTGGAGGAGTTTTTTGATGTCTAAGCTGAGTCTTAGAGGATGAGTAAGAGATGGCCATACAAAAGATGGAGAGAAGTGTTTCAGGGGGCAAGGGGGTCAATTCTAGGGCAAAGGAGCTAGATGCACAGTTAATTAGACACGTTCACAGAATAGATCAGAGATGGCAAAATAATGGCCAATAGACCAAATCCTGAAGAAGCATTTTTTGTTTGGCCTGCTGTGCCAGGCTGGTCCTTGTAGATGTCTGCATTTGTAAACATGGTCCCTGGCCAAAGGTCCTGGTCCCAAGGGGCAGGTAAGGAGATGGAGTAAGAGGTCAGCACTATACCTCCGGGTAGCTGCACGTGCACGCAGCTGCCAGTCTCCAAAGCAGCAGAGATGGATAGTTTTATTTCCCAGCTTCATTCTTTATAAATTGTGTTTTATTTAAGCTTTTCAAAGACTCTTTAAAATTCATTGACCCTATTTGGTGCAGGTGAACAAAGCTATTTTTTAAGTAGAGTCTTATAAATTAAAAATAAGGAGGCAGATCAGAGAATTCAACTATCTGGCTCAGTCAGGAGAAAGGAAAAGTATGTGTCTGTCACGTGGCAGGCATTGGGTGTTATGGGATCCAGGAGTAATGGAGGGATTCAGTAGTTGGTCCCTGCCCTCAAGGAATTAGAAAAACATACTAAGAGATTGGACTACAATGCTGGAAACTCTGATTTTCATAGCTGGGACAGTAGGAATCACTCCTCCTTAAAAATTCCGAAGTCTTTGTACAAATTACCCTTAATTTAAGATGAATTGGTGTAGCATAATTCAGGGGTCACCACGTACTCCCCTCTGAATAAGAAGGCTGAATCTCAGTGGTCAGCAATGAGGGAGATTCATTTTGGTATTTTTTTCTTTTTTTTTTTTACAGGCAATCTTTCTTCTCATCCTTCTAGATTAACAGGATTCTTTCAGTCAGCTTTCAGAACTCATTCAGCGTAGATCTGGTTTGTTTTCTTCCTTGAAAAAAATTATTAATATAATACCACAGTCTCTGCGCCGAACATCATGATGCATGCCTATAATCGCAGCTACTCAGGAGGCTGAGGTGGGAGAATCACTTGACACCAAGAGTTTGAGCATTTTTTAGAGATGGGACCCCATTTCTTAAAATAAATAAATAAATAAATAAATAAATAAATAAATAAATAAATAAAAAGGTGTCTGTGTATGTGAAACCACAGTCTCCACGTTCTGAATGTAATTATGCCAAATATATTTTCTTCTTATATTCTTCGCATTTCTTTTAAACATGTTTTAAAATTTAATTTTCTTTTAAAATAGGTTTTGTTTTCTCATTTTCTTCACAATTTCCTTAAGTTCTGAATTTACATCAGTCGTCTGCCACTCTATAATATCTATAACTTGAGATATGTTCAGAAATAGAAAACTCCTAAATAAGATTCTGGGGAGACATTTTCAAAACAGTTTTCTGTAGAGGCTTTCTCCAGAAACTCATTTCCAAGCTCCAATGTGGGATTTACGCAGGAAATTAAATTGTCTTGGTTTGATTAAGGTTTTGCATTTTCTTTTGTTTTTGAAGAAAGGATATTTTATTTTGTAATTTCAAAGTCATTTATTGTGGAAGAATGACCAAGAAGTATGAAATTAATTTTTGTCTAAACTAATTACCTGCAGAGCTGCTCAAAATATAAAGCTTTCTTGACTTAACATTTCATAGGCTTCTCTGAGACATTACTTAACAGAAAAGCCACATTTTTCCAGGAAGTTATTTAAAAGTCAGGTAATTTAAATTACATTTATTAAGTGCAATAAATAGGCACCAAATTAAAGCTTGTTTCTCTCTTATTCTTAATTTCTGTAGAAAATTATACTTTCGTAGAGCTATGTAGGGGCTGATGTTTAGTAAACAAAACAATGTTATATTTAAAAAGGAGAAAAAAATAATTCATAGAAATGTGTGGACCAATTTTTCCCCACTCTCAATCCATCAGTTTCTTTTCTACAGTAGCCTTGGGCAGGAAAGGCAGAGGTAGAAAAATCTCAAGCAGTGATGCTCAGTAGAAAGACATCTTAATTTAAAATGTAATTCAGTTTTGTATATGAGTTTTGAAATAAATCATCATTCAACCCTCAGCATGAACCATGAACCGATTTGCATGCGTGAGTGAATGAATATAAAAGAATTTTTTTGTTCAAGAAAATTAGTCTTTTTCTGACCACCCCCATCAAATAGTGTTGTTTTTCTTATTCATACATTTATTCTGTGTTGTTGAAAATTAGAACTTTTTTTACAATATTATCACACCCTGTTCAACTCTATTTCAGATTGTTCTTATAAAAATTCAATCCAGCAAGAATCACTCACAGAGATATTAATTCCTCTGTTCTTAATAAAAGGCCATTACAGCTACTGTTGCAGCAGTGCAAGAGCACCAACGTTTAAAAAACATGTTTTGTATGTGATCAATCTAGCTTTTCAATATACCACTTTTTGTAATTTGGTATAATAAAATTAAATTGTAAGTAAACTTAAAATTGAAGATAAAAATAGTGGTATATTCATAAGTCTTTATAAGTCTGACAAAATAAATCAGGGGAAACAATTTATGGCAAGTTTATCAGCCCCTCCCTCCAGCTCTATTTAAATAGGTCCTTCCTATTTAAATTATTCTGTCTTATTTCATCTGTTCTTTCTTGTAGCTGATTTTACAATTGGAGAGTTCACGGTAGTTACATGTGTTTGTTTAAGGTCTGTCTTCCTTTCTAGACTAAACTCTTGCTGTTTTGTTCACTGCTGTACAGCTACACTTAGCATAGTGGCTATCTAGGCAATGAGAAATTTTAATGAATGAATGAATGAATGAACAAGTCAACACTATGTGCTCATTTAACAAGCACTTTTTAAGTGCTTTATTTACATCATTGTATTTAATTCTTAAGACAACTCTATAATACCTCCCATCTTACAGATGAAGAATCTAAGGCCAACAGATTAAATAATTTGCTCACGATCACACGGCTAAACAAGTAGAAACCCACCTTCCCTATTGTCTTTTTATTGAGCCTTTTTACCTAAGCAAGTTTGACTTGAAAGTTTCAGTCTTGCCATTGAAAGAGCCATAATACACCCTTTCAGTTGAGGAAACCAAGGACCAGAGAGGTTAAATAAGTTACCCACTTTTAAATAACTAGTTAACTTCAGAGTCAGAACTAGAATGCAGACCACCTGATCCTACTCAGCATGCTTAGTTATGCTACCATGAGGAAACCAGAATATAGCACTAATAATAAAAAGTATTAAAGTATTTTAAAAACATATTTCTTATGAAAAATCCCAACAGATGGAATAGTAGAGTGAGTACAGTGGACCCTCAACATACTCATCTCCCAGAATCAACAACTATCAAGACTTTTACCACACTTGCTCCATCTTGCCCTTTAAGTACTTTTAATGACCAAAACACTTGTAGCTGTATGATTAAATTAAAACAAAGTAGATAGTGCAGGCAAGTCAGAAGTCTAAGGATATATCCAAAGTTCCTCTGCTAATTGATAACAGAGCTAGTTCACAGCCCTCTGTTCTTCCACTAGAACATGCCAAGAGATATATAATGAAAGACAACTGAAAGTGGGTGACCTAACCAGGCCGGCCGCAGTCAGCACTGGAGTGGAGCGGCTTATGTTGGCTCAGCGTATGTAGCTTGGCCAGATGGGGACCAGCATCACATTGGTAATGGTATAGTAGTTATCAAATCTCAGAGAGCTTCCAGACCACGTGGATTCCTAACAAGTTCCCAGGTGATGCTGATGGTCCAGGAGCCACACTTAGAATCATGGTGTGGAGGATCTACCCAGAAATTCCAATGAGGCCCTCTTTCCTAAGGTAACTGAGCCCAGAGACACCCAAGAAGGCCAGCTTAGCCTTTCTTCTCCTCATCTTGCTTCTAGAAACCAGATGTCAGAGTAACACTTGAACTGGAAGCAAACTGCTAAGGAATTTAAATGATAAAAAGGAGTAAAAGGACTAATAAAAAAAATATTTCACAAAAAATTTAAATATTGAATAAATTATGAAAGGAGAAAACTCAGGTGTGTATGTGTGTGTGCCTGTGTGCGTCTCCAGGCTTGGGATGCTTTCAAAAATCCATCTAGGAATGGGAAGAGCCGATGGTTTTTGTTTTTTTAATCAAAGGCTGAATGGTATGATTAAGAGAAAGAGTATATAGACTAATTGACCTAAAATAACAAGAAATCAGTCTTTGACATAATAGTGTTTGAGATCTCTGAGATTTAGCTCTGACCACATTTTATGAGCACTAAGGCAGAAAATCATAGTTGTGTTTAACTGAGATGAAAAATGAACACTCTTTTCTAACCTTTTTCTATCTAAAAGATAGATCTCTTGATTAAAACAGCTAAATTTCAACAACCTGAATGTAACCATGATATTTAAAGATTTCATGGTAAATCAAACTTAATAACCCACATATTATTTGATATATTCTCTCTTTATTCCAAAACCATTATTATTGCTTGTCCTCTTTCTACTTAACAGTTCCAAAGAGAGTCCTTTACTTTTTTTTTACTGATGTCTCATTGTATACAAATATTCTAAAGAAAATCCTCTAGTTACCCCTTTATTTAACTTTTTTCCTCTGCCTTATTTCAAACAAGAGTTCAAGTAACTTGCAAATATATGTAAAATGTGACAAAATAGTCCAGAAAAAGAAGACTAAGAAGAGACAAAGTGGAGCCAAGAATAATAGAACTTAAAGTGAAAACCATGATCACCCTCATGTCATTAGACCAAAGAGTCGTTCAGTGGGAGAGGAGGGCCCGCTCTCTGCTTCTAATGTGCTCCACCAGTGCATTTTAGGAAATCTGGAAGATAGATTAAAGATACAAGCTAGCTGAAGGCTGTTTCTCTCAACGAAGCATTTGATAAAAATTATGTGGTGGTGTGCCCACGATTCTTCTTCCTTTGAAATGCCTAACTTGAGCCTCTCTTGTGAGGTGAATTAAACAAATGCTTGTCTCTCTTTGCTGACTTCCACATGGCAGGCAGAGTAGTCCTTCTAAAAAAGCAGATCTGATCATTTTCTTCCACTTTTTAAAATCTGGAAGACTTCACTGAGTCTGCATTTGCCCAGAGGTCTCTGTATGTGGCCTTCCTAATTTCTGTGCTCTCTTGACACCTCCCACCCTCATTCTACTCTCCAGATATGTGGAACATAAACTTGCCATTCTTCTCCTCTTTGGCCTTCTCACACACTGTTCCCACTGCCTGCAACTCTCTTCTCCACCCTTTCCGCCCATCTCCCACCCATCCATCGGGTCTCAGTTTACACATCACTTCTTCCTAGAAACACCCCCTGTCCACCACCCAGCATAAACTAGGTTAGGTGCCCCTGACTGCCCCGTGTTCCCTGCTGTGCCACACATGCTTGCCTTGGCCACGAACTGACCACCACTACAGCATCAGTGCCCCCAGGACAAGGACCACACCTGTCTTGCTCACCACATTATATACAGTTGTTTCGATTTCAGGGAATGCAGTATTAGGCTATTTGCATAATGGAGTAAACTGAAGGTGCTTTTAAGCCCACAGGAAGCTCCTCCCAGGTGATTGCATCCCAACTCAAGACTCCAGCCACCCCAGGCCCTCAGCAGACCCAGGAAAGAAGAGGCTCAGCAAGTTGTATTACACCAGTGTGCCCCACATACAGTTGGGAGACTCTGGGTTAAACTGATGAGCCAACAAATGAGCCTGAGTATAGGTCCTGTTTCCAAGTTATTTTACTTGCTTTGAGTCTCAGTTTCTTATTGCTAAAATGAGGTAACGCTATCTCAGTAAACTTGTCTTATTTTAAGGTTTTTTTTTTTTAAGAAACTCAATACTGTTTTTTAATCTATCCTATTGGCAAATTTTATTTTTTGTTTTGCTTTGTTTTTAATGTCACAGCCAGTGTTGATACAGGTTCTAGAAGATGGTGCTCTCATATAGTGCTGGTGGGAGTGTAAACTTGTGCAAACTCTCTGGAGTACAGCCTGACAGTACGTGTCAAAATCCCTACAACATTTGCATATCATCTGACTTAGCAGTTTCACATCTAGGAATTTATCTTCGGAATTTCTTCTAACCAGAGCTGTGAACAAAAGTCTACCCATAAGATATTTATCCCAACATGCTTTTTGATTTTTAAAAATGGAAAAAGACTGAATGTCTGAAAAAAAGTATATTGGTTGAATTAATTGTGGTATATCCAAAGAATAAGCCACTGTGTGTTATAAATATTAATGATGTTGATGCAAAAAATATATTTAATAGCCTGGGGAAATTATTAAGATATATTGAAATAAATCAGGGAATAAAACCACAATTTAGCATATTCTCAATTTTTTTTAAGTAGTTATATCATTGGAAAAAGGCAGAGAAGATATCAACTAGTATGTTTCTCCGAATAACTCATGAAGAATTTCTTCTTTGTGATTTTCTAGAATTGCCAGTTTTCTGAATTGGATGTATATTACTTTTGTTATAAATGTTTTAGGAAAAAATGAAACATAACAGGAAAATAAATTTCACACAGTTTGCATTTGGAGTACCTTTGCCCATAACACAAGAAAGCTCTGAATTCCACTGATTGAGGGCTCCTCGTGCCAGAAGGGGAAGGATTCCTTCAGGTGCCTGGATGCTGAGAGTGATCATGGCATCCTGGGTAAATAGCTTCATTTTCGTTTGCATGGCTTGTCAGCCTACCCAGTTTTCATTCATGCCCTTGTGCACACTGATTTAAACACCAAAATTGAGCCACATCATTTTCTGTGACTTCAACAAAGGTCAGAAACTAAACTTCCACATAAAATGGCCTATCTCAATAAATTAAATTCATGTGTGCTCTTCTAAAAGGGCTTTTCGTAACACTAATGTCTCTGAATCCAACTGGCCTCCACAGAACTTGAAGAAGGAGTAAACAACCTTCTTCTTCTTTTTTTTTTTTTTTTTTTGACACAAGGGCCAATTCAGGAAAAATAAAATGTTTATCAGCCACATTTTTCTCCCTCCCAAAATAAAGCTAGTTTTTTAGAGTCTCATAGGGAAAAAAAAAAATCTGTTCTTATAAGCTATAAATTACCTTATTGGAAGAAGAACAACATTATAATATGTGCACTGCTTTTTAGCCATCTAAAGTTTCCTTTCTGGGTATATAGGAGATGTAACAACACAGAGGTATCTTTGTAATCTTTCATCTGGAAAATCATATTGTGTGCCATGTTGGGAAGATAGATGGTTCCAGGTCATATGATGTATGAGGGAACTTCAAAAAGATTATGGAAAAAATAGAATTAAAAGATAAAAATTAAAAAAAAAAAACTATTTCTCAACCTAATCTCCATCAAGGTCAAGACACTTTGGTAAGCAGTGATACCAGCCATTTAGTCTATCTGTAAAGAACTCACAGAGTCCTGGGAATTTAACCATGTCAAAGCATTCTTTTTTACATTATTAACTGAAGAGAAATGGATTCCCTTTAAAGACTTTTTAAGATTAGGAAACAAAAAGAAGGCAGAGGGAGCCAAATCAGGACTGTGAAGTGGATGCCTAATGATTTCCCATCCAAATGCTCACAAGGTTGCCCGTGTTTGATGAGAGGAATGAGCAGGAGCATTATTGTGGTGGAGAAGAACTCTCTGGGGAAGCTTTCTGCTAAAGCTTTGCTAATTTTTTTCAAAACACTCTCATAATAAGTAGATGTTATTGTTCTTTAGCCTTCTGGAAAGGAATCAAGCAAAATGCCTTCAGCATCCCAAAAAACTATGGCCATGAGCTTTGCTCTTGATCTGTCCACTTTTTCTTTGACTGGACCACTCCCACCTCTTGGTAGCCACTGCTTTGATTGTCTTTGTGTTCAGGATTGTAGTGGTAAAGCCATGTTTCACCTCCTGTTATATATTCATTTTCTTCTTTTTTTTTTTTTTTTTGAAGAAATGCCTCAGGATCTTGATCCCATTTGTTTAAAATTTCCATTGAAAGCCCTGCTCTTGTCTGCAGCCAATCTGAGTACAATGGTTTTGGCACCCACTGAGTGGAAAGTTAGCTCAACTTTAATTTTTCAATCAGAATTGTGTGAGCTAAACCAATTGAGACGTCTATGGTATTGGTTGTTGTTTCTACTGTTAACCATTGGTCCACTTAAATCAGGGCATGAAAAAGATTCATTTTTTCCTCACAAATTGATGTGGATGGTTTGCAGCTGTGGACTTTAATCTTCAACATCATCTGTTCTTAAACAAGTTATCCATTTGTAAACTGCTGATTTGGGGGGGACATTGTCCCCATAAACTTCTTGTAAAGCATCAATGATTTCACTATTCTTCCATCCAAGTGTTAGCATAAATTTGATATTTGTTCTTGCTTCTGTTTTAGCAGAATTCATGTTGCTTTGATAAGGGCTCTTTTCAAACTGATGTCTTATCCTCCTTAATGCCTCAATCTAGATCCTGTTCAGACATGTTATAACAAGTTAGTATGAGTTTATTTTGGTGCAAAAAATTTTTGAAATCCATGCATAGTCTTTTCAGAATATGCATTTTCCATGAACTTTTTGAAGTCCCCTTGTATACCTCCACCTTAGAGAAATGTGTTTCAGCAGTTGGTGAGGGATACAGTTGAGGAACAAATAGGAAACAGAGGGATGGAAGAGATAAAGGCAAGGAATGTGTGTGGTCCACTCCATCAGGATGCTTGGCTTTGAAGAGTGTTGAAGCAAGAGGGGTATTACCTTGGGGGAAATATGAAGAAAGTAATTTATTTGATGCAGGAAGTTAATAGACAGTAGAGATAGAAGATAAAAGACAGATTAGGGAGGAGATTAAATAAAAACAAAAGTGGAGGGTTTATCTTTAAAAGGAATGAAGACAGCCTCTTCTGAAATGGGAGGAAGGAAGTAAATCTGAGGGCATTTGTCACTGTTGTATAAGAGGGAAGGGCATCTGTTAAGGCGTCTTGGGAGCTAGAGTGAACCTAGAGCCTTGAGAAGGCAGGAGAAGAGTTAAAATAGTCACTATAAGGAACGAAAATGGAAATCAGCCCTGGCTAAGCACCCGCACTGTTAAACCATCCCCTTGAAATGGGGCCAGTTAGTATGAGTGTAAGCCTTTCCCAGCAGGAGCAGAGACAGTAGGTTATTGAGCAGATCCAGGGTGGGAATGTTGGATGGACAAGGCAGAATGGATTATTGAGGGTGCCTGAGTGAGTATTGTGGAAGTAACTGACCACAGGGTTCAGAAGAGATGGCCCAGGAACAGGTGGGTGGAAATGCCACCTCAAGGCAGAATGTGCACTCAGAAGTCTCTCAGCTGTAATTTATGGTTCTTCTGTCACAAGCACCTTGACAGCAACATACCCCTTATATTTTCTCATTTTCCATCAAAATTCTCATTCTGTTGGGTCACTCTTTGGGCACAGAGGCTGCAGGCCAGGTAGGAAAGAGTCAGTGCTGGCCCCTATAGCAGAGTGGTAGAGTGGTGGCCAGAATTCTCCATCAAGTCACTTCTAGCTTTCATATTCTGTTGCCCTGACTTCATTCCGTACTGTAGTTCCAGCTGCTGGGCTCTCCTCTGGCACCCTCCCGGCTAAATTCTAACTCGTCATAATTCTACAAGTTAGTCTTTTTCCTAGAAGGGCCCTCTCATAGATACAGGCCCTCTCTCCTGCCATAGGAACACTGCAACCCTGTGCATAGAAGGGTATCATCTCACATGTGTGCACATAGGGTAAAGTCTGCCTCTCTAGGGAGTTGGCTGTTTTTAAAACCAGAGCACTCTAGAAGCTGCACACTGGTGACTCTTGCTTGCTAAGAAACGTGTTGTGGAATCTGTAATCCAGCAGGGTCACTGAACACTACACAAACATATCTTACTCAGAAGTGGAATTATGGCTTCTGCTAGGAGAAGGCAGGCTTGAGTAACCTCCTTAGGTTTCTCAAGAAAGAATAAATAAACATGCATATAAGCAGGAACTAGTAGATCCAATTTATCTAGACTCTCAAAAAGCCTTTCACAAGATTCTATACAAAGTCTACTTTTAGAAGTTGGCTCTTTTGAGAAACAGGCTTATAATAATCATTATCATTGTAGAGTTTTAGATGATGGGTTTCATTTGCATAAATAACACTGTGCGACCTCCCCTTGAAAATCCCGTGTGCATAAGTCACGTTACAGCACTGGTACTACACAACAGCCACCCGGTGTTTACTGTTGTCAGGAACCGGTAGCATGCTGAGCCTGTAATTCATTACAGACGTTGTAATGATGGCAGTCAGAGGCACTTCATTGCTACTCATGATCACTAATTAAGTGATGTCTTAATAAAGTATAAATACAGGGGAAGAACAGCTTCCAGAATTCAGGTAGTATTTTCTGCCCAATCTTCCAATATTGTGTTTGAAGTGGTTTGTTCATGACTAAATATAAAATGGAACACTGTGCAGGAGGCATTGTCTCAGTCAGTCTTCAACCCTAGGAGGAAAAGATGATCATTTCTCTTGTAGAGAGGAGTAAGTGAAACCTAGCTGCCCTATAGCCAGGAAGGGACAGAACCTATATGAATCCAGAACACTCTAATCCTGACTCTCTTAACCACTTTACTCTTAGCTAGCAAAATCAAGAAGAGCAGCCAGAGCTCCCACAAACATATTCTTTCTTATTATAAGTTTGTTTCATAAAGAGGATTCCCCATATCCAGGAATCAGCCAGATCAGTACTGCCTCTACTGGATAGGTGGATTATTTGTACTTTGTCAGTGCCGATTTTAGGTAGTGTGATTGAGTTGAGTTGGAGATGATCACTCCAGGTTCTCTGCTCTTTTTCCAGCCCATTGCTAGCTGTGTCCTTTGCCACTTGTTGTGCTGTTCCGGGAGTTGCCATTCTGACCTTGGGGGTGAATCCACTCACAGGAGCCCTGGGGCTCTTCAACATTTTCCTGTATACCTGCTGCTACACACCACTGAAAAGGATCAGCATTGCCAACACATGGGTCGGAGCTGTGGTTGGGGCCATCCCGCCTGTCATGGGCTGGACAGCGGCCACGGGCAGCCTCGATGCTGGTAAGTGTCCCGCGATGTGGAGTCTCATATGAGCACACTCGGTCAAGGAGGCATTTCCTCCCTGAGCTGTAGCACTTGGTTCGATTCCATTCCATCCCACATTAATTCTTTTAGCAAATGTGCTGATGTGGCAGACTGAAATTTTGTGGACGCAGAGTAAAGAGAGACCGTGTCATCCTGGCTGGTGGGTGCACATGACATACACTTTCCCTTATAGGGAATGTCTGGGAGAAAAAAAAGGAAGCAGTGCTGCCTACCTGTGACTACAGGTGGATAAAGAAAGTACCTGAAGCTATGATGAAAATCACAAACGAAGCTAGGACTAACGAATTCATGGGGCGGGGAGAAGGTATCTGGAGCTGGCCTCCAGTCTCCCATCAAAGGGGTTTCGTCTCACGAGCCAGCCTCCTGTGTTCCCCTCTTATGAAAGGGCAGATTATTTTCATTAGTTTCTAATTTATTTTTATATGATTTGCTTAAATCGTTCATACTGTCTATAGTAAAACTATTGAAAGATTCCTACATTTTTTTGGTGGTATGTCACAACTAAATTTGTGGGGTGAAAATAGCTCATTTTTACCATGTGTAAGGGAAGTTTCACAGTCTAATTAGTCAAGTAATTAGTGTTTTTGACCGACACTTAGGAAGGAAGTGGTGAGGTTTCCTGCAATATATGTAAGTACATATTTTTCACATGAGAGATCAAAAGGCAGTTGACCATAAACCGTTACCCTGTAAGCCACATTTCTGAAACTTTTCATAAAAGCTCTTACACTCCAATTTGGCAAGCTTACAAATGCGATTACACCTTTACCATGATTGTCTCTTAGAATGGTTTTAATATCCTGTAAATGTCAGATTTTAATGAATCTACGAATACCATATTCTAAAACGTATGTGCTTGTGTGTTCTGTGATAAACCTAAAACCAGAGCCCCATCCATGTGGGAGGCAGTGTCAGCAAAGCGGTGGTGAGCAAGGAAGCCGGCGGCGCTGCCTGGATGGGGAGCCCGACCCCACCGCTCATGAGCTGTGCATCCTTCGCAGCTGAACTCAGCCTCTTTCTGCCACTGTCTCCTCATCTCCCACATGGGGCTAATAATCTTCTCCCCTCCTGGAGTCATTGTGAGGATGAAACAAATTGTTATTTGTAAGGTGCTGGACCATGGTGAGGGCTCAATTTGGGATCTGTATGCTGTTGTTATCATTCAGGAGTCCTCCTTCATACAGTGGAGGGACTGGCACAGATCAGGAAATGGAAGATTTTGTTTGGTTTGTAAGCTGAGCGATGCAGCCTTGTCCTCTGGCTGTTATTTTGAAGACTGAGGCGCCTGCAGCCTGGTGGGAAAGAGTGCTGGGGTCCTTTGGTGAGGTTTGCAGTGGATGAGGGAAGGGAGGGTTTAAAGCCTGGGCTTGGCATCCCTGGGCTAGATGACATCTGCGTGTTCATCCTGGTTTATAGTTGACCTTCACAGAGCACACCTGCACACCACCAGCCCTCCTGCTCCCGGTCACGTTCCTCTTCCTTAGTTCCACCTGGAGCTCACCTGACTTGACCCCAATTCCCTCTCCCCCTTAACGCAACTGTCCTCTTCCCTCTTATTTCCCTCAAACCTTTATAGTGATTGTGCAGACATTTGAGGTGGAGACCATGAAAGACAGTGTGGGACTTCCTAGGCTGTGCATGGGGAGTATCCCCCTTCCTCAAGGGTGTAGCCCCACTTCAGCACTTGGGTCCCTGCACTGAGCCACCTGCCTGTCTGATGGAGACACCCCCATCCCTGGCAGGGGTGCCTGAACTCTATTCAACTTCCTCAAACCTGGCACCAAGCAACAAGAACCTTCTCTTTCTGGGAAGACCCAGACAGGGCCAGAGTCAGGGCCAAGTATTACAGCCTTAGGGACAGGTAGTACAGGAGACTGGTATGGGCAGTTCAGTCCCAGGCCATGGAGAACTTGGTCACCACTGTTGTGCAGTGTTGTCCTAGGGCCCAGGTTCTTGCTGAGGGCTAGAGGCCCTTGTCACACTTCCGGGCAGTTTCCTCCTGAAGAGAGCCTCAGCATGTGCAGGCTGGAGTTGCCTCCCCGGAGGCTAGAGAAAAAGAGCTTTTCAAAAGTCCTCACTTAAGAGTGCACATTCAGACAAGAGCCCTTATTTGTTTAAGGATAGTCTGGATTTGGCTAAACTGCTAATAGTCATGTTTAAAATAATTTTTTTTCTTTTGAGATGGCGTCTCGCTCTGTCGCCCAGGCTGGAGTGCAGTGGTGCGATCTCGGCTCACTGCAACCTCCGCTTCCTGGGTTCAAGCGATTCTCCTGCTTCAGCCTCCTGCATAGCTGGGACTACAGGCGCCCGCCACCACGCCCAGCTAATTTTTATATTTTTAATAGAGACGGGGTTTCACCATATTGGCCAGGATGGTCTCTATCTCTTGACCTCGTGATCCGCCTGCCTCGGCCTCCCAAAGTGCTGGGATTACAGGCGTGAGCCACCGCGCCTGGCCTAAAATAAATTTTTTAATGTTGATTATAGTCTTTCTATAATACAGATTTAATCATTTGTATACAAACTCATTAATGATGGACAGCTAAGGGCAGCTCATCCCTTGTTTAGGTAGCAGAATGAAAGTACGTATTTGTCTTGGAAAATGAGACCCCTTTTCTACCCCAACAGAACCTGGTATAAAACAGAGCAGTCTGAAAGACATGTATAACCACAAAGAGAAGTTCCCTTGGCAGTTTTTGAGGTTGGCTTCTATTACAGTGTATCCTTTTACTTTAAATCTTAAAGATGCATTGTGGGGCACACAGTAACAACATGACTTACTGCCCCCAGAATCCCAGTTAATTGCAGATCAAACCATATGCTTAAAGCCTTGTCAAGATTATACAGAAAGAATACTACTAGTTTACATAATGCTTTAAACTACTTCAAAAAAGTTTCCAAACATTAATTTGATAGAACCAACTTGAGATAAGCAGCAAATACTTAATTGAATGAACAAATGAGTGAACATAGGTACCTTCTATTTTACAGGTGATAGAATCTAAGAGAATGTATTTTTAAACAGATTTTTATTGCTGGGATTTTAGGAACTGGGTTGAATATGGTCTTATATTGCTAAGTCATCTTCTAGAGCTGTACTGTCTTGTGTGGTAGCCACTAGGCTCAAGTGGCTATTTAAATTTAAATTTATACTAAACTTTAAAATTCAGTTACCCAGTCCCATTAGCCATATTTCAAACGCGCAAAGGCACATGTACCTAGTAGTTACACTATCAACAGCACAGATGTAAAACATTTCCATTATTGCAGAATGTTCACTTAGACCGTACTGCCTGGGTGGAAAGGTTGATGTCCTTATGAATCTATATTTCATCATCCTCACATGAATATGTACATCAAATAATGAGACTGTACCTGTGGTCTCACTAAAGTCTAAAACAGTGGTTTGCAAACTTCAGAGAACATGATAATTACCTGGAGAGCTTACTAACACAAAGATTCCTGGGCCCTACCCCTGGAACTTCTGATTCAGTGGGCTGGGGTGGGGTCTGAGAATTTTTATTTCTAACAAGTTTCTAGTTGCTGCTGATGCCCCTGGTCCAGGGACCACACTTTAAGAACCACCAGTTTGCAAAGACAGAACCAGACAGAGCTCTAGCCATTAGAATATCTTGAAAATACCTGGAGATTAGGACATAGGCAGATGGTATTATTTGAGATGTACTAATGGTGTCATTTATATTATTCACAGAGGGGATATCTCTCATCTGGGTTTTTATCTTAGGGGACATGTATAGTTATAAAGAGCCCTTCTGAGAAAAAAAAAATGGCCAAAAAGGTTTCCCGTCTTCTGTGGTATTGCCAAGCACTTAATCTTTGAGCCCCCAAAGATGGATCACTTTAGATCACCACCTTTATAAACTGGTCCCCATAATTGCTTCATCATGCAAGTGTCAACTGGGGACCTACTGTTTGCCAGGCATCGAGAGACACAAACATAACTAAAACCCAGTGAGTGCCCTCAGGAAATCACGTCTCAGGGTCTTTGGGGAGAGGCAGGCAGGTAATCAAATGATTGAGTGATCTAAGAGCTTTAGCAGGGTATCTTCAGAGGGCTGTGGGCTCTCTTAACTTACCCCAAACTGGTCCCAGATGACTTTGGAGAAGAAAGTCTACAGAATTAAGTCATGACCAGTTTCTTTGAGGAGGGAATATGCTTTCCAGGAAGAGGGAAGAGCCTGTACAAAGGCTTACAGGCCTGAAAGCCAGTCTAGAGTGGGGTGGGGACACGTGCAAGGATGAGCCACCTGCAGAGGAAGTCATAGTTCATTCAGTGGTGAGAAAGACCCACTGGAGCTTGAGGCAGCATAACAGCAGGGTCATACATTTAGGATCATTTACCAGTGTGCTGCAGGTTCTCCAAGATATTGGAAAGTCAGTAAATTGCAGAAGCCTGCCTTTATTGTCCTTCCAAGCCTGTGTGCCTCCTCTCACCTACTACTTCCCCTCCTCCACTTCCTTCTCTCTCCACTAGGGCTCCACCTACCCTAGACCTGCTCCCTCCCACACTCTCTTTGCCCTCCCTAGTTAATTTAACAGTTTGCCTTTTAAGTAGTGAAGCATCAATCTGATCATCCTTTGAAGACGCAGCTTGTTAACACCAGTGACCCTCCAAGCGGGGAAATGGATGAAGGATACATGTTTGAAGGGAGGCAGGTTGCACGGAACATATTCCCTTCTGAGCCAAGACATCAAATACCCAGCACCAACCCTTTAGTCACCCAGTCACCTTGACTGAGGATACTTTTGCAAAAGCCCTTCCTGGGGCTCAGTAGATGGTAGTCAAGATGGAGAGGAAGCCGCTGAGCCAAGATTTGAAATGGAAATCCTGCAGCCTCATATATTGAAGGCCCAATATATTTTGGAGGAGAGAGATTTAAAGATTGGTAGCTATAGAAAACACTGTGCATTTGAGGCAGCCCATGGGTCAGAGTGCTCCACCAAGCAAGGAAATGCAGTATGTCGGGAAGTACCTTTTCCCCTTTGTGGTGTCTGGCTCATTTTGTGCTTTTTGTGGTGGCTACAGGGCCAGATTAAGAATTCCAGGGGGCCTTGAGCACTGAAGAGATTGTGATGCCTCCTCTCTTCCTGCAAAGACATAAAACATAAAATAACTCTAAGGATGTTCCATGGGATTCTGATTTTTTTTCCCCCCACAACTACTTTGACTTTTTAAAAATCAGATAGTGTAAAAGAACTTCTAATTGTTCTAGATGCCCGGTGAGAGGTGTGGGTCCCACATAGGTGTCTGACCGGCCCACTTCGGGAATCCAGCATGGGGTAAGTGAGGTAGGATGGCAGGGTGAAGAAAATGACACAGATGAGCAGATGGATGTTGTGAAAGCTAAGCAAATGTGAATTGTTCTTGATGTTTGCTATTTTATAACTGCACAATGAACTGTAAGCAGCTCAGCTTTTCTCCCCGTCACAGTGCCAACGGCTTTCAGTCCAGTGCTTGCTACAGAGAGTGCTGTGCCGCAAAGCATGGGCCCAGCCCAGAGAGTGCTCTTTGTGGTTGTTCTGTCAGGGTAGTCAGGACTCTGCGGCCCAGCTGCTTCTGTGCACAGGAAATAACTTCATTTTACAAAGCCCTCTGTCTATAAAGGTAATCATTATAATGGGATTTTACTTGTGTCCATTTTCCTCTCAGCCTCAGAGTTAGGCCTTTTCCTCTCACCTGCCTAATTACCTTATCTTAATTTTTTTTTAATTCAGCCTAACTGCTGTTAGCAAAAACCATTAAAAATGCTTCCTAGCTAAGATTCAGGAAAGGCAGAATGAGAGGGTTGCTTTCTGGCCCCTGGTCTAGCCAGCTTGTTGTCACAGGAACTGCCGCACTTGGTTTGATTCTGCACACAGGGAATGGCAATGACAGAAGTGACCTGCTGGAGCCGCGGTGAAGGAGTCCACTCTGAGGAGGTAGGGGAGGGAGGGGACTGCAGATAAGTGCCCAGCCGACATTCCAGCTGCAAGCGGGCCTGGAGCCACACGCATTAGGCCTCTCAACAGTGTTTATCTCCAGAGACTATTAGTGTATCTCAGAGGCTTTGGGTTAAATCTGCTCCCCCTCCTTCTTGCCAAGGCCCCCTCTTTTCATCACTCCAATATCTTAGAAAGGTTCAGATTATTTTTCCTCATTTTCCTAAATTTGAATAAGTCCCATGTTTCGGGAGTGTATGGATTGGGCCTTCGTAATGACCATCTTGTAGAGTGGATTTGCAGTTGCCTTTGGCTTGTGATTCAAATGTGTGTTAAGCATTAATTATGTCACCCAACATTTAGTTACAAATGAGGACTCAGAAATGGGATCTTATCAGGAAGTGACATTTGGCAGATGGATGGTTTTAGTAACAAAAAGAGAATGAGATTTTTTTACCCTCAGCTGGTAAACTACAAAATGTTCAGTTCTGTTTCACTTTATTTACCTCCCTTATTCCTGGATGAGAAAGTAGAGTCGGAGTGAATTTATTCACTCACCCATTCAACAAATATTTATTGAGGGCTTACTAAGTACCAGGTACTGTTTAACCCAAGCACTTAATGATTTCCTTTATAACGCTGCCTCGGTTTGAAACCAAGCTTGAAAATGAGTATCTGTGTCTGTGTTCACTTTGTATAAGATTTTACCATAACTAGTTTTAGCACTCCAGATTAAGTTATACTAGCGTTGGAGCTCCAGATTAAGCTAAATGATAGTTTTAAAGACAAAATAAACAAGGAACATTTTCATGGGAATATTAGCAAACAAACAATATTTAGAACACTATATTCTCTTGAAAGACCAAAAAAAAAAAAAGAGCTACGAAAGAACGTACTAGAAATTATGTTGCAAGCCCCCAGATTGGTGGTATAATTGGAGGCAAACTGGTACTAAGGGCACTGAGGTCTTGTCAGTTGTGCTGTGTTGACCATAATTGATCACAAGCTTTTAGGGAGCTGGGCCAGTGCCTTCCTGAATGAACGATAGATGACGGTGTGCCAGCCTCTGGTAGACATGGTGCCTGGAGCAGAGTGCACGTGTAACTAGTATTCTTCAGTGAATTAATATTTAAGTGATAAAGATGGAAAGACCTTCCAATATGAGCTAAGGGAGTAGGAAGCATTTGAATTTCAGAGAGAATTCACAGGTGCTTGAAACATCCTTCCAAGGAAATGGCAAGAAGAGAAAAAGGGGAGCACTGTTTTCAGAGTCAGAGCTTTTTGCTTCCTTTACTCCCATCTTTCTCTCTAAGTGAAACCTCCTCATGACTCTGCCTGGAGGGCGGCAGCACACAATGAGGTGAAGGAGAGGAGAGAATCCAGCTCCCTCCCGCCCACTGAGCCTCTCCATTATTCCTAAACTACTAGCAAAGAATTCTTCAAGGGCAAGCAGTTATTGCCCACTCTATTTCCTATTTTCAGGGGACTTTTAATCTTCCCTTTTGTCGCCTGTGCAGTTGATAAACTGGCCCCACATCCTCTTCCCTTTATCTGCAGCACCATAGAAGTCTATTGCACTGTTGAAGCTGATCTGTTTCACAAGCTCCTTTGTGTTGCCCCTCAAAAGAAAGGCTTTGAAATCTGTGACCATGAAGCTCTGGGTTTGGCTTTGCTTCCCCAGCTAGCCCCCAGTCTACATAACCACATAACCCTAAAAGCACAAATAGAGCCAGTCATGGAGCAGACGCGCTACCGTGGGCCACATCAGAGAGGAGACTATTGTACTGGCGAGGGAAGACCTCCCAAACCCAGCACCAAGGTTCACTGGAGCTAGGGTTCTTTATCCTTTGCAAGGCCATGCGTGGATGGTGAGTGACAATGGGTTTGGGGGGTGGGGGTGGGAAGGTGCCCACTGGGCAGTGAGAGAAAACAAGCCGAAACCGATGAACTCCATTCCACAAGGAATTTCCTGACAGAGTCAGAGCTCCAGCTTGAGGATTTTTGTCTCCATTCCATTCAGATACCATTTAGCTGGAATTGCCTTAGTTTTGTCAGCAAAGTGATGGAGGTGTGCTGTGGACAAGAGCATTTCTGGACAATGTGCAGAGGTGGAAATGATTGCGATTCTCCTCCAGTCTGTATGTTGTAGAATGTTTGATAGATGCTTCGAGAGAATATAAAAATACATAGCATTTTCAACGAGTCATCAGGAAGACATTAATGAGCCTTGCCCCACCTAATACAGCCCTCTAATCAGAGCCAGGTGCCACTGGATGGGGGTTCCCTCCAGCTGTTCTTACATACAGTACAGCAGATGTGCCCTTCTCCATTTTCTGAGGAAGGAGGGAAGTAACGATGCCCTGCACACCTGGACATTCTATGGAGTTGCCTTTGCAGTGGGATTTCAGCTCCATGCTCTCAGGAAGCTGCCGTGCTCTGGAGAGCCATGTCTACAGATATGCCACCTAGATTTTCAGAATTTTCTATGTTCACAGACTAGCAAGTATTTGATTAACAGAAGAGAAGTGGACATTTCTTTCAAACATGATTAAACCAAATGTGTACAAAGATTGTGCAGGGTTAGGTAGGAAAATGGGAAGATACAGTTAAAAGAAGTCGAAAACACGTGGTTTGTTTGAATGGATTGAAACTCAGAGACCAATTTTAGATCTCAGTTTACAAATTACTTCTTCCAGGAAGCCTTCCCTGACCTCTCAAGGCTGAATTAAGTGTTCTCCTGCCCTGCACTAAGTAACATTCACCATGGGCTGTAATCCCTTTGTGTTGTCTTTCTTCCTGGCCAGACACGAGCAGAGGACTTTGAAAACAGACTGTGCCTATCTCTAGGGGCACACAGTCCAGATTTGTTGTCATAGATGACAGACCCAATAAAAATGGACTGCTTTAGGAGCTTGAGGCAGAGGAGATGAGTAGAATACTTATCTTGAAGGAAGGTGAGGTCTTTGAATTAGTCAACTGAGTGCTTTATGTTTACTCCACAAGGAAGGTGGGTTCCACCACAGCCCCGGCACTAATTCAAGTCTTCCTGTTCTAGTTCACCTTATCTTGATGAAGAAAGTAATTTGTTTTCATCTTTTATAGGAGGAGAGGCAGTTGAAGCATATCAAGTAAAGCCGTGTGTGGGTGGTGGTTTTCTGATTACAATCCATTAAGGCTAGGCTGTGATTTCCAAACCTCCTTCATTTGTGACATGAGCCAAACCCACACCCAATTTCCTCTTACAGAAAACAGCATGCTACTCTCAGGAAAATGATTTCTTTAATTATGTTTATTTTAAGCAGAAGCATTACTGAAAAAAGTGTATTGAGCAAAACAAAATACTTCGGTTGACACACACAAAAAAGGAGGGCTTTTGAGAAAGACAAGGAAAATCTCACATTTGGAGCTGGTATTTTAGCCATTTTCCCAGCTGAGGTTGCTCTTTCTGAGCCATTTCTAGAGCAAAGCAGACACTGAGCTCTGAATGATCCAATTCCTTCCCCCATTTCTAAGTTATCACTGATGTTGTTTTTCTTGAAAGACACTTCCCCCGTGCTTGTGGCTGTCATAACTGCAAACTCTTTGAATCTGAGACAGCTCGTGAGCTGGGGCTGGGCTTCTCTGTACCTCGTGTTCAAAGTCTCAGCGTGACCCCACGCCCCAAGACTCTGACAACGCTTCCTCTTACCAGTCACTTTAAAATCCAGAGGTCACTTTATTTACCATCAAAATATAAAGAAGTCTACTTGCATCACCCTGTTTACTCCGTCAGTTGCACCTGAGCATTCCAACCTTTCCTCTGTCCTTTTTAATTCCCTAGCAGTACTCACTGCCAAGAAAAAATGCCTTCTAGTTGATAGTTTTGTCATTAAAACAGATCTCTCTCTTTTTTTTTTTTTAAGGTACTAGAAAATGCTTCTGCAATTTTTTCTTTCAGCAAGCCTTCCTCTACCCAGAGCACCCAACAGTCCACTGATGTGGGAATGTCACAAACTTTAGTCTGTGTGTGGCAACAACTTTTTTTTTTTTTTTTTAAGAATTGATGTCTTGCTCTGTCACCCAGGCTGGAGTACGGTGGTGCAGTCATAGTTCAATGCAGCCTAGAACTCCCAGGCTCAAGCGATCCTCCCTCCTCAGACTCCCAAGTAGGCCGGACTATAGGCACGTGGCACCTTGCCTAATTTTTTGTAGAGATGGGGTCTTGCTGTGTTGCCCCAGATAACCAACCACATTCTAACAGAAGGTGCTAATATCTTGTGCCAGTAGTGCTGAATATCATCAGGCAAATTAATCTTTCTCATCTATAAGATGATGATGATGATACCTATAGGCGGGGTTGTTGTAAGGATTCGAAAGCATATGTGTAACTGCCTGGCACGTAAAAGCCACAGGCATTTCAACTGAGATGTCTGTTATGTACCTGAAACTTAAAATAGTCAAAAGTAAAACCGTTCGTGTCTCTACCGTGAGCACACTCAGCAGTGTCTATCCTAGGGTTCCCCACCTGAGTAACCCCCCTCTGCCACCCCCTCTGTCTCTCGACCCCCAGCCTGTTCCCCCCTGCGCTGGGGGAAGATCCCACTCCTTATCTTGATTTCCAGATGCCTTCCCAGCCCCATCTTGTAACTCTCCCTTCCTCACTCCAGCCTCCATGCTGTCTCAGAGGCCTACTGGGACCTTTCCCAGCATCCAGTAGAGTTCTCCTTGCCATTAGTTGAGTCATGGCTTAAATGTCACCTATGGAAAGGCCTTCCCTGAGCACTCAGTCTCAAGTCACCCGCATTGCATTACCCTGTTTTGAGTCGTCTCAAAATAGGCATCAGCACTGTTACTTGTGTTTATGTCCATCTCCCTCTAGACTTTAAGCAGGACTTGATTGCCACTGCCTTTCTAGCACCCAGAATTGTGCCTACATGTGAGACACCTGTCATCTGTTTACCAGGTTAATGGATTCAATGAATAATAGCTGCTCATATTATCAGCATTAAAATTGAGTGTGTTTGCATGAGCTAAGATTTATACATATATAAATTTTATATATATATGTATAAAATTTAAAGTTAAAAATGAATTTGGGGGATTTGACAGTAACCCTACTGAAATAGGGACCCTAAAATCAGGTCTTTGTTATATTTCCTCCCATACTGGAAGACTGAAAAGGGGTTGACTGACTTATGGAAGCCACAGAAAACTATTCATGGATATAAAAGGAGGCCCTCATCCCTCTTAAACCATCTGTACCCACACAAATTCCGCTTGATAAGCTACAACTGCCCCGTCTGATAAACGTAACTCAGAAATGATTAAGTTTCTCCCCAGAACAATGTGCATTAAAAATCCTCCTCCTTTCTTTTAGATGACTTGCAAAGCCTGCCCCTAGTGTCACTCTGCACTCTGTGCTGTTGAGGAATACAGATCAGAGATTAAAGGAGGAGCTGGTTCCTTCTCATGCTCACTGTCATTTGCACAAACTGGGGCCCCTCAGTGGCTTATAGCCCCAGACTTATTTTCTGAAGTATTCTGCATTATGTAAAGTGCTCTGTCTCCTGGTGAGTTCTGCCTAGCAGTAGCCCCCAGCTCCCTTTTTCTGAACATTCCCACAGACCAGGGACTTAAAAGATCCTCATTACCTGAAATAGGACTGTGGTTACAAATTCTCAACCTCTTCTCTCCCTGGGCAGGATGGTGCTTTCCAGGGCAGATGACACAGAGGGTTGGTGAACTCTCAGTTCTCTGCCAGGGACCCCATGGAGAAGGTGGTTCCAGAGGAGGGGAAGGAGAAGATAGACAGAATCCTGTAGTTTGCCTGACTGGTTCCCAAGCCGGTGTTGGGAAACAGTGATCTTGGGGATAACTTAATTGGCTCCCTTGATGAGTTTGGGCGCACTTTACTACAATATCATTACATACTTTCTGTGTTCTAATGCCTGGAGATTCACGGGAAAGTGAACATACCCTAAGAAGTTCACCTCAGGTAGGAAATGCAGACACGTAAATGTCTGCCTGGACCCTGTGGCTTGCTCAGGAAAAGACGCTCACAGTTGCTTATCACAGACGACACCCACACTCTGGCTGCCACACCCTCTTAGTGACTTTCCCCTTGGATGTCCCAAAGGCATCTCAGACTGAACACACCCAAGGTCACACTAATGACCTCCTCTCCCCTTCTTCCCTGCTTGTCTCAGTAAGTGGCATCTGTATGGATCCATAAGCCCAGGATCCATAAGCCCAGGACTTGCTATTGATACCTCCTCCCTCTCTCCTCCCCTCCTTATTTACACTGCACGCACATCCTGTCCCTTTTGCCTCCCAAATTCCTTCCAAATTTATCTTCTTTGCAACTCTACTGTCACCATCCTGATCCTAAGTACTGTCATCCTTCATCCCCTCACTCCTTATCTCCTGATTGGTCCTTCCATACCTTCTTTAGGCCCCTCCAGTGTATCCTTCACAAATAGTATCACTTAGCACTGGTGCCCCTCCCCTCACCCCCTACACACATAGGTGCACACACTCACACAGAGGTACACATACACGCAGGCACACATGCTCAGCACTCTTATACGTTAAGATCCTCTGTGGCTTTCTGTTGCTTTTAGAATAGCAAAGTCAAGGCTGAGTGCAGTGGCTCATGCCTGTAATCTCTGTACTTTGAGAGGCTGAGGCAGGAGGATTGCTTGGGGCCAGGAGTTCAAGGCCAGCCTGGGCAACATGGTGAGACCCCATCTCTACAAAAAGTTGTTTTAAAAAGTTTTCTGAGTTTGGTGACGTGCACCTATAGTGCCAGCTATTCAGGAGGCTGAGGCAGGAGGATGACTTGAGCCCAAGAGATCGAGGCTGCAGTGAGCTGAGACTGTGCCACTGCACTCCAGCCAACCTTGTCCTGAGGAACTTTCCCTGTCATTCTCAGCACTCCAGCCAAACCACACCACCTTCCTTTTTTTTTAATCATGCAATAAAATTGACTTTTTAAATATATATAGTTCTGTGACTCCTAACACGTGTTAATCTTCTTTTTTACACCGCCCACACCTCAAACCTTCCAGCCCCAAGGCCTTTATGAATACTGTCCCCTCCACCAGCCCTGACTTGACAAAGTCACCACTCTCTCCAGCTCAGCTGAGACATCCCTTCCTCAGAGAAGCCACCTCTGGTCCCCTAGACTCAGTCAGCTCCTCTTATGTGTCTTCACTGCACCATGCACTTTTCCTCACTGCATTTGGAGTGGTGACTTTAGAGTCACTAGTGTGGCTCTTGATGTCTACCTCCTTGACTGAAGGGTCTGCTCGGTGCAGGCAGGAGCACGTGTGGATTGTTGCTCGCCATGGTATCCCCAGTGCCTAGCACGGTGCTTACCCCATAGTAGGCGCCCGGGGAGCATTTTTTGCGCGAGTACTCAGTCACCTGCACAGGAATAACCAGCCCCTGCCTTCCAGCCCCCACCCTACTGCCTGTCCTTAGGTGGCTTCGTGCATGTCATAGAAGGACCCTGGCCTGAAAATCAAGCAGCCTTGTTTTGAATTGCTCTTCCGTCTCTTTTTGGAGAACTTGGCATTGCCTAATTTTTTTTTTCACTGAAGTTTATAAATCTACCTCAAAATCCAATGGTCAAGATTAAATGGGGCAAACTATGAGAGTAGGGTCTGTCACATAATAGGAGCTCAGCGAGCAGCAGCCTTCATTCCACCCATGTGGGTGCTGGGGAGACTGTTCCAGAGAAAGGGGCAAAATGGTGCTCAGGGTGTTATGTCCTTGTTGAAAAATTACAAAGCCATAGACAAGTTATCATTGTACTCTGGGACCGTTTTGTCCTTGTGACTCATTTTATTTAACACATGTGGTTTTGACACCTCCCGCTTGTGCCATTGTGCCAGGCTCTGGGGGATGGTGAGAGGAATGTGGCAGGCTTGTGCCCTGGAAGCCCTGGTGAAAGAGGTAAACAGATCAGAGCCAGGGTGTGACGCACCCGCCTGCAGGTACATCCGGCTCTGTGTCAGTGCTGAGCCAGGAGCACTGACTGCCCTGGAAAGGGAGCCAGGGCTCACAGAACAGGCGGAGCGGACTTGCAGCGTCCTCCAGGTTACAGCACTGCTTCCACCTGCCTGAAGCCACACACCCGGGTCCCAGCGGGCGGAAATGGAGCTCAGCGCTCCAGCACAATGGTTGCACCCAGAGGTAGTACTGAAGTAGATACTGAATTCCCTACAAGTGTTTGCCCGTGTGTAGGGGCTTCTTTGCTCCCCACAATGTGGGGAGGTGTGAGGAGCATCAGGTGGGCAGGAGCCAGCGATGGTAAGCGTCCTGCAGCGCAGGCAGCCCCCCTGTGAAGCAGGGTCTGAGCCAGACCCCACAGCCTCCTGCCCCCAGGCACACTGGCACCCCCAGGTGAGAAAGGAGGGATCTTAGCTCATCGGCTGCCCCACCAGCCTGATGTAGGCACCTGTCTCCCAGCCACCCTGTGATGTAGGCAGGCAGCGATGAGAGCACAGGGTGGCAGAGCTTCTGAGGTGCCAGGCAGGCTCTCCCAGGAGAGGAAACCATTCTTTGGAAATCTCTGGTGATGACTGCCTTTGTCTCCCTCTCCTTCCCTGACCCCCGCACAGGCGCATTTCTCCTGGGAGGAATCCTCTACTCCTGGCAGTTTCCTCATTTCAACGCCCTGAGCTGGGGCCTCCGTGAAGACTACTCCCGGGGCGGCTACTGCATGATGTCGGTCACCCACCCGGGCCTGTGCCGGCGCGTGGCGCTGCGCCACTGCCTGGCCCTGCTCGTGCTGTCCGCAGCAGCCCCTGTGCTGGACATCACCACATGGACCTTCCCCATCATGGCCCTTCCCATCAATGCGTACATCTCCTACCTCGGCTTCCGCTTCTACGTGGACGCAGACCGCAGGAGCTCGCGGAGACTGTTCTTCTGCAGCCTGTGGCACCTGCCGCTGCTGCTGCTGCTCATGCTCACCTGCAAGCGGCCGAGCGGAGGCGGGGACGCAGGGCCCCCTCCCAGCTGAGAGCACTGGGACGCCCACCGCCCCTTTCCCTCCGCTGCCAGGCGAGCATGTTGTGGTAATTCTGGAACACAAGAAGAGAAATTGCTGGGTTTAGAACAAGATTATAAACGAATTCGGTGCTCAGTGATCACTTGACAGTTTTTTTTTTTTTTAAATATTACCCAAAATGCTCCCCAAATAAGAAATGCATCAGCTCAGTCAGTGAATACAAAAAAGGAATTATTTTTCCCTTTGAGGGTCTTTATACATCTCTCCTCCAACCCCACCCTCTATTCTGTTTCTTCCTCCTCACATGGGGGTACACATACACAGCTTCCTCTTTTGGTTCCATCCTTACCACCACACCACACGCACACTCCACATGCCCAGCAGAGTGGCACTTGGTGGCCAGAAAGTGTGAGCCTCATGATCTGCTGTCTGTAGTTCTGTGAGCTCAGGTCCCTCAAAGGCCTCGGAGCACCCCCTTCCTGGTGACTGAGCCAGGGCCTGCATTTTTGGTTTTCCCCACCCCACACATTCTCAACCATAGTCCTTCTAACAATACCAATAGCTAGGACCCGGCTGCTGTGCACTGGGACTGGGGATTCCACATGTTTGCCTTGGGAGTCTCAAGCTGGACTGCCAGCCCCTGTCCTCCCTTCACCCCCATTGCGTATGAGCATTTCAGAACTCCAAGGAGTCACAGGCATCTTTATAGTTCACGTTAACATATAGACACTGTTGGAAGCAGTTCCTTCTAAAAGGGTAGCCCTGGACTTAATACCAGCCGGATACCTCTGGCCCCCACCCCATTACTGTACCTCTGGAGTCACTACTGTGGGTCGCCACTCCTCTGCTACACAGCACGGCTTTTTCAAGGCTGTATTGAGAAGGGAAGTTAGGAAGAAGGGTGTGCTGGGCTAACCAGCCCACAGAGCTCACATTCCTGTCCCTTGGGTGAAAAATACATGTCCATCCTGATATCTCCTGAATTCAGAAATTAGCCTCCACATGTGCAATGGCTTTAAGAGCCAGAAGCAGGGTTCTGGGAATTTTGCAAGTTATCCTGTGGCCAGGTGTGGTCTCGGTTACCAAATACGGTTACCTGCAGCTTTTTAGTCCTTTGTGCTCCCACGGGTCTGCAGAGTCCCATCTGCCCAAAGGTCTTGAAGCTTGACAGGATGTTTTCATTACTCAGTCTCCCAGGGCACTGCTGGTCCGTAGGGATTCATTGGTCGGGGTGGGAGAGTTAAACAACATTTAAACAGAGTTCTCTCAAAAATGTCTAAAGGGATTGTAGGTAGATAACATCCAATCACTGTTTGCACTTATCTGAAATCTTCCCTCTTGGCTGCCCCCAGGTATTTACTGTGGAGAACATTGCATAGGAATGTCTGGAAAAAGCCTCTACAACTTGTTACAGCCTTCACATTTGTACAATTCATTGATTCTCTTTTCCTTCCACAATAAAATGGTATACAAGAACAGGAGTGTGTGTGACGTCATTGGAAGTAATCATCCTGTGCTGAGTTCGCACAGTTCTTGGTAGAACCGACACTTGATCACGCCTTCAAGAGCTGGCAGAGGGTGCGTGGGAGGTTGGTTTTGTTTCGTAAATTGACAAATTGTAGTTGTGTATATTTATGAGGTAATAAAGTGATGTTATGATTTATGAAGACAATTGAAATAATGAAATCAAGCTGATGAATGTATTCATTACCTCAGATACTTATTTTTGTGATAAGAACATTTTTAATGTACTCAGTAATTTTGAAATTAGAATACATTATTTCCTGCATTCACACAGTGTGTGATGTACGTCAAAGGGAGGAGACGTACTCATCATAACTGACTTTGTACCCTTTCACCATCTTGTACCCATTCCGTTCAACTCCCAGCCTCTCTAACCACCATTCTACTCTCTGCTTCAAGTCTGATTATTCTGGATTCCACATAGAAGTAAGAACATGCAGTATTTATCTTTCTGTGCCATATTAAGTTGAGAACTTTAACCTTTTCGCTTAAGAGCAGCACCTTCTGGCTTCTCTGACATCTCTGGATTGCCAGCATCACTATGTGAGGCCATGATTAAGCAAAATAAAGCTTACTGAGCACAAGCTCTGCAATGCCACCACAGTTGGATTTGATAACCGAGATGGCTGCTAAGTGACTCATGGGTGGGACAGTATTCAGCATGGATCTGCTGGACAAAGAGATAATTCAGGTCCCAAGCAGGTGACGCTAGATTGCATCACACTAAGTACGCCACACAATCTGAAACTTATGAAATGTTTATTTCTGTCATTTTCTATTTAGTATCTTTGGACCTTGGTTGACCATGGGTAACTGAAACAGTGGAAAGAGAAACCACAGATAAGGGAGAACTGCTGTACATATCTGCCAGCCTGGAGAAATGAGAGCAATATACCTGCTTCTTGTTTGTTGGAAACCCAAATGTAATTGACCTGCTGGACACATTACACTTTTTGGCATCTTTTGGCCACTATTTCCTAATTGTAAGATGTGAAGATACGCTCTGGATCAAAGAGGCTCTCATGTTCGCTTAATAATTCAGAGTCCATCACTCAGTGGCTGGACTCTGCCATGCACATCACAGAGCATCTGAGAGGCAAGGTATCCACCAGCGTGGGACAACTCTATGCTTGCATTCTGATCATGCCTCACTCCTCACACTTCAGCTTGTGTGATGCCACCAGTTTGAGCCCTCTGAAAATCCCATCTGACCACTGCTAACCTCCTCTACCACCACCAGGTTGGTTGAACCAAGCATCTATCCGAGACACATGCCTGCAAGACATGCCTGCAGTTTATTTTCCTCTTTGCCCCAGCCTTGTCTGTTTTTCTCATGGCAGCCAGCATGATCCCTCTAAGCTACCAGGCAGATCCTGCCATTCCCATTCTCCACCCTGTAGTTGCTTTCCTACCTGGTCCCATGCCATCTGGTCCTGCTCCCATCTCTGATCTTGGAAATACCTTCTTGCCACACCTACTACCCTGCCCACAGATCTCCACGCTTTTCTTCAATACTCAGGCACACCCGCTGTGGGGTATTCATATTAATACCTCCTGTTCCCTCTATGTGGGGTCCTCTCATTTCATTGAGAGGACACCTCCTTAGAGAGGGCTTTTTTGGCCACTTTATCAAATAGCTCCCCTGTCCCCACCTCCTTGCTGTGCTTTGCTTTTTTTTTTTTTTTTTTTTTTTTTTTTTTTTTTTTTTTTTTTTTGAGATGGAGTCTCGTTCTATTGCCCAGGCTGGAATGCAATGGTGCGATCTCGGCTCACTGCAACCTCCGCATCCCGGGTTCAAGCGATTCTCCTGCCTCAGCCTCCAGAGTAGCTGGGATTACAGGTACCATCACACCCGGGTAATTTTGTATTTTAGTAGAGATGGGGTTTCACCATGTTGGTCAGGCTGGTCTCCAACTCCTGACCTCAATTAACACTATTTCATGTTCTATGTCTATTTACATATCTCATTATTTAATGTCTGTCTTCCCTGCAGTATAAGTTCCATGAAGGCAAGGACTGTATCTTTGCATTGCTTTATCTCCAACTTCTAGAACAATGCTTAGCACAGAGTAGGCACTCAATAAATGCTTCTTCCTGAATAAATAAAAGAATAACCCCGTCTGGGTTATATGAGGTCCCTGTGGTCAGAGAGAAACGGCCTGTTAGCCTGGGATAAAGAATGAATGGATTTGGAAAGGTATTGATGACCTGTGGTTCCATGAGAAAAGATGGCTTCTGTATAGTCCTTATCTGGCTGGTGCAATCACTGTTCCCACTCCCGACTTCAGGACTCTGTCCCCAGGCTGCACTAACCAGAATGCACTCCACTGCCTCCAGGCCACCACCCCACTGCTTCTACTTGTTTCTGGAATTGCCTTTTCTAACTTCAAACTTCCACCCCCCCTCCACTGCCACTGTCATTCCTGACATATTCATTTCCCATAGCACCTATTAATATGTGACATACACATTTCACTTACTTGTTATTGACTACCGACTACCACCCCTGAACCGTAAACTCAGTAGGGCAGAAATGTCTGTTTCTCACTGCTGTCTCCACAGGCACCTACAACAGAAGACAATCCATAAATGACCATGTGATGGGTGCTCCATCAATGATGAAAGGAATGAATGAGTACCTTTTATGGCATGGTGGGAGGTGGAGGTGGCGGGAGCACTTGAAGGTGGAGGAGATTGGTACATGCCTGCCCCTTGTGACTGAATCTGGAACAGGTGCACGTTTCTGCCTGCTTCGTGAAGCAAACTGCCAAAGTCGAACCAAGGCAAGTGACTATTTCTTCCTAGTTTGACTCATCAATTCTCATCATTTTCTGTATCTTCAGGGGTACCTTGACTTAACTACTTGGTAACAGAGTTTTCAGCCCAGTAAATTAAGTTGGATTCTTGACCAATATTTTTACTTTTTAAATGCATTAGCAGAGAATCTAGTGTCTGTCTCCATCTTCATCCCTCATCATCTGCTGCGAAAGGCTTTGCTTTAACTCATTCCCACCAGATAGGAGCTCAGGCTTCACCTCCTGAGCACCAGCATCATGCATCCAGGCCACTGTAAATGAGGGAACCATTCCCGGTTTATAAATTGGGGACCTGCCTGTGAAGTAGAAGCCAAGACAATAAGGACTCCCAGTTGCAGAGACGGTCAAGAGGGCAGGTGGGCCCCATTCAGGGAACGAGGGTGCGGTTCCAGGGTCGTGGGAAAAGCCTGTCTTTCCTCACAAGCCGGCAGCCAGGGGGCGCTGCAGGCTGGGGCGCTGTGAAGCTGCTGTTGGCTGAGGGCTCCCCACTCAGCAAAGCGGGGCCAGAGCCGGGGATTCAGGAGAGAGCGGGGCGACGACCGCACAGCACACAGTGGGCGAGGCAAAGCAAAGTTCTTGGTTGAGTAACCGCACCCCACCCAACCCCAAACGTCCAAAGAGAGGCAAGGTGACCAAGGCAATCTGGAGAAGATAAGCCACACACACCAGACAAGCTCCCCGGCCCTCCCCAGCTTCAACAAACACGGAAAGCAAGGAGCCAAGAACCAAAACAGAGACCCACTGAGAGGAGAGCCACCTTCCGCCCAGCAGCCAGCTTTCCTGTGCCCACTGAGCACGAGATTATGTGTGAGGCCTCGTGTCGGGGAGCGAGATGCACCCGAATATTCCCAGCCCCCGGCAGCTCACTCCGGAGATTTCCTAGAGAGGCAATGCAGCCATGAGGTGGGAGTAGAAGGAGCCTTCCCCTCCCCACCACGCCCCGCCTCCAAACCCCGTTCCTAACCTAGAATCCTCCAACCTCGCCTGTGACACTCTCAGGACCCGCCACCTGACTCGGGGCTGCCTTTGTGCAGCCTGGCTGGGGGCTTCTCAACATCCGCTTCTCCATGATCCTGGCTCTTGTGTCCCTTGATCTGGCTCTCAGGGTCCTTCGTTCCGGGCTCCATCTCTGTCACAGGGCTGGTCTGGCCATAGGCCCTGACTCTATAAGGGGACTTGAGCCAAACCGAGCACTCAACCCAGCCCATGGCTCTTTTTTTTTTTTTTTTTAATGGGATAGTCTAGCCTCTACGCATCACCGCAGTTGTGTTTCTGTGTCTCAAAGGAAATAGTTCAGCATAGGCGATTGGTCATTAGGCCAAACACTACTAGGGAGTGTGGAGAGGAGAGAAGGCACTTCAAGCAGAGAGCAGGGTGAGCAAAGGCCCAGGGTGAAGGGGCATCGAGTGTTTGGGGAGCATTCGCAGTTCTGCATGGCTGGAGGGTAGGGGCCAGGAAGAGCTGGAGGATGACGTTGAAGACAGAAGCGGAGGGACCAGGTCTGGCCAACTTTATGTTTGCCCAACTAAGTCACCTGGATTTTACCCTAAGGGCAATAGGGAGCCATTGAAGAGTAAAGCTGGAAAGTAGCATGATCATGTTTGTGCTTTAGAAAGAAAATCCAGGCCACAGAGCAGAAGGTGGATGGGAAGAACTGGGAAGACCAGGGGAGCAATAATGGGTCTCAATCTGGGCAGATGAGGGAGAGGGAGAGCAGAGGAAACTCCACAGGGTTGATTGGGGTGAGAGAAGATCCTGGGATATTCCCGGGGTCCCAGTTTGAGGACAAGATGGTGCCTTCACTCGAGGGGAGTACCTCTTGCATTTCTCATGTCCCCTTTTCTCCCTTTGCCTGTGGTCACCAATATCTCAATTGCTGGTCTCAGCTCTAGTGGAAGACCCAGGCTGCCTCAGCCTGGCCCCTACCCCTTCACGCTCACATAATCCTGCCTCCCGCAGTAATGCAGACCCCTGGCCACCCAAGCCTCTGCCTGGAATCTCCCCACTGCCTGGCACGTGGGAAATAGCTTCCCTGGCCTGTCCCAGTTGCAGTCTCCTGCTGTGGTGTGGTGTGCTGAACACCAGTTCATTGAAGACTAGGTGCATTGCCTTTGCTCTAACAGAATTGCCCCACGGTTCCCCTCAGTCAACTGCGTCTGCCTGGAAGATGCTCAAAGCAGGAACTCCTCCAATTTTTCTCTCCATCCAAGTCTCCCCAACCTGAATAACCCACCAACCTATTCAGTCAGAGGGTCTGAATTCATTTGACAAAAAGGAAGAATGGGATTGCTTGCCTTAAAACTGACCCAAACTGTGGCTGATGTCCAGATCCCTCACACAGCCATTTGACACTTAGTCACCTCCAAAATAGAAATGATCTCCCCAGAACCAGACAAACAGAAAAAACTCTTCCCTACTAAGCCCGCTGTCTGTTTGTAGACAGCCATTCCCATAGCGCTGTTTCCTCATGAGCTGACCATTAACCAACCTTCCTGTATCCATCTGGACACATAATTGCAAGTGACAGGAATTCCAACTAAAACTGAATTGATCAAAATAAGGAATGTGTTGGTTCATGTGGTTGGAAGTTGAGAAGCACACTGGCTTCCGGCAAGACTTGATCCTGGCCACAGCTCTTGGTAAGCTCTCTCCCTTTAAGATACTGAGAACCCTTAAACAATTATTCATTCCTTTATTTCTCTATATTTAACTACCTTGGGCCAGATACTGTTTCAGGTACTGGGAATGCAGAAGTGAACAGAACAGTCAAACATCCCTGCCCTCATGCCTATAATATATCTCTAGAAAAAAAATGCAAAAAACCTAGTAACTCTGGTTGCCTCTGGGGTGAAGAACTGCCTGGCTGGGAGAAGCTTCTTCCTCAAACCTAGTAAGAAAGAGGAAGTCTTGGAATTGAGATGCAGGTCTTAATTGGTCTGATTCAGGGTTGGTGCCCATTTTTGATTCACCGAGCCTGGCTCAAGTCAATCAGTGGCTGCGTGCAGAAGGCAGTCTTCCCTTCCCATGACTAAAGGTTTGGGAAATGTGGTAGGAAGAGGGTGGAGGAAGGGGAAATTCCTTCCAGTTTGGTAATAGAGACTTTGGAGTCAGGAGCTCTAAGGAAATGGGCCCCAGGGTCTTGGAGAGGAGTGCCAGCCAAGGCTGGGCCCAGCTCCTCTGCAGACCCTCAGGCTCTCCCACCCACAGCCAAGAGGTGAGGCTGTCCTGAGCATTTTACACCTGTGGTCCCAGCTTATTGTAAAGAAAGACCACATTTATATACAGTCCCAGATTAATAGGTCAGCCTATTACAAGACCATTAACACTAAGACAACCCAGGACATTTTACTACCTTCTCTTTAAACCAAATCCACCCTACCCCCTGGGATTTCCCAAGCCAGCGCCATGTTCAGGGAAGACAGAGCCACAGTCAGGGCTAAGGCCAAATCCCATCAAGAGCACCTGAATCAGCACCTTTAAACTTCTGCAGCTTTCTTCTCGAAATAAAATGTTGCTTGGAAGCCACTTCCACTTTCTTAGGAATCCCTTCAGGAAAACGCTTTGGGGTTGAAGAGCCAGAAATGAGCTATTTTAGATAGCAAAGAGGATGAAAAGTACAATAGCAGAAATGAACAGGCTGCTGGCAGTGTCAAGGGAACAAGGGGAGGAAACAGGGAATGCCATAATATAATGTGCAATGGAATCAGAAACAGCCCAGAAAACACTACTTAGTACATAAATGTTAAACAAAAGCCATGTCCAAACATACTTGGTTTCCCTTTCTCCAATCTTCTCTCATTTGGGTCTATCAGTATATTTACCTTGCTGCTATATTAATTTCTCAAACATCTAGTAACAGTTGTGGCCACACTCAAAAACTTAACAACTTCCAATGCCTTCAACCGAAACTATATGTGTCTAATTTGGGCATTCAAGATACTTATAAGATTACTTTTAACTACCTTTTCTCCCTTATTTTTCACCCAACTCCTACATTTTGGGTCACAGATCATAGAAAGCTTTTGAATGGCCTGACAGTCTTTTAAAGGTTGTTCGGTTGTAGTATAATCTACCATTTTACTACTTTTGGCTTTATGCAGTTTTGGTACCACAGCTATTTGAGGTTATGAACATTTTCCTTTCCAAACAATCTAATAACCCACTCTGATTAAACTAGCTTTACTTTTTTTCTTTTTGCCTTTAGAGATAGCAGAGTACCTTGTACACAGTAGGTGCTTAATAAATATTAATCCACTCTTGTTCCTTAGCTGTACTCATGCTTCTTCCTGTTTTGGGAATGATCTCCAACTTTTCTTTGTTTGCCAAAAAATAATCATCCTTCCAGGACCAAATCAAAAGTCAACTCTTCAAAGCCTTCCTGTCTGTCTTGTCACAGGTGAGATGACCCTCTTCCCCTTCAAAGTATGACTTTATCCAGAAAATGTATACCCTGTGTGTCTCAAGTGTTACAGAACTGATACTGTTTGTGTAAGTGTGGCTATTTGTGGCTGCAAATGCAAAGTCTTTGAAGACAATGTGTTCTATTAATTTCTGTATCTACAGTATTCATTTAGCACCTGATGCCTACTAGTTATTGAGAGATTAAAAATGGATTTCCTGAATAAATGGAAGAATGGGTGAAGTCTTGAGCAGAAATGGGCCATTTGAGGTCTGCTAAAGGTCTGAGTGGTTGAGGAGAGCTTATTCAGTTCCTTCAAGGATTTTCTCCAGGCTTTCCGCCCCTAGCCTGTACACAGAGTAAGTCTGTATTTAGAGTAATGTGATTTAAAGGTCACATTTATTAGCAAATAGCCGTGTTTATAAATTTAGCTTGTCAAAAAAGGGAGCCTTTGAAATTAATTCTGTTTGCTGAGACTAGCACCAAGTTCAACCAACAGTGCATACTGAGCCGAGGTAAGTGAATTTCCAGCCCATGTGGCTTTTACAATCTTATGCTCCTCACCCACTCCTTTGTATATTGTTTTTGAAACTTTACTTAGCGTTTTTACTGCATGACTGGATCTTTAGGCTGAAATTTACCTATTTAGTGTTCATTTGTTATTGTTGTGATATTCTGCTTTTAAAAGTTTACTGACTGGAGGAGATGGATTTCAGGACCTAGTGTGATTTTTTTCCTCTCCAGGCCAGTCACCCTGCAGGGCCCTCATCTCTTTTCTTGAGAGAGTCCAAAGACTGTGGGACTAGGCCTGCTGGTCTGCTGGTGTTCTCCCATCTCTGCCTCTGAGCACCCTGCTGGAAAGGCTACCCTGAGATGTTGGTGGACTGGATCTCTGATCTAGAAAAAACTGCTCAGAGGCAAAAGCTACAAGAGGCACGTTCTGGCATGAATGATACTGGCTCTTCCGGCCCCCAGATTGCAGATCCACAGAGAAGACTATGGGTGAAAGATGACCCCAGGTGTAGAACTTCATCTTAGGAAGAGATCACCCAACCAGAGACTTCGTACACATCATTTGGTTGATTTTAGTTAACGAGAGCATGGAAGATGTTGGAATAATTGCTAACAATCCTGGCCGGGGAAATTAGGAAGCCCATCCTCTAATTAAAATTTAATGTAGAGGAACTGACCATCATGAATGAATGGACTCAATTCCTTGAGAAGAAGACAGATAATTTCAAACTATTTCCTAGAACAAGTAAAGGCACTCAGTTGTACAGAGTGAGGAGGTTTCCCTAGGCAAGATTGGTGGCAGCCTCAGGATGTATGGGGCCGGAGGCTGTTATATTCTCACTGGGCGAGAGAAATGGATAGGGAATGATAATGATGAATGAGTTTTCTTTCAAAGTACTCACTAAGGGAGGCTCTCCATTTTCTTTTTCCTCACTAAAGTGCCTCAAAATGCTTAAAGAATTCCACTTTGGAATTACTTCCGAACTAGTTTATATTTTCTATCCCATGACTCTACAATTGCACCTCATTTTTAACCAAAAAATCATTTCCTGCTTCATCAACCACCTTATTCATCAGACGTGGCCCTGGATGATTTTCGGTTGTTTCCAAAAATGAAATTCAACCTCAAAGCTTAAAGATTTACGCTATCGCAGCTCCTGAAGAAATGTGCCATCAACTCTAAAGATGAAGAGGAGTTCCAGATATATTTTGGTATTGAAAAAAATTTACGTCTCATTATTTTGCCATCTCATACATTTTCATATCTTCTTCTCTTATATTGCTTTGAAGATGAAACTCAGATCTGTATAAAGTATTTCAAGCATATTAACCAAAGAGTTGTGCTTAATCCAGCCACCTGTAACTAAATTTCTGTCTCTATAGTGTCTCGGAAAAAAGAAAGAAAGTGGAAAGGCAGGTTGAGAAAAAATAGAAGTGCATATAATTAAATCATGAAAGAGTGATGGATACATGATGTGTTCTACTTACTCTGTGCGGCCTCTGCCAGCCTTGTGTACATGATGTGTGGTAGGTTACATCATACCTTTGTTACTTTTGGGTTACTAAAGTAATACATACTTACTGTAGAAAATTAGAAAAAAAAAAGAAACAAAAGGAAGAGAATTTAAAATCATCTGTAACTCTATCAACTATGGAATTTTGATCTTTCACCTTTCTAGTCTTTTTTAATAGATTATTTTGTGGCAGATTTAATTCATTAGTGTTCTTGTTTGTTTATTTAAAAAGATAGATACAAACAGAAACTTCCATAAAACAGGTAGAGTGAATTGCATTAACCTTTAGTCAGCTCTTTCTTCCTTTCCTTATAGGAAACCAACTACCTTGATTTTTACAGTACTCAGGGTTTGTTGTTGTTGTTGTTTTTCTTCATAGTTTTATCATCTAAGTCAAAAGTCATTTTCCTTTTCTTCTCTACTATGGTCACTATGAGATCATGGATTTTTATTTATCTAAGTGTAATTATTATTCTTTCTAACACTCAAATTGTCCTTAAAATATGGCCAGTGGGAGCTTCATCAAGCAGTTCCTGGGAACTTCTTGCACAGTCCCACTAGCCCAAACACTCCTTTGCTTTCTGATCCAGCAAGACTTTTCAGGCTCACATGGTGAGCTTCCTGCCCTGACTGTTTCTCCAGTGACCCCTGGTTTCTGTTAGGGGTCATTTAGGAATGGAGATCAGGGAGCTTCATGCACCTTGCTATTGAGGTGCCAGTGTTTCTGGTTCCTTCAGAGGACAGAACTAGGAAATATACACACATATTTTAGGCTCATATTGATATTTCAAATTCAAATGTAGCATTGCTATATTTCATAAATTATTTGCCATTATCTTTTGGCTCTCTTTTATTTCCAGCTTTTTTCTCTATGTGTGATTGCATGCATGTGTACAGATGTGCCTGTCTGTGTGTTGGATATACTTGACAATTTACAAAATAATCACTGTACAAGTAGAAAGTTCTGGATAGGAAGCAAGACAATGCTTTAATGGTGACAGGCCCCTCTGGTATGGAAAAGTGTTTGGGGGTCAATATAGAAGGTCCAGATCATCTTACCATGAATAAGTGGAGAGTAAAGAAGACGTTCTTAGTGTCAGGGCTGGGCTAGGCTGAACAGGGTACTGGGACTCATGCTTCAGCCCGTGGACCTCCTTAGGGGAACCACATCAACGTGGTGGGCCACATCGCTGACCTCCAGACAGGTCTTTTGAAAGAAGACTATGATGAACATACCTGCAGGGCAATCTTTTCCCACATTTATCTTATAAATGTGGACACTTTCTTATAAATTATGAAAATAGAAAAATGTCCTAAAATGAAATTGCTGGGTCAGTATATATATCCAGTTTTAAAGCTAAATACTGATGCATATTGCTAAATTGAACACCCAAAAGACTCTATCAACTTATGGCTCTATAAGTGTTATATATTTAGTCTAGAATTCTTTGATCAATATTTGTATTGGGACCACTTCTTTTTTTTATTCCTTTACTTATGCTTTACTTCTTCTGTGTGCTACTGTGATACATTTGTATTTCTTTTTTTTTTCTCTCTCTCTTTTTGAGATGGAGTTTTGCTTTTGTTGCCCAGGCTGGAGTGCAATGGCACGGTCTTGGCACACTGCAACCTCTGCCTCCCGGGTTCAAGCGATTCTCTTGCCTCAGCCTCCAGAGTAGCTGGGATTACAGGCACCCACGATCATGCCTGGCTAATTTTTGTATTTTTAGTAGAGATGGGGTTTCACCATGTTGACGAGGCTGGTCTTGAACTCCTGACCTCAGGTGATCCACCTATCTCAGCTTCTCAAAGTGCTGGAATTACAGGTGTGAGTCACCGTGCCCGGCCTATTTGTATTTCTTTTAAGCAGTATACAATTGGATTTCATATTTTAAGCCAATTTACATTTAAAGTTTTAACTTATATCTTACCTTTTAGTTTATCTCTGCTTCAGGAGGCAAAGTCTGAGGCAAAATCCTTGCTCTTGTCAGTCTATTTTGTAGCAAATGGTGATTCCTACCAGATTCTGACATTAGGTTGTGTGCCCATCTCTCTTATTCAGGAATGTGTGGATATTCCTTCTGATGATTTCTTTCCTTCTTCTTTGTATTTTAGCTAAAAATGGCAAGAGCCTGCATTGTATGCTGTTAATGGAATGTGATTTTTTTTTTTTAAACAGAGTCTTGCTCTGTCCCCCAGGGTGGAGTGCAGTGGCAGTATCTCAGCTCACTGCCACCTCTGCCTCCTGGGTTCAAGAGATTCTCCTGCCTCAGCCTCCCGAGTAGCTGGGACTACAGGCATGAGCCACCACGCTTGGCTAATTTTTGCATTTTTAGCAGAGACGGGGTTTCACCTTGTTGGCGAGGCTGGTCTTGAACTCCTGACCTCAAGTGATACGCCTATCTCAACCTCCCAAAGTGCTAGGATTACAGGTGTGAGCCCCCATGCCCGGCTGGAATGTGATTTTTTGCATCAGAAATCCCTTGTATTGAAAGTAAACTTAATGTTATTTATAAGACATATCACTTCAAGAAATAAACTAATATGCGTGTATGCATTTTATACTTATTATTGTGGGGAGGTAGGGGATTTTTAAATCATTTCATCACTTTATTAGTTTCTTGGAAAGAAATGTGAAAACTTTATTTGGAGAGAACTGTTTGTGTAGGCTGTAGACCTGTTCCATGTCATTCTGGGGTTACTAAAGTCATAATGGGTTAGAAAGCTGTAAGGATACAAGATGTAATTAAAAAGAGCCACTAATACATATTCCCAAACCAACAGGAAAAGACTAAAGATGCTGCATGGTACTGAAGAATTGCTCATGGTATAAATTTGTATTTGTCTTAGGTCGTTATTATTTTATACATAGCTTAAAAATTAACATGCTTGATTCATTTTGGGAGTTTCCTTGCCAAAATTATAACTAATCCTTATGTTTTGGATGTTGATGTTTGTGAGAGGATCATTTCCATCCCGTTACTAATTTTTACAGAGGAGGGTTTGAGGGGAAGGGGGGCTTCCCCTCAAAGAGGGGAATTTGCTCTAGATCATCTGGGAAGCCAGCTGTGAAGTAAACTGGGTTAGTTTTTCTCCATTTCCTTTTCTGAAGGAAAGTTTTTTGTAAGGACTGATTTTCCATTTCACCCAAACCTGAAGCTCATTACAGAGAAAGGATATCAGTTGTATTTTTAAACCTCTTTTAGCTTGTAGACAGTCGTGCATGTACACAAATATAAATTTACTGGAGCAGAGACAGCCTAAGGAGGGATTGCGGGGATTGCGGTCACCACCAGTGACCGAAGGCTGCTGTCTCATTGAGAATCCCGCAGGCAGGGTACAGAATAGCATGGTTCTCAAATGTCTTGGTCTCAGGATCCACTTATACTCTTAAAAATTACTGAGGACCCCAAAAACTTTTTATCTAGGTGCATTAAATCTATTGGGACTGATTATATTAGATATTAAAATTTTGAAAGATTTGTTTAAAAGTAACAAGGGCGCGGTGGCTTATGCCTGTAATCCCAGCACTTTGGGAGGCCGAGGCTGGTGGATCACCTGAGGTGAGGAGTTCAAAACCAGCCTGGCCAACATGGTGAAACCCTGTCTCTACTAAAAATACACACAAAAATTAGCCGGCTGTAGTGGCAGGTGCCTGTAATCCCAGCTACTCAGGAGGCTGAGGCAGGAGAATCACTTGAACCTGGGAGGTGGAGGGTGCAGTGAGGCAAGATCACACCACTGCACTCCTGCCTGGGTGGCAGAGTGACACTCCATCTCAAAAAAGAAAAAAATTAAAGTCACAATAATAAACCTACTGCATTTTAACATGAATTACTTTAAAAATACCATATTTACCAAAATAAACATCGTTAGCAAGAAGAGGGGCATTGTTTTTTCATTTTGCAAATCTTAGGAAATGTCTATCTAGTAAAATACAGCAGTATTCTCATATTTGTTTCTGTATTCCATCTATGGATATTACATGTCATGTGGTCACTGGAGCACTCCACCATGTACTCATGAGTGAATGTGAATGAAAACAAGAGAAATAATGCCTTCATATTATTACGAAAATAATGCTGATATTCCAGGTCTCCTGAAAAAGTTTGAGGTTCCCCCGGGGGTGCTGAGACCACACTCTGAGAACCATTGGTGGAGGAAGGTGTAGTGGAGGCCAGAACACTGGGAATTACAAACTAAGGTTTTGTGAACAAAGAAACAGCTTAATCTTTATAATTTTGTTTTTAGAAACTGATCTCCAACGATGTTAGAGATCAGCTAATTTTGTAAACATTTACAAAAGTTTAATAAAATCATTCTGATTTATCTTCAGAACTCCGAATTCCTACATATAATTGCTACTCAACATCTCTATGTGGATGTCTAGTAGACATTTCAACTCTTGTTCAGAACTCATCTCCTGATCTTCTACCCTTAAGTTTCTCCTGTTGTGGCATCACCCATTTAGTTAATGGCAATTTCATCATTATAGTTGCTCAGACACAACACCTAAAAATCATTGTTGACCCCTCCCTGGGATCAACTCTGTCTGGGATGTAGCTCTGGTCTGAGCCACCAGCATCTCTCACCTGGGTTACTCTTACCTGTTCTCTCTGCTCCTACCCTCCCTGACCAAATCCCCATTGTCCATTTTTTGTTAATAGCCAGGATGATCCTTTTAACACCTAAGACCGTGCACTTTTCTGCTCAAAACTATGTAATGACTCCTCCTTTCAATCAGCGTCAAAGCTGACATCTTAAAATGCCCTTAAGACCTTACCTGCTCTGTCTCAACCTGTCCCTCTATGAGCCCGTGGCTCCCTGTCCCGCCCCCACACTGCTCCAGCCACAGTGGGCTCCTGACTGTTCTTTGGACACACCAGACAGGTTTCTGCCTCAGGGCCTTTACCCAGGCTCTTCCTGCCATCTGGAATGCTCTTCCCCCTTATATATTCAAACTCCATTATTTTCAATATTTGTTCAGATAGTAAGCTTCTCACTGTATTCTACTCTGACAACTCTACTTAAAAATGCAAGTCCCACCTCCTGCACCAGAATGCTTGTCACCCCCTTACCATTCTATACTTTAAAAAAAAAAAACTCTTTCTCACCCCCATTAGGCATTTAAACCCTTCTACTTATTTTGTTTATGTTTCTTGTTTCTTGGTTTTCTCCCCTAGAGTAAATCCCACAGGTCAAGAGTTCTTGTCAGCACTTTTTCTCTACATAACACAAGAACTTAGAACAGTGTCAAGCAAGTTGAAGACATATAATAAATATTTGATAAATGAATGGCTGGATAGAATGCCTTAAGAAAAACTCGGGTGACTTGGAATCATCCCTAGTATTTGAGGTTGTTATCAATTAAAATCAATCATGAGGAATTAATTGGGGGTATTAATAACTGAATCTCCTTCCAATGCAAGTGACAAAAATTCAATTCACCTTGGCTTAAACCAGAAAAGAAAACAAAATAAATTTAATGGCCAGGCGCAGTGGCTCATGCCTGTAATCCCAGCACTTTGGGAGGCCGAGATGGGTGGATCACAAGGTCAGGAGATTGAGACCATCCTGGCTAACATGATGAAACCCCGTCTCTACTAAAATACAAAAAATTAGCCAGGTATGGCACGCGCATGTAGTCCCAGCTACTCAGGAGGCTGAGGCAGGGGAACTGCTTGAACCTGGGAGGTGGAGATTGCAGTGAGCTGAGATTGCACCACTGCACTCGACAAAGCGAGACTCCGTCTCAAAAAAAAAAAAAAAGAAAAAAAGAAATTTGTTCCCTTACAGAATGGGTTTCAGGCATGGCTGAATCCAGGGGGTCAAATGATGTCATTGAGATCCAGTCTGTTTATTCTCCTTCTTCTGTGTCAACCCCTCATTCTCAGGCAGCCTCTCCCTTTGTGATGTAAAGATGCTGCATCTAGGCTGTTATGTGACCAGCTCAACCACTCCATGAGAAAGAAAGGTACACTTGTTCTCTGTCGGCTGTCCTTGCTCTGAGGCTCTCTCAGCAAGGGAGTGTGCACACATCTGTATTTACGTCTATGTCTGTAATTGAAAACTGTGTGTTCAATCTGATTCCTCCCATTGCAATCCAACCATACAGGTTTGATTTTTGATTTCTTTCTTTCTCCTGTGAGTATCTTCCTTCTCTGACAGTGAGAAAGTACATCTCCACGTCTTATTTACTCATCTGATTGATCCTTCTTTATGTGATCAAACCCCCCATCCATCTTTGCTGCTGACCCTTCCCCAGGTGGACACCCTCCTCACCCTGCTAGGGCGCTGGCAGCTTACTCAGTCTGCTCCTCTGCAGAGGTACCCTCTTCACTCCTGCTCAGGTCTGGGCACTCTGCACCACACCTTCCCATGTGTGACGCCTTCTTACCCTACTTGGGCTTTGACACCACAGGCCAGACCATGCCTTTGTAGAAGTTGTTTTCTTGCCTCTGGGGCTCTGACCCCCAATGCTAAGCCACTCTGTGAGTAGGTGCTCTCCTCACCCTGCTGGGGCTGACACCCCATGCCTCACTGTCTCTCTAGGGGACTCTCCTTTTCTGCTCACACTCTGAGTCCCCACTGTTTGTCACCTAAAGGCATGCACAGGAGCCCTCCCCATCCTGCCCATAGGTTCTTAACACCCAACCTCAGGCTCAGACAATGCAGGCGAGGCCACTCCAACATGGGGATGCCCTTTTCACCCTGCTTGGACTCATACTCATAGGCCACCATGTTTTCCTCCCTTTCCTGCATAGGTGTGACCTTGTGCTGTCCCAATTAATAGTTTTGAGGCTGAGTTGCTCAGGAAGGGAGGAAAAGGGAAGAGGAAGCAGAAGCACCTTTTATCTTCATTTGTGTCTGTCATCACAAGAGACTCTGGACCTGATGCTGTCCTCGATTTCTGAGACTCAAATGCCCACCTGGCTCCATAGTCAAGGAAGCAATTGCCGCTGCCTTTAATCAGTCCTGGCCGGGGACTCCTCTCACCTTTCCATGATCTGTTTTCCTCCCTGGCACTTATCACCCTCTGACCTATTTGTTGCATGAATTCCTCCATTTCTAGCAGTCAGTGCTGTGCCTGGCACATGGAAGTACCAAGAAATATTTCCTTAATGATTGAGTCCTAGAACAGAACGCAGTAATGAGGCTGTCCCACATGGCCAGGGAGGCTCTGGGTGCAGTAATGAATATGGAGGATGTGTCTTCCCTAAACCACACTCAACTCAGTCCAACCTGCTCAGATTCTCGGCCTCAGTGGAATTCTTCTGTGCATCCTGGGTTCTATAGTTGCTAATGCTTCAGTGTCTTTTCATCCCAACACCCCATCAGGGCCACCTCCTTTGGCCTGTGAAGGACCAGTGACTTATGGGAGCTGACAGAGGAGGAAGTGTAGTTAGCATTCATTCATTGCTTATGTTGTACAGGCTGTCAAAACTAATGAAATTTTATGACAGACGGGCAACGACCAGCTTCCTGGTGTTATTTATCTTTCTCGCTTCTGGCTTGGAGCACTGGGTGATTTTTCATTTATATTTAAAAATGCCAAGATGACTAAGCGCAATTCGCCTACTCAGAAAACTAGCAAATTGTATCAATGCACAAATGTAATTAATAATCATCAGGCATGAGAAATGAGGAGCAGTTAAGCAGGATAGTCTATCTTTCCAATTCTTCTCCCCCTCCCCTACCACCATTTCAACCAGTTCCCAGACTCCAGGGACATACGTCACGTTTTTTCTCTCTTTGCTCACATCTGATAGCCAATATTTGCAATGACAAGCAAAAGGTCCTTGTGGCTGGTGACATGAGTCCCCATGGCTCAGTAGACATATTTATAGCCACCTTAGAGGAGATGATGCAAATAGATGTAACGCATAAAAAGAAAAAGACGAAAAAAATGGAAAATTTAATGTAAGAGGGAACGGAGGTCCTGGGAGACAGGTTAATTCTAGAGTGACAAGACCCAAGATTGTGAGACTGTGTTTATGTAACCAAGAGAAACCCACAGAACCAATTCATCATAACAACCTAAACCTGGGGGCTGTATGTGCCTTGACAAATTCATTTATATACATCACTTAATTCTCTTATCTCCTCATTCCTGCAGTATGTTATCTGTGTTTCCTTTGCTCTCATCTCTACCTGCTATTGCAGGGTCTCTAGGCTCTCAAATTTCCTGCTCTGCACAAATTACTTCTGGGAGGTCTCCAGAGGTATCTCAAATGGGTTCACTAATAAACTGTTAGGTCTCATGTAGCATCTGCATTATTTTTCTTCCTTTCTCCTGCTACCATCAGACTTTTGATGAGCTGCATCCTCAAGGCACCAAAGCAACAGCCCCACGTCCTCTGGAGACCTCTGAGGGTCAAGAGCTTTTCACATTCTGTACAGTCAGGAGAATGTTTTCTCTCCACTCCCAGCATTTTCATAGGGACTTTAAAATTGTGCAGCTATGTTCCAGTGCCTTCTAGATTTTTTTTTAGTAAACAGTTTTTGGGTGAGCAGACAAAGCTGAAAGGCAAACATTATAATACTCTACTCAAAAATCCAAGCATTTGCTGCCATGACTGCCATGACTAAGGCTTTGTTATGGGTCCAAGCTTTTCTGCCTCACCTTCTCTCTTTTGTAATGGGTTATTTTCCAGAGGGCACGTCATTTTAAAAATGCAAGTTGGCATTGGAAAGGTGAGACATGTCCAGACATACCAGCCTCACAGTAGTGAACACTTGTTCAGGCTCAAAATGGCACATCTTGATCACCACGGTGTACTTACGCAGGGCCCACAGTGTGCTAGCTGCTCCAGGTGCTGCAAAGTGAATCAGACACAGGACCCAACACGGTCATGCAGTAAATAACCATTAGGACTAAATAAATGGTGGGGAAAGTAAAAATAAGTGCAAAAAGAGATATACGGATAATGTGGTAAAGAGGAGAGCTACTTCCTGTAGCCTTGAAAATCGAATGGCTTAATGGAGGACCCAATAGAGCCGAGCCTTGTGAGGACATGAACATGTAGAGGAGTGGAATCCAAAAGGTATTTCAGCAAGAGGGAGTGCTAGGAGTAGAAGCAAAGGGTGAATGTTACTAGCAATATGAGTGGATTAACAGAGTTTCAAATTGGCTAAAGCATACCTTGTTTGAAGGGGAATGGTTAGAGAAATCATAGTGGAAATGGGGAGTGAGACCTCCGGGGCATGTTTGACCAGTGGGCTGAGATTTTTCTTTTTTAAGATGGAGTCTCACTCTGTCACCAGGCTGGAGTGCAGTGGCGCCCTCTTGGCTCACTGCAACCTCCGCCTCCCTCCCTGGCTCAAGCTATTCTCCTACCTCAGCTTCCTGAGTAGCTGGGATTACAGGCATGCACCACAACGCCCAACTAATTTTGTATTTTTAATAGAGGCGGGGTTCCACCATATTGGCCAGGATGGTCTCGATCTCCTGATCTCATGATTTGCCCGCCTTGGCCTCCCAAAGTGCTGGGATTTCAGTCGTGAGCCACCGTGCCTGGCCTATATCTTATTTTTATGCAGCAAAATATGTCGAACTAAGATAGTACACTATTTAGAGCCATTAAAAGCCATTGCATAGAGGACTGTGTTTTTGAATCAGTCAGGTTCACCTGGATCAGGTAGGTGCACCTAGATCAGTGTGTGTCAGATGAATAGGAGAAGAGATCTGGGCAGGCACATCAGTGAGGAGGTCTCTGCAATAGCAGAAGACATGGGTACTAAGATTGAAACAGAAGAAATTCAGAGTAGAAAGATGATGAGCTTTGGAGAGAGAGTAGATGGATACCCAGAGTGAGGAAAAAGAGGAAGCTAAGAAGAGCCCCACATGAGGAAGGAGAAATATGATGTCCAAGAGGCAGAGTGAATTTTTGGAGGGAACAGAATGAGTTCACACATTCGAAACAACTTTGTAAGGTGAGTGGGATAGGAACATTCATTCTTTTTTTTTTAATTAATTATTTATTTATTTTTATTTTTTTCTTTGAGATGGAGTCTTGCTCTGTCACCCAGGCTGGGGTGCAGTGGCGCAATCTCTGCTCACTGCAACCTCCGCTCACTGCAACCTCCACCTCCTGGGTTCAAGCGATTCTCCTCCCTCAGCCTCCCAAGTAGCTGGAATTACAGGCACGCACCACCACACCCAGCTAATTTTTTATATTTTTGGTAGAGACGGGGTTTCACTATGTTGGCCAGGCTGGTCTGGATCTCCTGACCTCGAGTGATCCACCTGCCTCAGCCTCCCAAAGTGCTGAGATTACAGGTGTGAGCCACCATGCTCAGCCTTATTCTTATTTTAAAGGCAGGAGAGTTGTTACATGGAGCAGGTAAGTGTGTGTCCATGGTCACAGGGCATGTGGCAGAAGTGACTCTCAAACTCCAATTTTCGGATGTTAAAACATTTTCTCTTTTCTTGATACACATACACTTGAATATGTTCATGCCTGAAGAGGATGGCAGAAGGAAGATTAAAGAAAAAGATGAGGAATAAGGAGTTACTCTGTTGATGAAGAAAGCACACACACTGTGTTCATGTTAGCAATTATTTCTGGGAGATCCATCAGGCAAATGAAATCTCCTAATCCAATTCAGGAAGGAATTTCCTGGACATGTGGATCCATAATCCTGTTTAACTCCTCCAAAAAGAGAGACTAAAGTTAGAGATCAACTCCAGTAAAAAAGCAAACTTAGAGGTAACGATTGCAAACAGAGCCTGGGCATCCCCCCGCTGGGGTCCCGGGCTATCATCTAATAAAAGCCATACAAGTCCATAAGCCACATGGAAATCGCTTTACCCAGAAGCTTCTGGAAGGTCCACGTGTTCATAACTAGGACACTGGTAACAGACCTATTCCTCTTGGTTATCTTATGTGATAGTTGTTTGTGAAGCATCCCTTTCTAGAGAATTTAGATTCTGTCATTGTCTATTTTGCACTTGGGAATGTGGTAGTGGTGTGTTGTTTTTCTCTTCGGCTGGTGAGGAAAAGAGGTGGGAAACCCTGGGCTTGCCAATGTCCTATTTGTCTTTCTGTTTGTTGTTGCAACTGGCCTCATTAAATCAGGCGAGAGCTGCCAACGTATACAACTTTGGCTTTCCTAATTAAAGTTCTGCTGAAAAAAGCTGCCCCTCTCCTCTGACTCTCTCACAGGAATGCACTCTCGTAACAGAGGCATCTGCCCCCTGGACTAACCTTTCTTAAAACCAGATAAACAAAGTAATACCAATAAAAATATCCATCTGTGTTTAAAGATAAATAGAGCATTAATATACCAAACTGAGATCTGGATTCTTTTGGAACCAGCTTTAATGATATTAGACATCTGTTCTGGCTTGCTTTCCACTCATTTTCCACTTGCAGATTCTTATAAGAAAACCATGTGACAGCAGTTTTTCTGTGGGAAGTGGGGGTGCCACCTGAACCCCTGCCCTTTCTCAGGTGATTGCCCCAGTAGAGGGTAGTAGATCCCAAAGGTGTAAGCCAGTGATGTCCCTTACCATGTGGCAGTCTGTTTGGGCCTCATTGTGGATTTTAAGCACTGTGATCTTTTTACATGTTTATTTTTGAGATACCAGAACGCCAACTTATTCCTTTACAATGGTAAGTGGAATTGTCAAGTAGACCAGATGCACAAATGTTGGCACAATCGTGGCAGCCTTTCTCATCCTGGAGTTAAGTCGTATGAATATCCAAGAAATATCCAGGAGCTATTCATTTACCAGGAGAGAGCAGTTTCTCTGGCAGGAAAGGTGGGAGGTCCCCATGATGATTGTTTCTTTTAAAGAGAATTGGACTTGGATGACAAAAAAAACACCCTTTAAGTGTTTCTTTTACCATTTTTAACACTCAAGAACAATTTCAGGCAAAGTACTATTGTGGGAAATCTTTCTCCACTTAAATGCAGACTTGTCGACCTGGATTTGTTAGATTTGGTGCTAACTCCAAAGTGACTACGGGCAGATCAGTGGGGGTGGGGGCCACGTTGGAAATGTGCGGGGGCATTCAGAATTGTTCCGATGATGGGAGAGATGACACTGATTTTTGGTGCCCGAAGAACAACAATGCCAGAGGCACAGCAATTTGAGGGACAGTCTTAGTCGAATTGCCTGTTTGAAATGCTGATATAACAGGGTATTGAGAAGCACTGACTTTTTCAAATAATGGACACTTTTTTTGAAACAAAAATCTTACACAGGACACCAATATATAAAACTCATTGAAGGAGAGCTATTTTGCCTGACAGAGAGGAGGTCTCTGAAATACTTCTACGAAACATAGTTTGAGAACCACTATTTTAGCTGATACCAAATGGCCATAGAGCTTTACTATTCTGTCTGGTTCTACTATGTTATAAAGACTAAGTAGTTTACTTTTACTTTTTCTTTCTTTCTTTCCTTTATTTTTTTTTTTCGATATGGAGTCTCACTTTGTTGCCTAGGCTAGAGTGCAGTAGCGTGATCTTGGCTCACTACAACCTCCACCTCCCAGGTTCAAGCAATTCTCCTGCCTCAGCTTCCCAAGTAGCTGGAACTACAGGCCCGTGCCATCACACTCGGCTAATTTTTTGTATTTTTAGTAGAGATGGAGTTTCACCATGTTAGCCAGGATGGTCTTGATCTCATGACCTCGTGATCCGCCCGCCTTGGCCTCCCAAAGTGCTGGGATTACAGGCGTGAGCCACAGCGCCCGGCCAATTTCACAAATAGATTTTTTTTCTTACTGTAAATCTTAGCAAGCTCAGCATATGAATTTTTTTTTTTCCTTAAATTGAAAGCTTTTACCCTTTCACTTAAAGGCAGCACTTTATGGCTTCTCTTGGGCATATCCAAACTGCTACCATCACTACTCGTGTTAGTCCATTTTCACGCTGCTGATAAAGACATACCTGAGACTGAGAAATTTACCAAATAAAGAGGTGTACTGGACTTACAGTTCCACATGGCTGGGGAGGCCTCGCAATCATGGTGGAAGGCAAGAAGGAGCAAGTCATGTCTTACATGGATGGCAGCTGGCAAAGAGAAAGCTTGTACAGGGAGACTCCCGTTTTGAAAACCATCAGATCTTGTGAGACTCATTCACTATTACAAGAACAGTGCAGGAAAGATGCACCCCTGTGCTTCAATCACCTCCCAGCAGGTTCCTCCCACGACATGTGGGAATTGTGGGAGTTACAATTCAAGATGAGATTTGGTTGGGGACACAGCCAAACCATATCACTACTCTTGTGCTTTGGGGCCATTATGAAGTAAAACAAGCATTATTTGAAGACAAGGACTGCAATACCACCACAGTAGATCTGATAACTGTTGGCTACTAAGTGACAAAGGGGCAGGTGAAGTATACAGCGTGGATGCGATGGACAAAGGGGAGGATCTACCTCCCAGCTGGGATGGAGCAGGACGATGCAAGATTTCATCACACTACTCAGAAAGGCATGCAGTTTAAAGCTCGTAAATTATTTCAGGAATTTTCCATTTAATATTTTCAGGCTGTGGCTGACCGTGAGTAACAAACCCAGGAAAGCGAAACTGCAGAACAGTGGATGGGAGAAAGGGTGAATTACTGTATATTCATGAGGGATATTAGTCCATAGTTTCTTTTTTCCCTTTTAACAAATTTTTGGGTTTTGTATATAGTTTGTCTGGTTTTGGTATCAGGGTAATACTAGCTTCATAAAATGAATTGGAAAGCGTTTCTTCTGTTTTCCGAAAAAGATTATATGGAATTAGCATTCATTCTTTAAACACTTGGTAGAAATCTTAAGTAAAACCATCTGAGCTCGGAGATTTTTTTGTGTGTGTTATAAAATTACATATTCAGTTTCCTTAATATTTATAAGATCATTTTAATTATCTGTGTTTTTCAGTGAAACGGGTCCATTTTCTGTATGTTGTCAAATTAATATTTGTAGAATTGTATTAGTATTCTTAATTATCCTTTTGATGTCTGCAGAATCTGTAATGGTATCCCTGTTTTATTTCTGAAATTAATTTGTGCCGTTATGTCTTTTTTTCTTTGTTGATCTTGTCAGAAGTTTGTCAATTTTATCAATTTGTTCCAAGAACCAGCTCATTGATTTGGTTTCAGTTTCATTGATTTCTACTTTTATCTTTATTATTTCCTTCTTTTTCTTGCTTTTGGTATATTTTGTGCTTCTTTTTCTAGGTTCTAGAGGTGGAAGCATACGTTATTGATTTGAGACCTTTCCTCTTTTCTAATGTGAGCATTTTAGTTACATTTAGTTCCCTCCTAGGACTACTTTAATTGGGTTATTGAGAGGTGTTGAAGTCTCCAACTGTATTTGTGGATTTATTTATTTTTCCTTTCAGTTCTATTAGTTTTAGCTTCACATTATTTTGCAGCTCTGATGTTTAAAGGTGCATGAACATTTAGGCTCACTACGTCTCAGTGAATTGACCCTTTTATCATTATGTAATATTCCTCTCAGTCTCTGGTCATTTTCTTTGTGCTGAAATATACTTTATCTGATAATATAATGACTGTTCCCTGTAGATTAATATTTTCAGGATGTATCATTTTTATTTTTTTATTTTCAACCTGCCTGTAATCATTATATTTGCAGTGAATTTTTTCTAGACACTGTATAGTTGAATCATTTAAAAAAGTCTGCTCTGGCAATGTGTCTTTTAATTGGTGTATTTAGATCATTACATTTAATATATTTACTGATATGTTAGGGCATAATAATTTTTTGTTTTCTGTTTGTGTCTCTGCTTATTATTTCTGTTTTCTTTTTCCTGCTTCCTTTGGGTTGTTTGGACATTTCCTTTAGAATTATATTTCAATTTATATATAGTTTTTTTTTAAAAAGAGTATCTCTTCATACAGATTTTTTTAGTGGTTATAACCAGCTGATGCTGCTGGTTCGAGAGCCCTTTGGCTGAGAAAGCAGATAGCTCACCAGCCCGGCAGCCTGGGTCTCCAGGTAGTATCAGGTCAGGCCAACGACACTGAGACATTTGTCCACCCTGAGAGGACTCTGAGCACCTGTGGCTGAGGCCAAAGGACCACAGGGCTAAGGATGGGGAGACTCCAACTCCAGTCGATATGCATACCTTGGCAAGCTTCTCACTACAGCCCACTGTTCATGGAGAAGCTGGGCCTTGCAGATCGACCAGAAACCCCCACGATATGCCACTTTCTGCCCCTATGTCCTGCGTGTCCTGGGCATTGGCCCTGTCTCCCTTGGCAAACACAGAACACTGTTCCATCTCAGAGATTGCTTCACCAGAGAAACAGATGCATTTATGGTACTGTAAGTACTATAGTATATGTGTTGCCAATTACTGTAAAGTCGTAAGTATTTATAATTCTGGTTCTGATTTGATGGGCACTTGAGGTAGCTGTGGGTGGGAGGGTATGCTTATTGTCCGAGGAGACTCACAACCATTTCTCAGGTTTCCCTTGCAGAGTGTGTGCCGTTACCAGTGGGATAGTGGGTGTGCCAAGGAGAAAAATGGCCAGTTAGAAAAAAATCCCAAGACTAGTCTATGCAGAATCTCTCGCCTACAGACAGGGCATTAATAGCCCAGTGGTGGGTGAGCGGCAGAGGCCAGGACTGGACTCAGACTTTTGCCTCACAAAGCTGTGAGGACTCTGAAGGTCCTGCCCCTGCCTCACACAGCCTCGCCAGGAGTCTGCTGAGCACCTTTGAAACAAGAACAGGGAAAAGATGAAGGTCTGGGAAGCCACTGAGCTCACAATATTCATCTACACTGGTCACCTTTGTGTTAGAGAGTGTGTGTATCTGTATGACTGAGTACATGTGTCTACGTGCATAGATATATCTGCGCAAGCCTGTCTGTATGTGCACATTATATGTTGATGTGTACGTATGTCAGTTCTATGGCTGTGTACCTGGGTGGATATGTGCACACTGGAATGTGGGACCTGTGTGAGAATGTAACATTTGCTTGCATGTGAGGATGCATATCTATGTGTAAATGCTCTCATGTCTTGCATGTTTAGTGTGTGTGTATCTGGGCACACATGAGTGCATGTGTAGAGATACGTGTCTGTGTGTATGCTTGCTCTCCATGCATCTGTGTTTTTATATGTGTAACTGAGTGTATTTCTACATGTGGGGGTGACTGCGTGTTCCTCTTTGAGGATCTGCATGAATGTGTCCTTTTTGCGAGATTTCTCTTCCCATTCGTCTTACATCTCTCTCACTAGTTAAATGTTCCCCATCTCTGTGCCTCCTCTATTCATTCTCTCTCACCAAATGAGCTTCTAAGCACCAGTCTCCTTCTGCCATCAGATTGGCTGTTTTCACTGCACAGTTCTCTTCTCACCCCGTACTTGCTTTCTTCCCCTGCCTTTCTCTGCCTGCTTTTGTCACAGTCTCATTGCTTGCTGACTTGGAGGCTAGGGCTGGTCTTCACTTAGCCTCTCCCTTCCTAATTTCTAGCCCCAGTGGGCAACCCTGTCTTAGCCCTGGCTGACCTCCACAGTGAATCATCATGTTCCTGCTACTTTCCTGACCCCTATACTCAGCCTGGAATTATTGTAGGAGATAGCAAGAGCATTCAGAAGAGTCAGTTGGTTACCAGTGCCTTGGTGTTTACTCTTTTATGTCTTAGTTCCTTAGCTGGGGGTGGGGTTTGATAGGGAAGGGGTGGTATAGCTAGAATGCAAACTAAGAACTTCTCCATCTGCTTTCCTTTTTCTTTCGTTGACAAAATGTCACCTTTTCTACTCCAAACTGACCAAGAAGTTGTATTTGCCGTTTGTGGCTACTCACGTCCTACTGCCCAGCCAAGGGACCCTATAACATCTCAGTCCAATGAGTTGGTTGAAAAGAAGAGAGGGAGAGAGTTCACTCTCATTTTCGTATCACAATTGCCCTTCTTTTTAGCAAGTGTATGAACTCACAGTGCTTTTCTATGAATAAACCATGGACCACATGAAAGATCATTTTTCTTAAAGAAAAAAAATTCCCTAAACCCAGAGGGGACCAGCAAATACTTAACAGGAGATTAGAGATTTCCTGTGAGTGCATATGGTGCGGGGTGACCTGATTCTGTGAAGCAAATGTTATTGTCCTCCTTAAATTCATGTGTTGAATTCTAATTCTATGTGATGGTATTTGGAGGTGGGGCCTTGGCAGGTGATTCAGTTCATGAAGGCAGGGACCTCATGAATGGAATTGGTGCCCCTTCAAAGGGACTGCAGAGAGCTCCCTCATCCCTTCTGTCATGTAAAGACACAGTAAAAAAGATGGCTGTCTATGAACCAGGAAGTCAGCCCCACGGAATCTGCTGACAATTTGACCTTGGATTTTACCATCTCCAGAACTGTGAGAAATCAATTTTCTACGCTACCTAGTCTATGGCATTCTGTTTTGACACCCAGATTAGCTAAAGTAGCAGCATATCAACTTGCACACATAATTCTTGGAAACTCTGATGCCAAATCCTTGATGGCAAAAGGTGATTGATCTGCCGGAGACATGAGCCTACATCATCCCTCTTTCCACAATAAACCAGAGAGTCAAAACAGTCAAGAGTAGGTCAAGGTCTTCTAAAAGCCATACCTGAAAGGTTTCCAATAACAGATGACTCGATGGTAATTCAGCCACACAAACAACCACAACAAAAGACACAACTATCAGAGATTTTCAGGATAGCCTCAAAAACACCATCTAACATTAGGGAGTTCAAAAAGGCATGAAGTTTCAGAAATCAAACTTTATTGTAATCTCGTTTCATCAACTTGTAATTCTAACACTATTAATAAATGGTAGGGCAGGTGGTGGCATGGAGAGCCTGGGGCACAACGGCTGTCGTTAAAAGCTTTGTTTGCTTTACCCTTTGGAGCCACCTCCTGGTCCCCTCACCCACTGCCCGCCTGTTAAGGGCCTGTCCCGGGCAGCACATTAGGGGCAAACAGCCTGGATGCCCAGCTGTGGACCCGCATCCATGCCTGGAGGAGGAGGTTGCCTCTGGGAGCAGGCGTAGCTGCTGGAACTCTTCTTCCCAGCCTTCTTTTAATGCTCTCCGGCACCTCCTGCACACAGATAAACCAGGATCAGGAGAATAAACGGACCTGCAGCAGCAGGACTGTGGTTCTAGTGAATGAGAGAAGCCTCTCTCCAGCGAGGTACAGGAGGCCAGGCCAAATGCCCTGCTCTCTGCCTGCATGTTTGCCACCGTGCCCAGGACTAGGGGCAGCATGGGAGCTGCTGGCTGGGGCTGTGCTGGTCACCCCCTCCCTCCCACTTCTCTCTCCAGCCACGCTTTCAGTTCCAGGGTTAGGGCTAGTGGCTACAGTACGTGCCGTGATTTCAGGCAGCTCCTCGTTGGTCTGGTCCTTGGCTGGAGCTCCCTCCAGCTCCAGTGCTCTCTCTGGAGGGGCCTCTTCCCATGCTGGCTCTGGCTCCGCCGCTGGTGCTGGCAGTGCTCTTACTTCTGCACATGGACCAGGAGCTGAGAAAGGAGAAAGGGTCACCAGCCTCAGTCACTTTCCACTGGAATTTCCAAACACAGAAACGACCTCACTGAATTTAAGGGAATTCCAGCCCAAAATCACCGCCCCCGCAAAGTCTTCCAGGCTGCAGGCCACCTCACCAAGTGTCTGTGCCTCAATGAGCTCCTGAATCTCCTGGACAAGGACAGTGTGCAGCTGCAGCCCCAATGGGATCTCTGGTGTGGCCTGGCCTGCTAGGGCCTGCCCCAGGCTGTCCTGTGGTACCTGGATGCGCCTTATTACAACGGGCGACAGGCGTCTGGGGTGAGGGATGAGCCTTCTTCGGCATCGTCGGAAAAGGCTCTCACTCCCTCCATTCCTGAAGCAGCAACCTCTCGAAGTGGGGAAGCAACACGAGAACATCTTGCTCTCTTGAGCGACTCCCACCAAGTGAGCTGTTTACGGCGCTGACTCTAGGATATGGGTGCCTGGTTACCAGAGTTCTAAGTTCTGTTCGTGTGGTCATCATCCAGGAAGTGAGGTCGCTTCTTTACGGTTCTGTCCCCTAGTCCCCTTCCTTCCATAAGACCTACTCAGGACTCCACTGGGCTGCTGACTACTCACCCTCCCCTCAGGTCATCTCCTGACCCGTACACAGTTATGTCCACCCAGGGTCTGCTTGGACACCTGTGCCTGATGTTCACCAGGGGCCAGATGTCGTCCTCAGGCCTGATGTCCACCTGGGGCCTGATGTCTGCCTTGGCCTATGTCCCTCTTGGGGCCTTGTGTTCACCTGGGGACTGTATCCAGCTGGGGCCTGATGGCCTACTGGGTCTTGTTGTTCACCTAAGGCCTTGTGTCCACCTGGGGACTGGTGATCACCTGGGGCCTGGGTGTCCACCTGAGGCCAGAGGTGCACCTAAGGCCTGAGTTTTCACCTGGGCCTGATGATCACCTGGGGACTTGGGTCTAATGTCTACCTGGAGCCTTGGGTCTAATGTCCACCCGGAGCCTACGTATCTACCTAAGGCATGATGTCTACCTGCGGCCTGATGTCCTCATGAGTCTGGTGTTCAACATGGGCCTGCTGTCCACCTAGGGCCTTGGTGTCCATCTGGGGCCTGGTTGTCAACTTGGGGCCTGGTATACACTTTGAGTCCAGGGTCCACCTGGGGACTGACGTCTGCCTGGAGGACTGACGTCCTCCTGAGTGAGGTGGGAGGATCTCTGGAGCTCAAGAGGTTGAGACCACAGTGAGCTGTGATTGTGCCACTGCCCTCCAGTCTGGGTGACAGAGTGAGACCCTGTCTCAAACAAATAAACAAAAAAGCCACACAAATTATATAGCTATACAAAAATATTTTGTTTCTTTTTAACCTTATTCTATGAGCTTTTTTCATTATTTATTTATTTTACTTTTAAACCGTTTGTTGTTAAAAAACAAGACACAACCAGACACTTTCGCCTAAGGCTAAGCAGGGTCAGGATCATCAATTTCACTGTCCTCTACCTCCACATCTTGTCCCACCGGAAGGTCTTCAGGGGCAGTAACAGGCATGGAGCTGTCATCTCCTTGATAAGAATGCCTTCTTCTGGAAACCTCCTGAAGAAACTGCCTGAGGCTGCTTCACAGTTACCTTAAAAAAAAGTAGTAAGCATATACTCTAAAATAACAATAAAAAATATAGGATATTAAATACATAAAACAATAACATCAGCATCTATTATTTTCATCAAGCATTATGCACTGTTGATAATCGTATGTTCACACCCACATCACCACAAACATGTAAGCTCTGTGGTGTCCAATGAATCTGCCTTTCTTTACCTACAACTGTCTTGGTAAATTCTTTTACCACCCATCCCACTGTCCCAGAGAGTCGCTGCTCCCCTACGACACTGAGTAAGGAGGAGATACAGCTGACACCACCTGGAAATATTCCCTGAGGCCAAGCTCAGGCCACAGATTATGGTGAAGCCTCCAACTTCCACACTGTAAGCCACCAGGGGCCTGGTGACCCCTGTGACGAGGCCACAGGGAGCATCTATGGATCAGGCACTTACAGAGGCCCCAGGGTATACCCCAGCACACTGGAGGCCCCTCCCCACACCCACAACCCCAGGCATGTATACAGGATCCACACTCCTGCCCACAAACACCAGGTAATGCATGAGGGGAAGGGAGGCTGCCTTGAGACTAAGCACTGCCTCACTACCTAAAAGCACTCTGTCATCATGAGGGTGAACCAGAGATTGCCTGGACTGGCCGTTTAATCCATCACTTTGGCCCTTGAGTTACTAACATTGTTGCAACTGTCCAAAGTTACTAACTTTGGGTTTTCTGCCCACCTAACTGCCGGAAGCTAAGATGGCAACATCAGTATCAGTCAAATAAAGCAACACGCGTTAACTTAGTGACCACTACACAAGCTCACCAGTACATCCTTCTGGTGCCACCAGGATGCCACTTACTCCTCTACATAAGAGAAAGGATTTTTAAAGTAGAATATGAATTATTGCTTTTTATGGAGATGCCATTATTAAATTTTATAATTGTCCTGCTTTTTCCCAAGTGTGACATATAAACAGTTAAAATTGATTCCAGATCATTAAATCATATGCAATAATTTTTATATACATTATCTGCTGAGTTGAATATTACATAAGTCTTCTCCAACCCATAGGTAATCTTACAAAGACAGAGGCATATTTTTTAAATGACTGAGCTTGATATCAAACAATATAAAGGCTGTTAAGAATGCTGAGATGGATTTGTTTAATAGATGTCAAACCGGCCTTCTTTCACAGGAAGCGCATACGGCCGCTGCACTTGCACCGGACAATTTATTTGTGTGTCCATGGACAAGATGTAAAGAAAAACAATGAATAACATCCAAAGCAGTGAAAACATTGCAGCTGGGCTCTGGAATTCTTAGTAGAAACCATGAAAAGGCAATGAAAACACTTAGAGCAATTGCAGGTTAGAAACTGGGATTCACAGGAGCTTAATGGAGCACATGATGTTAAGTGAAGTGAGCCAGGCACAAAAAGACAACTACCACGTGATCTGACTTATGTGGAATGTAAAACAATTGAACTCATGGAAGCAGAGAGTAGAATGGAGGATACCAGGGGCTGGGAGGCAGGGGTTTGGGGAGACGGTGAAAGCGTTCTAAAGTGTAGTTAGACAGGACAAGATTGCGCCACTGCATTCCAGCCTGGGCGACAGAATGAGACTCCATCTCAAAAAAAAGAAAATATTCTTGGTCAGGTGTGGTAGCTCGGCACCTGTAATCCCAGCTACTCAGGAGGCTGAGGGATGAGAACCCCTTGAACCCGGGAAGTGGAGGTTACAGTGAGCCGAGATCATGCCACTGCACTCCAGCCTGGGCAACAGAGGGAGACTCTGCATCAAAAATTAAAAAAAAAATCATTCTTGAATAAAAACACAACACCTTTAATTCCATGCTATTGTCCTTTATATATTAACTTGTAGAAAACGAAAACATTTATATAATGAAATTTATTATTCTACTTTTGATTAATATGTTCCCCTTATATCATGCAGTTTACTTCTTAATCAGTCTCCATAATCAACTGCATTTTTTTTTTTTTTGAGATGGAGTCTTGCTCTTGTTGCCCAGGCATGAGTGCAATGGCATGATCTCGGCTCACCTCTGCCTCCGGGGTTCAAGCTGTTCTCCTGTCTCAACCTCCTGAGTAGCTAGGATTATAGGCATGCGCCACCACGCCTGGCTAATTTTGTACTTTTAGTAGAGATGGGGTTTCTCCATGTTGGTCAGGCTGGTCTCGAACTCCCGACTTCAGGTGATTCACCCGCCTCGGCTTCCCAAAGTGCTGGGATTACAGGTGTGAGCCACCGCACCCAGCCGTATTTCCTTACAGATATTAAATTTGAAGCATTTGTCTTTTAAGATATCCTTTTGTCAGTTTCACTTACTGATGGCAACTTTCTACGTTGAGTAACATGATTCATCTCTGCTGTCTCGATCTGATCTCGTGATCCACCCACCTCAGCCTCCCAAAGTGCTGGGATTACAGGCATGAGCCACCGCACCCAGCCAATTTAATTTTTCTTAAACTGTAATTTCTATAATTTTATTCCTGTCAACGTTTTATAGGGAAGTTTTAAAACACACAGAAAAGTTGAAATTGTTAACATCCAGATACATACCCGCTAGATATGTACCGACTAGATTCTGCAATTGCCAGTGTTTTTCTCATCACATTTCTCTCCATATGCATCAATTCACCTTATTTTTAGATGCTTTGCAAAGTAAGCCGCAGGCATCGGTACATTTCGCCACTAATACTTCAACATGCATGTCAAGCATTAGCTAGGGCTCAATATTTGTTTATAGCTCTATTTTAGAGGTCAAGTTTACATACAGTGAAGCCCACCAGAATAGATCTCGTGTACAATTTGATGAGCTTTAAAAATACAGTCACGTAGTCCAAACCCTCATCAAAATACAAAATATTTCCATTACCTCTGAATTCTTCTCTCATGGGCCCTTCCCACCAGCCCCACACCCATGGGCCGTCCGTTCCCTCATTTCTAGCAACCATTGTTCTCATTTTTTTCACGGCTCTTCCAGCGCGTCATATAAATGAGGTCATTGAGTCCAGTACTCCAGTGTTTTTCACACAGCACAGCCCTTCTTTTTTTTTTTTTTTTTTGAGACGGAGTCTCGCTCTGTCACCCAGGCTGGAGTGCAGTGGCACGATCTCGGCTCACTGCAAGATCCGCCTCCCGGGTTTACGCCATTCTGCTGCCTCAGCGTCCCAAGTAGCTGGAACTACAGGTGCCACCCACCACGCCTGGCTAATTTTTTGTATTTTTAGTAGAGACGGGGTTTCACCATGTTGGCCAGGATGGTCTCGATCTCCTGACGTCGTGATCCGCCAGCCTCGGCCTCCCAAAGTGCTGGGATTACAGGCGTGAGCCACTGTGCCCAGCCCAAAATTGTCATCTTTAAAGTATTGAACCCACCCATCTATGAATATAGTAAATACTTTCTCACTTCCTTCAATAAAGTTTTGCCTTTTTCTCAGTAACAATCTTACATATCATTTGTTAGATTTATTTATAGGTAGCTTAAAGTTTTTCATGCTGTGGTTAATAATGTCCTTTAAAAATACATTTTAAAAATAGCTTGATTTTTGTATATTGATTTCTAGCAAGCCTACTGGATTTATTAGTATTAGTATTTAATCATTAATTCTCTTGCATATTCTGTGTATACACATATATAATCTATCATGTTTCCCCTTTTTCTTAATCTTTTGCTTTTTGTATCTATTGTGCTTTTTAAGATTGAATATAATTACCATACAATAAAATACACAGATGTTAATTATTTATTTTAGTTAGCTTTGATAATTATATACCCTTATGTAATTAGCACCCTCAATCAAAATATAGAATACTTCAGTCACTGTGTGCTTCCTTGCTGTCCATTCCCATCTCCCAACTCTATGCAACCAGCAATACTTTTTTCTGTTACCAACGAACTGGTTTTTCCTCTCCTTGCACTTTATATAAATAAAATAATAAAGTATATATTATTTTGAGACTGGTTGCTTTTGCATGCCATAAGGCCCTTTTAAGATTCATTTATGTTGTTGCCTTTATTAGTAACCCATTCTTTCTTTTTCTTTTTCTTTTTTTTTTGAGACAGAGTTTCGTTCTGTTGCCCAGGCTGGAGTGCAGTGGTGTGATCTCGGCTCACTGCAACCTCTGTCTCCCAGGTTCATGCAATTCTCCTGCCTCAGCCTCCCAAGTAGACCCATTCTTTCTTTTATGACTGAATAGTATTCCATGCTGTGGAATAACTCAGTGTGTTTACTGATTCACTTGTTGATAGACATTTGGGTTGTTTAAAGGTTTTTAGCTATTATGAATAAGGCTGCTATAAACACTTCAATATTTTAACTTTCTTTTATTTTTGTGTTATGAAGACTAGAACTCACAGTATAACACTGAAAGTAGAATGAGGGGTATTCTTATGTTTTTGACATAATTAAGTTGATATTTGTAATAGTTTTTAAATATTTATTTTTATTTATTTATTTAATTTTTTTAAGAGATGAGGTGTCTCTCTTTATGTTGTCCAGGCTGGTCTCAAACTCCTGTCTTCAAGTAATCCTCCCGCCTTGGCCCCCTTAAAGTGCTGGGATTACAGGCGTGAGCCATCACACCTTGCCTGCAATAGGTTTTTGAAAGAATCTTTTTTTAAGTTAAGGAAGTTGCCATCTATTCCTAGTTTGTTTAAAATGATTTGTTTATTTGGGGGGATAATTTGGTTTCATGAAGAATGGTTGTCAAATTCCATTAAATACCTTTTCTTTTTTTTATTTTTATTTTATTATTATTATACTTTAAGTTCTAGGGTACATGTGCACAATGTGCAGATTTGTTACATATGTATACATGTGCCATGTTGGTGTGCTGCACCCATTAACTCGTCATGTAGCATTAGGTGTATCTCCTACTGCTATCCCTCCCCCCTCCCCCCACCCCACAACAGTCCCCAGAGTGTGATGTTCCCCTTCCTGTGTCCATGTAAATCCCTTTTCTGCATTTATTAAAGAAACCAGTTTTTCTCCTTTAATCTAGTAAAGTAATGATTTATATTGATAGATCTTCCAAAGCAGTTTTACATTCTTGGATAAATATTAATTAGTAATAGTTTAAGAAATTATATAGCTAGATTTTAAAAATATGTTATTTATGGATATAAAAATGGAAACAATACACAATGGTACTATAAGAGGGGAGAAGAAAGGAGGAGGGCAAGGGTTGAAAAACTACCTATTGAGTACTATGCTCACCACCTGGGTGATGGGGTCAGTTGTACCCAAGCCCCAGCACCACACAATATACCCGTCTAACAAATCCACACATGTACCCTTGCAGGTAAAAAGATAAAATTAAAAATAAATAAAATAAAATATCTGTATGTTTGTTGCTTTGTTCATGTGTGAAATTAGCTACAGATTTTCTTTTTCATTTTGTTTCAAGAGTTAATGGCCTCATAAAATAAGCTAGATAGCTTTCTTCCTTTTTCTATTCTTCCGAAGTAATTTTACAATATTAAAATGATCCATTTCTTGAAGGCAGAAGTTACCTGTAAAACCAACCAGGCTTGGAGATTGTTTTTGTGTGTGTATTTAGAAAGGACAGCAGCAGGGGGGAGGTGGCCTGGATTAGTTTCTTTGATGGTAATATGTATGTTCACATTTTATATTTCTTTTTGAGCCAGTTGCGTTATATTTTTCCAGAAAATTACTTTTATAATGTAAGCTTTTAAATTTATTGGCATTAAATTGTGTATAATATTTATGTTAATTTTCTACTACCTTCCTATTATGTCTTGTCCTTTCTATTAAGAATATTATTTATTTTTATTTGCATTATTCTTCTTTTGTTCAAGTGAGCAGATATTGGTCCATCGAATTTGTCTTCTGAAAGAACCATTTTTCTTTTGTTACTCTTCATGACTGATTCTTTGGTTTAATGTTATTAATTTTTGCTCTTATCTTTATTATTTCCTTTCTTCTAATTCCTTAGGGTTTACTCTGCTATTCTTTTTTTAACCTTTGATTTAGATACTGAGTATTGTCATTTTCAACTTTCCTTCTTTGTTTAATGTATGCATTTAAAGATATATTTTAATTATTTGCAGTGCTGTGCTGGAGCCAACTGTAGCTCCTATTGGCTTGCGGGAATCTATTGTGTGTATCCTTCCCAACTTCACACTTCATGTTGGTAGCTTGAAATAGACTATGTGGGATATTTACACTATGGATATTGACAAAGGCTACAATTATAATAGTTCTTTCCCATCCCCCTTTCCCTCCAAATATACACACCAGCTTGGGGAACCTATTGGAATACATTTACCAACACATCATTGGTTGACTCCCAGATTTGGTATTTAGTGTTCATATTATGATTTTATTCTAAAATCTTATTTCTTCTTTACTCTTCGGTTGTTTAGAAGTATTTGTTAAAATTTCCAGATATATTAAATTTGTTGTTGTTGCTTCTGGCTTTTAATTTTATTGTGATGTGGTCTATAGAATGCTACTTCTTTGGCATTTGTTAGGACGTGGTTGGTAGCATACTATATGGTCAATTTATTAATTTGTAATTTTTTAATTAAAAAAGGTTTTAGAGACAGGATCTCGCTATGTTTCCCAGGCTGGAGTGCAGTCACTATTCACAGGCAAAAGCATAGCACACTACAGCCCTTTAACTCCTGGGCTCAAGCAATCCTCCTGCTTCAGCTTTCCAAGTAGCTAGGACTACAGGTGCATGATAATTTCACTTCACACTTTATTTTTAAAAGTTTATTTATGCTTGAGAACATGTGTATTCTTTAATTCTCAGAGTTCTATATATGTCTCTTTGTTCAAGCTTGTTAATTATGTTGCCTCAATTGTCTATTTAATTACTAATTTTTGTCTATATAACTACTGATTTCTGCTTAGATCTATCAACTACGGATCTATCAAATCTGTGAAAGGAATCTTAAAATCTCCACTATGTTGCTATCTAAATTTCTTTTCCTTTTGTATCAGTTTTCTGTAGATTTTGAGGCTAAACTGTTAGTGTGAACAAAAGTTCTCTGAAAAGGAATGTGAAAGAGACTTTACTGCAGTGAACAGTTTACAAATTGGGGAGACACAGCCCTCAGTGTAAAATGAAGGTGCATTCCTGAGAACAAAGGGAGGCTTTGGGTTTCACAGTGAAAGCTCCTGTCCAGGTTCCTAATAAGATCTGTTTATGCAAATGAAAGATACAAACTTGCTTAGTTCTGACTGGGTAACAGAGCTGAGCTCTGATTGGTTGATACAGCCGAGCCCTGTTTGTTGATACAACTGAGCTTGCATCAACATTGGTTGGTTCAGGTGAGCTCTGGATGTGTATCAAGGTGGAACAGAGGTCTTGGTTTTGGCAGAACTCAGAGTTGGTGTGTGAACTGTAGTCAGCCAATGGTCGCTTGGCTCTATTATAAATGTAGGACTGGTTAGCCACTTGGGATCCATGTTGAAAGATTGGCTCTTTCAGATATATGTTCACATTAGGTACATATGTGATTATTACATCTTTACGATTAATTTTTTCTTTAATGAATATGTAATGTCCTTCTTATTCATAATCATGTCTTTTGTCTTAATTATTCTTTCATCTGATACTATTTTTTCACCAGTGGCTTTTTTTTTTTTTTGGTTAATATTTGCCTGGTATATCCTTCTATCCTTTATCATTCACTTTTCTATTTTAGATATGCTCCTTATAAACAGCATATAGCTAAAACTTTTCCTATTATAAGAGTTTCCACTTTTTAATTAATAAGACAATCTCTTTACATTTATTGTGCTTGCTTTTTTAAAATACTAATTCTCTTTAACTTCCTGCCTTGTACTGGCTTGATTATGAAGTTTTTGTGTGCTTATTTATATGAAATATTCCATTCATGAAGATAAGAATTGAGACCAGTATAGGTAAAATGAACTTCACACACGCAGAACGCAGCTTTATCGAATTGTTTTTCATCCTTTGTTTGGAAATCACAGATTCTGCTCCTATTTGTTTTAGTGGTAGCCATTAGCTTTTAAACATGCATCTGTGACCTAACCCAGGACAAGAAACTTCAAGTACTTTTATTCCAATCTCATCATTTATTCAGTTTGTAATAGCTTTTTAGTATTTTATTTAAAAAAATCCTTTAAACTACTCATTATTTCTCTTTTTGATAGTTTGAGTCAATGCCTGTCTAGATTTACCTATAGACTTGACAACTATATTGTTTGCCTGTGAGCATTAAAAAACAATATTTTCTGTTAGTGGCGAACTGTAATAGCTTTTTATGAAAATGTCTTTATTTTACTCTCAGTTTTTAGTTGTGGTTTAGTTGATAATAGAATTCTAAGTTGCTAGTTATTTTCCCTCAGTACTTTGAAGCTATTATTCCAGTATTTTCTATCCTGTAATGTTGCTATTAGAAATTCTGTTGCTATTTGGGTTATTGTCCTATTTTAAGTAATCTAGTTTTTCTTCCTGGATATTTTGATTTCTTTATATTTCATATAACTTCACTGCAACTAATCCAAGTGTGAATCTGTTTTTATTTATCTTGCTTAGAGTTATTGTGCTTCTTCAATCTAAAAATTCATGGTTTTAAAAATGAAACCTGGATAATTCTCAACTATTATCATTTTCAATAGCATTACTTTCCCATTATCTTTATTTCGTCTTTCTGAAATTCTTACTAGATGAATGTTGGATTTTCTCAATCCGTACTCTGTGTTTTTTAACATCTCTTTAAAATTTCTGATTTCTAGTATCTTTCATTCATATACTGGGTCATGTACTCAGGGTTAGCTTTCGCTGATTAATTCTTTTTCACCTTATTGTTTCTGTACCTCTAATACTTTAATTGTCTTAAATATGCACGTTGTATTCCCTTTCAGGTTATTTTTCAATTATTTTATATTCTGAGCTGTGGTTTTTATGTTTGCTATTTCTGTTGATTTTCATTCACAAGAGTAATTTCCTTGTGCATTTTATAATTTGGAATTATAACACAAACTCTCTTTTTATTTAAGAATCTGGGAACGCTGAGTAGTTAAGGAATCCCTCCAGTGTGTTTTTGCTTTGCTTCATTTGAATAGCCCAGAGCCACTATCAACCTAAGACTGACTTTACATTACCTTTTCAGCTCAAAGATTTTCCATGCCATGAATGTAGTAGAAAACAAACTCCAGGTGCCCAGGCCTGGGATGCTGAGCTCTCATGGGAGAATTATTTACTGATTTCGTCTTCTATTTTTCCAGCTAGAATCATGGCTGAGACAACTTCCTTATGGTCTCTCTGAACTACTGGACAGTTTAGTAGTCCCAGTTTTTAGTAAGTGAGTTAGCAACTCACCTAGGGTCAAATTCTAGCTAACTGGGTTGGATGACTCCTCCTAATGGCGAGCGTTCCCTCATGTAACTCCCTCAGTGGCCCTCAGTTCTCTCCTAGCTTCTGCCATGGGCACACCATAGATGTTCTTTACTTGAACACAGCCACAGATTTTTAAAAGCTGTAGTGTCTTATCCCGCATTTCTAAATGTTATTAGTGGGTGGCTCTGCGTGGTAGCCTACTCTGCTGTCTTGCAGAACTAGAAGTCCTGCCTCCTTTAGCTGATGGGAATTGTGTTAATATTGCCCCTTCCTTTTGCTTACTCAAGGTTTTCTGTGGCTATTCCAGGTCCTGGGTAGCCATTCCAAAATAGCTAAGCAACCACAGATTCCATCCAGCATGTATATATCTTTGCTCTCTTACTCCTTTCTCCATGAGTTCCAAAGAATGGGTGTGGCAGGTGGGACTGTATGAAACCGAGGTACTCTTTTATAAGGTTGAAAATTATATCTGTTAGAGAGAATTCACTGCTGTGAATGGGTTTACTCTCACTTTAAGGTCATTGGATTCTCACCATGTAAGAAAATATTTGATCACAAAATTCTGGGATGATTTTTCCACTTAAATTATGTGTCCATTCCAAGTGTATTTCATAGCCATGAGTTTGTTAAGCCTTCTTTATTAAAAAATAACCAGGGTTTAATATAGGGTGATATTTAATGACTTCAGTGAAAGGACATTCCAATTCTATTTCCAGAGGTTTTTAACTTCCTTAAGTTTCTCTGAACATGCTAAATTCTTTTATAAGTTCCTTTGCTCTCCATTTTTTCCCTGAACTTACTGCTACCTTGCTTTAAAATTTTTTATTTTCTACAGAAAAGGGTGAGCAAGGGGTGGAGAAAGTCATTTTAGGCTAATTAAAAAATAACTTTAAAGACATTACTCTTTTATTCAATTTCTAGTTATTGAAAAAAATAAAATATCTTTTTTTTTTCTTTTTGAGACAGAGTCTTGCTTTTGTTGCCCAGGCTGGAGTGCAGTGGTGCCTCTGCCTCCCGGGTTCAAGCAGTTCTCTGCCTCAGCCTCCCGAGCAGCTGGGATTACAGGCACCCACCATCATGCCCAGCTAATTTTTGTATTTTTAGTAGAGACAGGGTTTCACCATCTTGGCCAGGCTGGTCTTGAACTCCTGACCTCGTGATCCACCTGCCTTGGCCTCCCAAAGTGCTGGGATTACAGGTGTGAGCCACGGCACCCGGCCTAAAATTATTATATTCTTTTTAATGGGTGCTTTACTTCAATCAACCCTTTTTCCCAAAGGCTTTTCTATTTATAAGTTCTGATGCACTGAGGAAGCCTATCAAGGGCAGGGGCCTCTTATTCCAACACTGTTGGTCCTCACAGAAACCCATCCCCCCTCCCACCTTCTTCTTGGTTACTAGTTATCTTGGGTAACTGAAAATATTTTGCTCATTTCTGTTTCCACGACCAATATTCGCCTAATAATCCCTACACTGCTTCATTGCCCTTCTTCAGAGTCAAGAAATTCATTCACTGCTGTGTGGTATGTTGGTTCATGAAAAAACAGACAGACATGCTGTGGGAAGGTCTAAAGCTCTTCCTGGATGTACCACACCCTACACTCCATCCAAAAAATAAGGCTTATATCTTTTTCTAGTAAAAGATTCTACAAATTATTTTAGATCTTTTCCTCTCTCCCTAGGACTTTGTTTCTGGAGGAAAACTAGCATCCTTTTCTCTGAAGCCCACCAGTCTTTTCCCTCTGGAAGAACAAGAAGCCTTCCACCCTTTCTACCTGATAGGAATATTCAAATAAGAAAATAATGAGCAGCATGAGAAGCATTTTTTCTTTTTTTGGAGGCAGGGTCTCACAGTTGCCCAGGCTGAAGTCAGTGGTGCAAATTCCCAGGCTCAAGTGATCATTCCACCTCAGCCTCCCAAGTAGCTGAGACTACAGGTAGGTGCATGTCACCACACCCAGCTATGAGAAGCATTTTTGGGTGCCTGTTAGTCACTAGGCGGTTGTCATACCTTACTTTTAACCTTCAGAGCTACAATTACCATCCCCGTTTGACAGAGGGGAAAACTAAAGCTTGGAAAAAGTTAGGTAATTTACTAGTGGTTCCATAAAAGATAGAGCTGAGATCAGGGTCAAAGTCTGTCTGGCTCAGGCCTCATGTTCTAAACCTGCCTTAAATCCTTACTCTTACTTTTCATCTCTTACTCCTAAATCTTACTCTCTTTAAACTAGACATTTCTAGTCTCTTTTTGGGCTTCTATCATCCCCTGTAATATTTTTATCTTAGCACTTGCCACAATGTACTGAAATCGTTTAACAATGTTTTAATCACATCCAACCTCTGTACCTCCAGGACCCAGCACAGTGCCTGGTATACATTAAAAATGTTTGAGGCCAGGCGTGGTGGCTCACACCTGTAATCCCAGCACTTTGGGAGGCCGAGGAGGGTGGATTACGAGGTCAGGAGATCAAGACCATCATGGCTAAAATGATGAAACTCCGTCTCTACTAAAAATACAAAAAAATTAGCTGGGCGTGGTGGCATGCACCTGTAGTCCTAGCTACTCGGGAGGCTGAGGCAGGAGAATCACTTGAACCTGGGAGGCAGAAGTTGCAGTGAGCTGAGATCACACCACTGCACTCCAGCCTGGGTGATGACAGAGTGAGACTGCATCTCAAAAATAAATAAATAAATAAAAGAAATATTTGTTGAACTTATACAGTATTTTTTTTTCTGTTGCTATTTACTCTTTTATCACCACAGGTGGCCTCCCTAAATCCCACAGCTGGAGAAGCTGAGAAGAACATGAACTTGATGAAGAATTGTAGTATCAAGTTGGGAATTAGGGACAGTTAGAAAATGTCCAGACTCAAATCTGCTATTGAGGGAAGCGCCGTTTGATTCTGGTCTGATTCATCAGAACACATTTGGAGTCCCAAGAGTGGGGAAGCACTTTGCTTCTTAAGGCATTTTGTCTTTGTAAACACTGCCATAGAACACCTATTCAAAAATGAATAGACAGTGGAATGAATAAGAAAGACCTCACTCAACCTTTGTTTAACTGAGTGCTATTCATTTGGAAACTATTTTTTTTTCTAATAATGTAAAGTAGACCTTGATGTGTTATGGAATCCAGATAAAGTAGAAAATAGAAAAAATTTTTGTCAAAATCCTAATTTTTGTTTCAATTTGAATTTTTTTTTTTTTTTTGAGACAGTGTCTTAGAGTTCTGTTTCTCAAGCTAGAGTGCAGTGGTGCAATCACTGTTTGCTGTAGCCTTGACTTCCAGGGCTCCGTTGATCCTCCCACCTCAGCCTCTTGAGTAGGTGAGACTACAAGTATGCTGCCATGCCCTGCTAATATTTAAAGTCTTGTGTTTTGTTTTTTGTTTTTGTTTTTGTTTTTGTTTTTTTGAGATAAGGTCTTACTATGCTGCCCAGGCTAGTCTAAAACTACTGGGCTCAAGTGATCCTCCTGCCTCGGCCTCCTAAATTGCTGGGATTCCAGGCATGAACCACTGAACCTAGCCTCAAGTTTAATTTTTTATCAAATCAATATGGGCATATGTTTATTCAAAATTTTAATAGCACTTACAATGAAAACTGACACTTTTCATCTCTAAGTCCCACTACTTGTATTTAACCCTTTAATTACTGTATGCCTTCTGGTATATATCTCTAAATAGTATCTTTATAGTGTTATTTCTTAACTTTTATTTTCGATGTTATCTATTGTGTGTGTGTGTGTGTGTGTGTGTGTGTGTGTATGTTTGTGTGTGTTTTCCTTAGACAGAGTCTGGCTCTATTGCCCAGGCTGGAGTACAGTGGCACAGTCATGGCTCACTGCAGCCTCAACCTATTGGGCTCAAGTGATCCTCTCCCCTCAGCCTCCTGAGTAGCTGGGACTACAACCACATGCCACCATACCAGGCTAATGTTTTATTTTTTGTAAATGCAGGGTTTTACCATGTTGCCAAGGCTGGTTTTGAACTCCTGGACTCAAGCGATCGTCTCACCTCAGCCTCTTCTGTTGGCTTTTTTCTATGGGCAAAATGCATTCAGCTTTCTTAAATCACCCCCACCTACTTCTCCCATTTTCTCATAGAATAGTTGTATCATAAAACCTTTTAACTGATATCAGTGCTCGGTGTTTGCACTTCTGAGGGCTTGCAAATGTTATTCACAACTGAACTATGTTGTGCACTAAAGCAATTGTTCTCTTATCGTAGAATTTTGTTTCCCTTAGGGTTAATAATGATTTGTGGTTTTTGCTTAGTTTTTTTACACCTATCAATAATTCAGACCCAAACTTTCTAATCGGACTGTACAGCTTCATTTGATTTGACAGTTACAGCAGTTAATTCTTTCTTGACAGTCTTGGTCCTGGAAGTCCAGTTTATTTTCAGTGCATAAATCTAATTTTTTATTTTGTTTTTATGAAATTGGGATTCTACTATATACACTTAGACTGTATTGTAAGTGAATTTTTCACCAAGCAATGGATCATGAACATCTTTCATGCCTAAAACAACCTATTTAATGGATGCATAGTATTCTGTTGCCTGAACATACCGTAATCCATTAAGCTAATTGTCCATGGTGACACATTTACACAGTGTTCAATTTTTCACTTTTATAAACGACCCTGAGTCTCAGACTCCTGAAGCCCAATTTTGCCTAATTATTTCCTAAGATAAATTCTAAGCATTGAATTGCTAGGTCAAATGATATGTAGATTATTCAAGATTTGACACAGAGTTTCCTCCAGCAATAGTGTTGAATTTGAGAAATATTGCCAATTCTGAGCTTTGTCATCTTAAACTTTTAGTCAGTCTTAAAGCTAATTATTTTAATTACCATTTATTTAATAACTCATGAGATTGTGTATGTTTTTGTATGCTGATTTGATATTTTGGCTTTAAATTTTGTGAATTGCCTGGTTATATCCTTCATTCATTTTATTCCCTGCTGCTTCTTAATAAAACCTCTCCATTTTAGTTTGTGATCATTGCTTTGCCAGACTTCTTTTTTGTATTCTAGCTCTTCATCTCTTTTCCCATGCTGTTTTCATAATTTCTTTAACCATTTGCCTGTTCATGCATCTATCTAATATTTATTGAGCACCTATTACAGTCTTCAAGGAACTGTGAACACTATAGACAAGACAATGTCATCGCTCTTATGGAACTTACATTTTAGAAAAAGGAGACATCATAAAGAAGTAAGCAAAAGCAAAAATATCAGATTGTAAGTGTTACAGAGATTAACACTAGGTACCATGCTAGGGAATGGTAAGGCAAATCCTTTAGATTGAGCGGTTAACGAAGGTGTCTCTGAGCAGGTAACACTCTAGGACACTCTAGGTCTTTGTGACACAAGGAAGCCAGCTATCTAGTACAACATTCCAGGAGGAAGAAAGAGGGTGCATCAAGCTCCATCTCCTGCCAATTTGAAGTATAACTTTTTAAAGGCCAAGTCCCAGTCCTATGAAGCTTTTTTGAACCCTTTTGGCCCACAGTGATAGAGGCAGGAGGCAGAGAACTCTCCTAGGCAGATAGGGGAGGGTTCCCAGAGAATCTCTGACCCACCGAGGTCATTGTGCACAGATGGCTTGCCTAAACATGTGGTAAAAACCTCCATCCCTTAACACATGTGCAGTAAGGGAAATAAATGTGGAGTGGCTCAGAGTAAGGGCCCACAAAGGCCCTGGAAGGGTGGGATGGAACTGCCAGGAATCCGTGCCTTGTACGAACAGGGAACCCAGCCCCATCAGCAGATATGAAAGTCCTCATATTCAACAGTGAAGGGGGGCAACTGGCAACCTGCTTTCAGGACCCCTCTTTTTGCTGAGAGCTTTCCTTTTCACTTAACAAATTCTACTCCACTCACTCTTCGATGTCCACATGCCTAAATTTTCCTGGTCATGAGACAAGAACCTGGATCTAGCTGAGCTAAGGAGTAAAAACTCCTGCATCAACAGCAAACACTGTTTTAATGTCATATAATTCTCATTGTCTGAACTACTTATTTGGCATTTAAAATTTATAGACTCATATAATAATTCATCTTACGTTTATTATACAGGTTCAGCATCCTGAATCCAAAACTCCAAAAACCAAAATGTTCCAAAATCTGAAACTTTTTGAGTACTGACATGACATCACAAGCAGAAAATTCCACACCTGACACCTTTGCTTTCCAAAGATTCAATGTATACAAACTTTATTTCATGCACAAAATTATTAAAAATATATGAAATTACCTTCGGGCCATGTGTATAAGGTGTATATAAAACATAAATGAATCTTGTGTTTAGACTGGGGCCCAACCCCAACATATTTCATTATGTATATGTAAATATTCCAACATCCAAAAAATCTGAAATTTAAAACACTTCTGGTCCCAAGTATTTTGGATAAAACATACTCAACCTGTATTTTCTTTCTCAGATGAGTCAATGAATTTCTTAGAGTTAAAGTACTATATCTTATATTTATTAGTGAAGACAAACTTATCTGATATATACTAGATGCTCATAGTTATATTTCTGAGTAATATATAAAATTATAATCTTGGTTGCTTGCTGTAGGTTTGTCTAATTCAGTCTTTGAAAGCCTGGGAAAGAGCCATGGCATATGAGGCCTTTGGTTCAAATAGGCTAGAAAGAAAGGAAGTTGTTTATTGCAGAATATGAAATTAAATTAAAAAGCTAAGGCATTTACTTTCTTCTTGATGAAACCTTTACAAGAAAGTGAATCAGCAGAAGAAAAAGTCTAGGCCCGGAGTACAATTTCAATAACTAGTGTTTGAAAGGGAGCAGGTCACTACCATTTCTGTGCAAGTGTGTGTGTGTGTGTGTGTGTGTGAGCGCGCATGGAGTGTTTATTTAGTGTCCTCTAGGTGTTTTGGTACATGCTCGCGAATGTCAATGGAAGGGAAATGGTTATATGAAAAAATATGGTTATCGTCTTCAAAAATCATACATTAGCTGGGCCTTGGGAGAGGTGAGCGGGTGTCCTGGCTGAGCTCTCAGAGGGGTAGAGGAAAGAGACGGGGCAGGAAGGGGCTCCTTCCAGGCCCTGGGTTGTGCTGATGGTGCCATCTGGTCTCTGAACCTGCTCCAACATGAAGGCACTTCGAGACGCACATAATTAATGACAGCCTCACAGCCCCCAATGTCAAAAGACAAAATGCACTGGCTGTTGGGCACAGCTGGAAACCAGGGTAGTCAACATGGTTTGTGGAAGGTCCCAGGCTGGCCCAGGACCTACTGGGTCTCTACTGCCCCTCGCACTGGTCTGACTTTTTCCTATTCTCCCACAGCCTCCTCCTTTATCTCTCCTGCCTTCACTCTGCTTTCTCTCCATCCTGTGCTGTGGATGTATCCATGGTTCTAAGTTGGAACCACCTGTGTCTCTGGAAAGACCCCCCCCGATAGCCCCATCCACCAGCTCCTGTCACCGTGCCTGACATGTTCACCAGTGCAGGCAGTGCTTCAGCGTGGCCTTGCCCTCTGCAACCAGCCTCTGGTGAAGGGCTCATGTGCTGTTGGGCAGAGTGGTCCCTATGGTTTCAACAGGATGACTCAGGTTCACTGAGAACCGAGAGTCAGGTGATACCTGGAACCGGGCGTGTGGGAAAGACTCACTTCCAATCCAAGCAGACCCTTCACAGTGGGTGGGTACCAGGGGTGAGTTGGGCTTCTTTGTTTCAAAGAAAAGGCTGTGTGCTCTCTCCTTACCTGGATCCCACTCCAGCTGCCCCCAGCCCTGTACCCACCCCTCAGCCTGCATCCTGACATCTTGCTCATTCACTTCGTCATGCTCACTTGGCAAAATCCTCAACCGCCAGGGAAAGCCGACTTTGCCTCCTCACACCTGCGCTTGACCAGCTGCAGGCATCAGGGAAACATGGACCGGCCTCATGGCCACTCAGGGCCCAGGCCTGATGCCCAGGGACCTCAGCCCTCTCTCATCTTCACATCCCACACACTCTCCTCTCTGCTCAGACCCTGCCTTCCTCCCCATCCCTGGCTCTCTGTTCCCACGGTGATCTGTCCCTGCTCCTGTCTGAAGCTGGTCCCTCTCCTTGTGCGCTTAATTTCATACCCTCATCCACTGAACATTGTTCCAGAAACCCTCCTCCTCCCTCTCCTACAAAGCCAGTTTCTTATTTTCTATTGTATCTTTCTCACAAACTTAAAACATGCTATTTTGCCCATTTTAAGAGAAAACAAGACAAACAGATACCATCTTGATTCCTCTTCCCCTGCTGGCCACCCCCTCATTTCTTTGCTTACGTCTGCAGCAGAATTTGCAAGGCCTGTCTACACTTGCTGTTTTCAGTTACCCTCTGTGTCAGTCTGCTTGGGCCGCCATAACAAAATACCATTGATTGGGTGACCTAAGCCACAGAAATGTATTTTCTCGCAGTTCCAGAGGCTTTTCAGAAAAGACCCTTCTGGATTTTCAGAAAATCTCGCTGACTATATCTTCAGAGTATATCCAGTACCCAATCACTCTTGGAAGTCCAAGATCAAGGTTTGGGCCTATTCACTTTCTGCCAAGAGCCCACCTCCTGGCTTACAGACAATTAAGGCACACTGTCCTCCCTGGCCTTTCCTCCGAGCATGCTCCTGGAGTGAGCCAGAGCAAGCCCTCTGGTGTCTCATTCTTTTGTTTTTTGATATAGGGGCTCACTCTATTGCCTAGGCAGGAGTGCAGTGGCACGATCACAGCTCACTGCAGCCTCAAACTCCCCAGACTCAGATGATCCTCCCGCCTCAGCTTCCAAGTAGCTGGGACAACAGGCACGTGCACCATGCCTACCCAGCTAATTTTTTTGTATTTTTAGTAGAGACAGGGCTTCAGGCTCAAGCGATCCATCTGCCTCAGCCTCCCAAAGTGCTGGGAATACAGGTGGGAGCCACCACACCTGGCCTCTGCTGTCTCTTTATAAGGACGCTAGTCCTATTAGGTCAAGGCCCCACCCTCATGACCTCATTTAACCCTAATTACTTCCTCACTCCAAACACAGCCACACTGAGGATTTGGGCTTTGATGGATGAATTTGAGGGGTACATAAACATTTAGTCCCCAATACCCTGCTCCTATGCTCTCTTCAACCCACCAAACAGGCTCCTGCCCCCACCAGTCTGCTGTAATTGCTCTTGTCAAGGTCACGCCTGGCCTCCACACTGCTAAATCCACAGGGTGAGTGTTCACCCTCATCTTACTTGACCTCTCAGCAGCACTTCACCCAGCTGAGTACTCTCTCCTCCTTGATTCACTTTCTTCTCTTGGCTTCTGGTACACCATGCTCCTTGCTTTTCTTCCTACTTCATGGTTTGCTCCTTGTCAGCCTGTTTTCCTGGTTCTTCTCTCTCAATCTCTTCAAGTTGGAGCACTCCAGGGCTCAGTCCTCAATCCTCTTCTTTCTTTTTTTTTGTTTTTGAGACAGAGTCTCACTCTTGTTGCCCAGGCTGCAGTGCAGTGGCGTGATGTCAGCTCACTGCAACCGACAGTGAGTGAGACTCACTGAACCCTCCTGGGTTCAAGCAATTCTCCTGCCTCAGCCTCCCAAGTTGCTGGGATCACAGGTGCCCGCCACCACGCCCGGCTAATTTTTGTATTTTTAGTAGAGATGGGGTTTCATCATGTTGTCCAGGCAGGTCTCGAACTCCTGACCTCAGGTGATTCACCTGCCTCAGCCTGGGATTACCGGCATGAGCCATTTCACGTGGACTGGTGATGCAATCCAGTCTGAAGACTGTGAATACCACCTAGATGCTTAGCAACTCCCAAATGTGCCTCTCTAGCTTGGATGTTTACAGCCATCTCCAGACTTGTCCATCCAATTGCCCCTTCAGCATTTCCGCCAAAATGCCTAAAAGACATTGCAAACTCAACAGGCCCCAGATGGATTCCTGATCTCCCCCCAGATATTCACAACCTTCCACATCTTTGTTGATAGCAACTCTATTCTTTCATTTGTTTAGCTCAGTTCTTTACACCCTCCTCTCTTTCTCTCATATCCCAATTTTTCAGGAAATCCAGCTGACTATATCTTCAGGGTGTATCCAGTATCCAGCTACTTCTCACTTCTCATTATCTGCACAACTCCCATCATCTCTTGCCTGCGTTGCTCCAACAGCTCTCTTTCCTTCCAATCTTGCCCTCTTTTTTTTTTTTCTGTTTGTTTGTTTTTGAGATGACGTCTAGCTCTGTCACCCAGGCTGGAGTGCAGTGGCATGATCTTGGCTCACTGCAACCTCCACCTCCTGGGTTCAATCGATTCTCCTGCCTCAGCCTCCCGAGTAGCTGGGATTACAGGTGCCTACCACCACACCCAGCTAATTTTTGTATTTTTAGTAGAGATGGGGTTTCACCATGTTGGCCAGACTGGTCTCAAACTCCTGACCTCAAGTGTTCTGCCTGCCTCAGCCTCCCAAAGTGCTAAGATTACAGGCATGAGCCACCACGCCTGGCTTCTTATGGTCTATCTTTAACACCACAGCTAGAGAGACAATTTTAATTCAGTCATATCATGCCACTCCCTGTCTCTGCTCCCTGCCATGGTTCAGGTAAACCCTGCTAGCTCACTTGGTATGAAGAACCTACAGAACCCGACATGGTGAATACCCCATGACCTATCTGACCCCATTTCCCAGTGCTCTCTTCCTTGCTGTCTTCACATCAGCCACGTTAGCCACCTTCCTTTTCTTCACACAAACTGGGTGCACTTTGGCCTGGACCTGTTCCTCTAACTGGAACTTTCTTCTCCACATAACCACATGTCTCAGGTCCTCTTCTACAAACCTCACCTCAATGGCCATCCTTTATTTTTTTTATTTTTTTTAATGGCCATCCTTTAAATTCTGCAACCTAACTCTGCCTCTCTGTCTCTCAATCACCATCCTCCCTTACCTTGCTCTGCTTCCCCACCATAGCACCCGAACACACCATGAAATATTTCTATTCATTATGTTATAGGTTGTCTGTGTCCCTCATCCCCTCCTTTCTTTACTAGATTGTAAGTACGCTAGGGGCAAATATCTGTGTCTATTTAGTTACCTTTCAATCCCAAGTTCCTAAAACAATGTCAGGCCCATTATAGATCTTCAGTAATTAGCTATTGAATGAACAATGTTGAGAGAGTGGGGAATCTTCTGATTAGAAAATGTTTTCATACCAGTCTTCTGTTACCACCTAGCAAATTACTGCAAAGTTACAGCTTGTAACAGCACACATTTATTATCTCACAATGGCATGGGTCAGGAGTCTGGGCCTGGCTTAGCTGAGCCTCTGCTCAGGATCTTGAAAGACTGTGATCAGGTGTTGGCTGGGGCTGTGGTCTCATCAGAGGCTCCAAATGAGAACTATCCCCTTCCAAGTTCCCTCAGGTGATTGGCAGAACTCATTTCAATGCCTATAGGACTCTCTGTCCCATTTTCTTGCTGTTCTGAGCTCCCAGAGACCACCCACAGCTGCTTGCCTCACCTGATTCTCTCCATAGACCCTCTCATGCATGGTGGTATACTTGTTCAAAGCCAGTAAGGTTGACTTTCTCAAGCACAAGACGTAATATAATATAATATGAAAGTGACACCCCATCATCTTTGCTATATTCTATAGTTAAGAAACAAGTCACAAGCCCCACCCACAAGGACTGACTGATTGCGGGGGCCACTCTAGGCTCCACATTGCCACTTTTCTCCCTCTTCCCCCACACCTTCTTTTCTCCCAATACTGCCTCCACTGTCTGCCACAAAAAGGATTTTGGAAGGTGTTTCAGTTAGGAGTTAGGATGGGTTAGGTTATGCTACAGTAACAAGTAGCATCCAAAATTATTTGCTCTTTTTTTTTTTTTTTTTTTTTTTTGGAGACAGAGTCTTGCTCTGTAGCCCAGGCTGGAGTGCAGTGGCGTGATCTCAGTTCACTGCAACCTCCACCTCCTGGGTTCAAGCGATTCCCCTGCCTCAGCTTCCCAAGTAGCTAGGATTACAGGCACATGCCACCACACCCAGCTAATTTTTTGTATATTAGTAGAGACGGGGTTTCACCATTTTGGTGAAGATGGTCTTGATCTCCTGACCTCATGATCCACTGGCCTGGGCCTCCCAAAGTGCTGGGATTATAGGTGTGAGCCACCATGCCCAGCCTATTTGTTCTTTTTTTAAACATACATCTGTAACAACCTGATATTGGTTCATTTTAAAATGTGCTTTTAATGTTTTTTGCTCAAGCCAGATGCCCACCACAGCTATGGTGAGGGTTCTGCTATATCTCCCAAGCTTCTGGGACCCAGACTGATAGAGTAGCCATCATCTTAAATGTTGGTGGTTTCTGCAGTGAAGAGAAAGGCCCAGAAAGTCTCACACTGGCAGTGACATGGTCCAGCTTACAGATGCCACCCATCATTTCCACTTAAAATGTCCCTCCACCCCCACAAGAGGCCATGATGTGCAACCTACTGTTAATAAAGACACAAGGGCTGAGACAAAGCAGCACTCATGACTCCCATAGGCAGCTTCTTCTCCGAGAAAGGCAAACATGGAGTTTGTCAATAAAAAAGTTCAAAGGAGAAAATTACCTGGAGGAGACTTAATGTCAAGCAGATAAGAGTTCTGTGTAGCTGTAGAGAAAATCTGTAATGGTCTATCTCCAAGGTAAAATATTCAAAATTAGGGAGAATAGATTAAGTGATTAGTAATAAGTTAGTGAAGGATGGCTAATTGCTCCTAAATGTGCTTGCTTCTTCTTTAGGGTTATTGTTTTTCATCTGTGTTTGCACATTATTTTTTACTTTTTTTATTTTTTTGAGATGGAGTCTAGCTCTATCAGCAGGCTGGAGTGCAGTGGTGCGATCTGGGCTCACTGCTACCTCCGCCTCCCGGGTTCATGGGATTCTCCTGCATGAGCCTCCCGAGTAGCTGGGATTACAGGCACGTGCTGCAATGCCTGGCTAATTTTTATGTTTTTAGTAGAGATGGGGTTTCACTATGTTGGCCAGGATAGTCTCAAATCTCCTGACCTCGTGATGCGCCCACCTTGGCCTCCCAAAGTGCTGGGATTACAGACGCGAGCCACAGCACCTGGCCAGCATGTTTTTTAATGTACCAAATCTGTTAAAACTTTTAGCTTCCAAAGATTTTGCCACCATTATTTCATTAATGAACTCTCATTGCTCATGAAGAAGGTAGTTTGTACCTAGAATGGAATATTACAAATGACTGTCCTTAAAATGTAGAATTGTCCCACTCAAAGTGAGCCAGGGTCATTAGAGGTCCTTCCATCTATGGTTGGGACATTTGAGGTCTTTGTCATATTGTAATGTCGTGGTTGGTTAAATGTCATCCTTGGTATCTTGGGGCTTAGCCCATTGCATTATTGAGACCGAGAGCATTGGGCTATTTTTCCAAAGACTCGCTATCAGATGAAGACATACATCAGATACAAAAAATAAAGTTTCTTTCAACTCTGATATTCTTCACTGTTCTAATTATGCCCATCCTTGAGGAACTGTTTCAGACATCACCATCAAGAGAAATTCCTGTTTACTCCTAGCCTTATGAATTGCCACTTTGGTTTGCCAGGGGCCAGCATCTGTCTTCTACTAAGTGGAAACAGTGCTCATTACATGAACACCTAATACCCATTTCATTCCAAGTGATTAGGCTCCTAACCCAATCGTTGTAATCCCATTTCATTTGTAAGGAACTGGTTTAGGACAGGCATGTTGCTCAATCCTGGCCAATGAGACATGAGGAGACTGTGCTACACAGCTTCTGGGAAAGATCTTATTTGTAAGATATGAGGCCCCTCCTCTTGCTCTGTGTGTGTGGTACTTGGATGGGATCCCAGTAACTATTTCAGGGAAGAACAAAGCTAGGAGATCTGTAGCAAAACAAAATCGGGACCTCTGGACTTATTTGTGATAATACATTGCCCTATTGTATAAAACAACTTGAGAGGGCCTGCAGCCACTGGTAGCCAAAAGCATCCTAATTGACAACATAAAGAAGACTTGCAAGGTTCCTCACCTGCCTTCCCATGACACACATCATTTCCATAGGGATACCATTGGAAGCCCCAAGGAATGTGCTACTGAGTCTCTGATCCTGGTGCTGTTTTTATCAGCCGATATGAACAAAAGGAAAATAAGTGCAGATGGGCAGGCAACTTCCTCCAAGCACTGCCTGGTGGAATACATGGAGCCACTTGGCTGATCTTCACGGAGGAGATCGCGGGTGAGTGCCCACCATCTGTTGTATTAACTCTTGCCCATAATCTTGATTTATAAAAGGCCCTCTAGGATTTTCCCACCTAATTGCTTTGGATCTAAAATGGTCACTTCAACGATTACAGTTCCTGATATATAGATGGATGGGGCTGGAAGTTTAGCTCAAGAGTTAAGGGAAGCAGAGAAAGATCTGAGGCCTCTTTCTCACTGTGACGGGCCAACAGGTATTTGCAAACTGCAAGGACATGAATATTCACAGCATATCTGAACAGAAATCTTTCATTATCTAATGACACGGATCACAGCATCCTTGGCAGCATTTTTGGTCATGGGATAGGGTTTCTCATCTTCAGCACTATTGACATTTTGGGCCATAGAATTCTTTGCTGCGGGAGGCCGTCCTGTGCATCACAGGATTCTAGCAGCATCCCTAGCCTCTACCCCACAGATGCCAGTAGCATCACCCAGTTATGAAAAACAAAGATGTTTTCGTGCATTGCCAAATGTCCCCTGCCAACAACATTTCCCCCAGTGAGAACCACTGTCTTAGAACTACACTCAAATATCTTCAGATTTTTTTTAAAAATAGGTAGTGAGCATCCTGTAATTTTCACCACCAAGCTATCCATTTATGTTTATTCTGCTAAGGGCGCCCCGTCTTCCCTCGGCTACTCCGTCCATGGGGTTTGGATGGGGCCGACTCTAACCACATACCGTAGGTGACATGTCACGTAGGCTTGATCAGTGGGAGGACAGCATCCTCTTGACCACAGTGATCTGTGCGAGGACTGATCATGGGTCCAGTTCGTGATCTGTAGAGTCATGTTGAGGACTTTGATATGAACTCTTGGACTTGCATGTGTGAGAATATAAGCTTGGAATTGCTGGCTGGCATCTTGTCACCCCCAAAGAGAGCCTCTCTGGAAAAGCAGCCAATAGAGATGAAAGTAGACCAAAGAGAAGGGGAGAGACCAGTTCTTGATGACATTATCAGAGCCTCTAAATCCAGCGATGTCTAATGCTGGGTTTCTCTCTTGGATTTTTCGTATTCATGAGCCCATCAATTTATTCTGGGCATAAGCCATTTTGTGTTAAATTTCCTCTTATATGCAAAGGATCCTTATGGTAATATTTAATTAGATTTTTAAAAATATTTTTAAGTTGATGCACAATAGACGTATATAATTTCAGGATGCATGTGACAATTTCGTACATTCGTATCAGTGTAAAGATCTAATCAGTGTACTTTGGATAGACATCACCTTAAATATTTGTCTTTTTTTAATGCTAGACACATTCATGTTATTGTCTTCTAGCTATTTTAGAACGTAAAATAAATTATTAAATCTCATCCAGAAACATCCTTGCAGATATACCCAGAATAATATCTGGGTACCCTATGGCTCAGTCATATAGCCATCCTACTGATCTAACACTGGGTCTTACTTTTTCTACCAAGCCATATAGTTGCTGATCTGCTTGCAATCTATAAACTTGCTTTCCCTTTACAATATCCATAGCCTTTTCTGCACAAGAGTTATAGGTTACCTGGAAGATTACAATTTTCCTCTTTGCTGGTTTCTCTATGTTTAGGCAATTCTCAAGAATGCTTTGGGGTTGAACAATGAGGCTGAGGACAGGTAGAGAAATTCACTTAGGAAGAAGTGGGACCCTCTTCCTCTGGGCTTAGATAGTAGGGTAAACAGGTGGTGCAATGGTTAATTTTATGTGTCAATCTGACTGAGCCATGGGGTACCTAGATATTATTCTGGGTATATCTGCCAGGATGTTTCTGGATGAGATTAACATCTGAATCATAAAAGCAAATTGCCCTCCCTAATATGGGGTGGCCTCATCCAATCCATTGAAGGCCTGAATAGAACAAAAGGGTCAAGTAAGGAGAAACTTTGCCTGTCTAAGTGCTTGAACTGGATATCAGTCTTCTCCTGCCTTTGGACTGGAAATTAAACCATCGGCTCTCCTGCTTCTCAGGCTTTCAGACTCAGACTGGAACTACATCATCAGCTCTCCTGGGTCCTCATCTTGCTGAATGCAGATCTTGGAAGTTCTCAGCTGCTGTAACCACATAAGCCAATTTCTTATAACAAATCTCTCTCTCAAAGAGAATGCTTATACACTGTTGGGGATGTAAACTAGTACAATCTCTATGGAAAATGATACAGAGATTTCTCAAAGAGTTAAAAATAGAACTACCATTTAATCCAGCAATTCTATTGCTGGGTATCTACTCAAAGGAAAAGAAATCATTATAGCAAAACACACCTGCACTCATATGTTTACCACAGCACTCTTCACAATAGCAAAGTCATGGAATCAGCCTAAGGTCCATTAATGGACAATTGGATAAAGAAAATGTGGCACATATACCATAGAATACTGCTCAGCCATAAAAAAGAATAAGACCATGTCTCTCACAGCAACATGGATACAACTGGAGTCCATCATCCTAAGTGAAATAACTCAGAAACAGAAAGTCAAATACCACATGTTCTCACAAATAAATAGGAGCTAAACAATGTGTGCCTATGGACACATGGAGTGTAATAATAGACATTGAAGATTTCAAAAGGTGGGAAGGGGGTGAGGGATGACAAATTACCTCTTGGGTACAATAAACACTATTCAGGTGAAGGTTACACTAAATGCTGAGACTTCATCACTGTGCAATATACCAACGTAACAAAACTGCACTTATATGCACTTATACTCCCTAAATATATATAAATTAAAAATCTCTTTCTCTCCATATTTACGTGTGTTTGTATGTGTGGCATATATATACACACACACACACACACACACATATATTATCCTGCTGGTTCTGTTTCTCTGAATAACTCAGACGAACACAGATGGGTTTTGGCAGAACAAGTGTGTAAGGAGGAAATCTATGCGTTACCTTGATTCAAGCTTTCTTGCTCCTACCTTTTTATACTTCTCCAACGTGGATGAGGCTGCCCTGTTAAATTAACCTTTGACACTTCACTGAGAAAGGATCCCAGAGCTTTAGAAAGTTTCAGAGGAAGGAGTAGAACTGGGGGGCACAAGTCTCTAAAAAATTTTAATAAAGTCTTTATGTAATTCGGAATGACTTAGTAATTTCTTTGAACTACACTCAACTTTCTACAGATTTACTAAACTTCATATAGTGGACACCTTGTTATTTTCACCATCAAGCTATCCATTCATGTTCATTCTGCTAAGGGTACCCTGATTTCCATGGTGGGGGGACACCTTTGTATCTTTATTTCATACATAGTTGGGACCAGAACTGCCTGGACAGAAGTTGCCTAAACTGAAAAATAAAACAAGCATATTTATATGCAAATGTTATCGATTCCTCCCAAAGCACTGTTTTTATTTTTGGGCTATGGGCAGGTGGCATTAGAAAGATGGATGCTTGTTCATAAAACCTGGCATGGTTTCCTATGTTTAGAGTAGGAAGATAAACACACCCTGAGACTCTGGTAAGAAGTAAGGTCTTTGTCACCCAGAAAATGAACATATGCCAATACTGCAAAAAAATTTAGAGCATTTATGGCTCCCCTGACACTTATCCATGGATTTCCTAAAGAAATCAGGCTGTCTCTAGTATGGTGGGTGGTTTCTTAACAGATCTTTGCCCTACTCCTTTCAGATGTCTTAGTTCCCTGACTAAGCCAGAGTGCTTCTGAAGATCCAATGAGCATCTGGATTCATTCAGTCTGCATACTGCTGGAACAACCATGCATTTGAAAGCCATACAGACCCAGATTCGAATTCTGGTCTGCTACTCAGTTGTGTGATATGGGCATGCATTGCCATTCCTACAAACTCTGGCCTGTCTCCTCATCTGTAATAATCTGGTACAATAAGCTGGGAGGAGGTATTGGAGTAAGTAATCCATATTCTTTCCTCTTGTATAGGAAAAAAAACACAAAAGAAAACAAACTGTTTTTTCCTCTGCTACCCACACACAGAACTTCTGGACCCCAAATGTGTGGATGTTTTTCCCACACCAAGCAATTCTCTGCAGACAGCAACTGGGTGTCCTACAATTTAATTCAGTTCTGACACTATCTACCTGGACTTAGTGCAGACCCCTCAGGTTAAGGGCTTGGTCCCATAAGAGTGTCCCCACATCAGACACCCAGTTGCATGTCAAGGCTGTCACCTGTACTTATGACCAATGGCTATAAATCAGAAGCATTTTGCAAACCCTTCTTGGGTTAGATAATTGGCTAAAACAGCTCATAGAACTCAGGAAAATAGTTTACTTACCCGATTACTGATTTATTATAAAAGGATACAACTTAGGAACAGCCAGATGGAAGAGATGCTTAGAGCAAGTTATGGGAGGGACATGGAGCTTCCTTGCCCTCTTTGGGCGTGACATCCTCCCAGCCACTCCTCCATGTGTTCAATCTGGAAGCTCTCTGAACCCTGTCTTTTTGGGTTTCTATGGTGGCTTTGTTATGTAAGCATGGTTGATCAAATCATCGTCCATTGGTGATTAGAATCAATCTCCAACCCCTCTCCCCTCCCCAGAAAATTTCCCCTGAAAATTCCAATCTTCTAATCATATGTTGGTTCCCCCGGCAGCCAACCCCCTATTCTTTGGGACTTTTCAAAAGTTAACCTCATCAACATAAACTCAAGTGTGTTTGAAAGGGCCCTGTATGAGCAATAAAGGATGCTCTTTTCACCTTTAGGGCTCTTGTCACTTAAGAAATTATGAGGGTTTTAGGAGTTCTGTCCTAGGAACTGGGATGAAGACCAAATATATATTTATTATAAATCACCATGTCACACCTCTATGGTGTGTTGCCTCTCTGAACTTTTAGTTTGACTAACGGTTCTACTGAATTGCCCAATTGTTTTGGCCTCATGTAGACACAGCCAGAGGCTATGAAGTAGAACAAGATTTTTTTTTTTTTTTAAATCATAATGCCTTAAAGTGTAGGGTGTAGGTGTGTGTATATGTTTGCATGTCAAAGTGTCTGGCTGAGTTTCCTTGTTTGCTTTACCCACTCATTCCAGGCAACTGGTGCTTTCTATTTCTGTTTAGGTGCTAAGCTCATGATCTCCCAACTACTCCTACCTTCATACAACAAGGCTTCCTAAAGAAGACCTAAATCTACTCATGCTGTTTCCTCTTAAAATCTCTATAGCAGCATTTAGTACATAGTATTTCTATTCTTGTGTTTCAAGGGTAAGCGTTTGCATTTCACAGGCATCAAACAGTGCCTGCTGCAGAACGTGTTCATTAAATCATACCCTCCATCTATCCAGCCTTCATTTCCTCCATGTGTACCCCTAGATTCTCTAGGAGCCATGGTTTAGGATGCCTGACCAGCCCTTCCTTCCTCCTCATATGCATTAGTTTCCTGGGGCTGCTGTAACAAGTCACCACAAACTGAGGGGCTTAAAACAACAGAAATGTGCTCTCTCACAGTTATGAAGGACAGATGTCAATAATCTGTGTCACTAGGCAAAAATCAAGGTGTCCATAGGTGTGAGTTTCCTCCAGAGGCTCTAGGGGAGAATACTTCCTTGCTGATTTCAGCTTCTGGTGGCCCCTGGCATTCCTTGGCTTCCAATGCTATCACACCAATCTCTGCCTCCTTTATCACTTTGCCTTGTCATGTGTGTGTGTGCGCACACATCAATTCTCCCTCTACCTTTCTCATATAAGGACATATATCCGGCCAGGTGCTGTGGCTCCCGCCTATAATCCCAGCACTTTGGGAGGCCAAGGTGGGTGGATCACGAGATCAGGAGTTCGAGACTAGCCTGGCCAACATGGAGAAACCCCGTCTCTACTGAAAATACAAAAATTAGCCAGGCGTGGTGGTGCGCATCTGTAATCCCAGCTACTCAGGAGGCTGAGGCAGGAGAATCACTTGAACCTGGGAGGCGGAGTTTGCAGTGAGCTGAGACCATGCCATTGCACTCCAGACTGGGTAACATAGCAAGACTCTGTCCCCTACCCCCCCGCCCCTGCAAAAAAAAAAAAGACATCTATCCTCACTTAGAACCTGGAGATAACCCAGAATAACCTACCTATGGCAAGATCCTTGATATGGCCTGGATGTTTGTCCCAACCAAATCTAACATTGAAATGTTATCCCCAATGTTGGAGATGGGGCCTACTGGGAGGTACTTGGGTCATGAGTGTGGATCCCTTATGAATGACTTGGTGCCCTCCCTGAAGTAATAAGCTAAGGCAAGAGCTGGTTGTTGAAAAGAACATAGCATCTCACTTGCTCCTTCTCTCATCGTGTGACATGCCTGCTTCCCCTTTGCCTCCTGCCATGATTGGAAGCTTCCTGAGGCCCTAACCAGAAGCAGATGCTGGCACAATACTTACTGTAGCTTACTGTACAGTCTGCAGAACCATGAGCCAAATAAACCTCTTTTTAAAAATTTCCCAGTCTCAGGTATTCCTTTATATATTTAACTAATCTTTAGATCTGGTTCTTTCCTCTTCCCAGTTCTGGAGGAGGACACAAACAGACTAATACAGTCCTTCACTTAATCTCATCTTTTGCCACATAATATAATATCACAGTTTCTGATGGTTAGAGCCTGATATCTTTGTGGGACATTTTTCAACCTACTGCACTATAGACAGCCCAAGGGAAGGAGCATGTGTTTGTTCCAGGCAAACTTATCTACCTGACCACAGCTGAATGCTTCAATAATGGGCTCCTGACTCAGAAGAACCAGTCCACAGGCTGGATAGAACCAGTCAGATAGTGTATGGGGGCCGGTTTCAAATTGCTAAGAGAGCCCATTAGCAGTTAGGAGCCACACAGCAACATGATATCTATAAGGTCAGTAGGTGGCGTGGCAAGCCATATCCACATGGGTACAAGATAAAGGTGAGGGACACCCCAGGAGCCCACAGGGGCTGGTCTGCAGAAGACAGGAGAAAATAACAGAGAAGTTCTCATAGGGGATGCCCTTCAGACCCCTTAGAGAGGGAAGGCTCCTTCTCAGTTATGATATTTATGGTTCCAATTTCCCCAGTGATCAGCCCACTTTATCCTGGATATCCATTAAGTTAACTTTTGCATCCTTAAAAAAAAATCGTATTATATTTAAAGTAGCTTAAGTTAGTTGCTATTCTTTGCACCCTAAGATCCCAACCCAAACACTCCTCTCCCTCTTTTGCATGGCCTCAGTGGAGCCCTGTATTCCACTGAGGGTAGATTCTCTTTTACCTTAAACTTCCTTCTATTTCTTCTAGTCTCTCATCCTAACTAAAGCACCCCTAATGGCAGCTACCTTGCACAATGGCGCTTAGAGTGTCTCCCTGCACTCTCACAGGGGTTGGCAGAAGACACAGACACCCTTCTCCACATCTACATCCCATCTACACCCATCCCTCTCACCAGTTTCTCATTAATATCACCTAAAATTCAAGCCATTTGTCTGTTCACTTCTTGCCAAATAATCACTGCTTTCATTCCCTTCCTACCAGAACTCATCTCCATCTCTTAGATAAGTTCAACCCTATATTTATCCTTCTTGTTCTCTTTATATCCCCTGCCATAATCCTCATTGACAACAACATCCATTTTTAATGAGCCAGTGACTCCCTTTGATCTCATAGCTTTCAGCCTCCCAGCCTTATTTGATTTCCAGCTCCACTTCCCATCTGCCACCCACAGGCAGGGCTGCATCTTTAGATCTGGTTCTTCCCTCCCCCTAGTTCTGGAGGAGGAGTTACATTGGACACAAATGTTGCTCACCTGAAATTTCTTCTACTTCCCTTTTCTTTTTTCTTTTTCATCTGTAGACAGCCCCAGCTGCGCCCAATCATCCTTTGTTTTAGTTTTCTGAGGATGCTGTAACAAATTACCACAAACTGGTGGCTTAAAACAACAGAATTTATTCTCTTGCAGTTCTGGACACCAGACGTTTGAAATCAAGGTATAGGCAGTCATGTTCCTCCTGGAGGCTCCAGACGAGGATCCATTCCTTGCCACCTCCCGCTTCTGGCGACTCCAGGCATTCCTTGGTTTTGGATGACATCACTCTAATCTCTGCCTCTGCCTTTACGTGGAGTTCTCCTCTGTGACTCCCTTGGATCTCATAGTTTTCAGCTAAGAGAAAACCCTCCTTTTCTCTTGTAAGGACACTTGTCATGAGATTGAGGGTCTACCCTAATCCAGGATGATCTCATCTCAAGATCCTTCACTTGTGTACATCTGTAAAGACTTCTTTTCCAAATAAGGTCCTAGTCACAGATCCCTGGTAGTCATACCTTTTGAGGGGCCTTCCATTTGAACCACTGCACCTCTCTACTTTTCAAACACAAAAGACACACACATACACACAGCGTATGGGATTTGGCTTCCCGAGCAGCCAACAAGGATTTGATGCAATCTGGAAGTGTGACAAAGAAACCAGACTGATGAACACTGACCATTGAGAGGCAAGAGAAGTAGGAGACTTGGTAGATAAATGCCTCCACCCTCTCCTGTGAACCTCTTTCCACACTTCTGGGAAAGGCATGTGTGCTGAGAGAACAAGACTGCTAGGCCAGGCTACCTTCCAAGCTCTTCATGAAGTGAATGCCCACAAGGTAACGACCTCCTTCCCTCCCTTCACTGCTCATCGACTCCTTGTTCTTCTCAAACTTTTGAGCCTTATTTCTTGTCTCAAGCTTTGTTTTCTAGAGGAATCTGGGCTCTGGCTCATGCCCTGTGTTTCCATTGAACAGGAAGTGTTGCAGGTCATTTCCCCAGCATAAGTTGCTTGGTTTTTGTACCACTTGACTTGTGCAGACCACAGATGATTGCAGGAGAGACCAGTAGGCTGCCTAGTGCCCCGCAGGGGTCTTGGAACTGCAGCCCTGCCCGGCAGGGGCTTGCCAAACCAGAGAGAGAATAACTAGAACAACTGGAATTGCTGTCAGAAGCTGTGTAGATGGAGCATACCCCATGGGGAGAGGGACAGCAGAAGAAGGAGAAGCTGAAAGACAGGGAAAGGAGGCAGGTGCAGAAACAGAGAACAACTGGCCTACGGTAAGGGGATAGACCAGAGGTGTTCCCTGCTGGAGGGTAGAAGAGAAGCAGGGTGATCAGTCTCTGTAAGATCTGATTGAGCAGCTGTGATAAGGTCTCTAGAGGGATTAGGGTGGCTGTGGAGAGTGTGCTCTGTGCCTCCTCTGCCCTAGGCGTCCTTACAATGAACTCCTATCACCAGAGGTAAGAGGTCACCCTGACTCCTTGCAGCCTAAAAATACTTACTGAACACAAGTAGAGAGTGTTGGTCCCTAACTTCCCTGGAGCCCCCACTAAACATGTTCTTGGCATCACCAGACATTGAATCATTGCACCATTGTCCCCTCCCACAAATAGGCCACTGTCATTTTACCCAGTTGACCACTGAGTATGACGATTATGTCATGAATGTAATCATCCTAGGCTTTCATGTCTCAGTCTTTTTCTCTGTCATGCCTCACAGATTTATAAATATCTTCTTCCCTCTACTTTTTTCATTGTAGTAAAATATACATAAAATGTACTATTTTAACTATTTTTAAGTGTACTACTCAGTGGCATTGAGTGCGCTCAAAATGTTGTATAATCATTGCCACCATTTATTTCCAAAGCTTTTTAATCATCCCAACCAGAAAATCTGTATCCATTAAATAATAACTCCCCATTCCTTCCTACCCAATCCCTGGTAACCTCTATTCTATTTTCTGTCTCTATGAATTTGCCTATTTTAAGTACCTCATATAAAAGGAATCATACAATCTTTGTCCTTTTGGGTCTGGCTTATTGTACTTAGCATGATGCCTTCAAGGTTCATCCATGTTATAGCAAGCAAAAGGGCTCATATATATTTGCATTCATATGCATATATACACATGCATATTTTAATATATATATGATTGTATGTTTAGATTACATTTTGTTTATTCATCTGTTGATAGACATTTGAGTTGTTTCCACCTTTTATTGTGAATAATGTTGCTGTAAACATTAATCTACAAGTATTTGTTTGAGTCCCTGCTTTCACTTTGAGGTACATAAGTAGGTGTAGAATTACTAAATTATATGGTAATTCTATGTTTAACTTTGTGAACAATGCCAAAGTGTTTTCTCCAGCAGCAGCACAATTTTACATTCCCACCAGCAATATGTGAGGGTTCCAATTTCTCCACATCTTTGCCAACAATTGGTATTTTCCATTTTTAAAAAAATTGGCTGGGCACGGTGGCTCATGCCTGTAATCCCAGCACTTTGCGAGGCCGAGGTGGGTGGATCACCTGAGGTCAAGAGTTCAAGATGAGCCTGGCCAACATGGTGAAACACCATCTCTGCTAAAAATACACAAAATTAGACTGGTGTGGTGGTGGGCACCTGTAATCCCAGCTACTTGGGAGGCTGAGGCAGGAGAATTGCTTGAACCTGGGAGGCAGAGGTTGCAGTGAGCTGAGATCACGCCATTTCATTTCAGCCTGGGTGAAAAAAGTAAAACTCTGTCTCAAAAAAAAATTTAAAAATTATAGTCATTATGTGTGGGAAGTGATGTCTAATTGTGGTTTTGATTTGCATTTCCCCCAGTGGCCACTGATGTTCAGCATCTTTTCATGTACTTATTGGCCATATGTATACTTCTTTCGAGGATTTCCTATTCAAGTTCTTTGCTCATTTTTGAATTGGGTTGTTTGCATTTTTGTTCTCGAGCTGTAGAAGTTATTTACATATTCTAGATATTAATTCATTATTAGACATATGATTTGCAAATATTTTTCCCATTCTGTGGATTGTCTTTTCATTTTCTTGATGGTATTCTTTGATACACGAAAGTTTTTAATTTTGATGACATCTATTTATCTATTTTTTCCTTTTGTTCTCTGTGCTTTTGATGTCACATTGAAGAAATCACTGCCAAATCCAATGTCATGATTTCCCGCTAAGTTTTTTTGTAAAACTTTTATAGTTTTAGCTCTTGGGTTTAGGTCTTTGATCTACTTTGAGTTGATTTTTGTATATGATGTAGGGTAAGGGTCGAATACTCCTTTGCTTAGAAATATTCAGTTTTCTCAGAACTATTTGTTGAAAAGGCTGTCTTTTCATATTGATTGATGTGGCACCTACACTGAAAATCAACTGACCATAGACAAAGTGTTTTGTTTTGTTTGTTTGTTTGTTTTGCCTCTCTATTCTATTCCATTGGTCGATATGTCTGTCTTTATACCAGTATCACATTGTTTTCATTACTGTAGCTTTTAGTAAGTTTTTAAATCAGAAAGTGTGAGCCCCTAAGTTTGTTCTTCTCTTTCAAGATTGTTTTGGCTATTCAGGGTCTCTTAAGATTCCATTATGAATTTTAAGATGGGTTTTTCTATTTCACAAAAATGCCAATGGGATTTTGATAAGGATTGAATTGCATCTGTAGAATATTTTGGGTAGTGTTGTCATTTTAACAAGACAAATTCTTCCAAACTATGAACAGATGCTGTCTGTTCATTTATGTGTGTATTCATTAATTACTTTTAGCAATGTTATATAGTTTTCAGTGTACAAGTCCTTCACCTTCCTGTTGAAGTTTATTCCTAAGTGTTGTATTCCTTTTTATAGTAATGTAAATGAAATTACTTTCTTGATTTCCTTTTGAGGTTGCTTATTGTTAGTGAATAGAAATGAAACTGCTTTTTGAGTGTTGATTTTGTATCCTGCAATGTTGCTAAATATATGTATTAGCTTTAGAAGTTTGCACGTGTATATGTGGATTTTTTAAGAGTTTTTTACATATAAGATGGCATCATCTGCAAACAGATTATTTCACTTCTTCGTTTTTGTCTCAATTTTAATTTTTTAATATATTTTTTCTTTTCTAGTTGCTCTGTCTGGAATTTTCAATACTATGTTAAATAGGAGTGGTAAAAGCTGACATTATTATCTTTTGCCTGATTATAGGGGAAAAGGTTTCAGTCTTTCACCGTTGTATGTAATGTTAACTGTGGGCTTTCATAATGGCCTTTATCATGTTGAGGAAGCTCATTTCTATTATTCCTAGTTTACTGAGTATTTTTATAATGAAAGAGTGTTGAATTTTCTCAAATGTTTGTTCTACATCAATGAAAATGAACATTTAAGTTTTTTTCTTCATTATATTAATGAGGACTATTATATTGATTGATTTTCATATATTGAACCCTTCTTCCATTCCAGGAAAAATCCTACTTGATCATGGTATATAATCTTTTTAATATACTGCTGAATTCACTTTACTATTATTTTATTGAGTAGTTCTGCATCAATATCGAATAATTTTGCTGCTTTCTGTAAGTTTTAGCATGTAGTGTTTTCATTTTCATTTTTCTCAAGTTATCTTTAAATTTCTTTTCTGATTTCTCTTTGACTCATTCATTGGTTTTTTAAGAATGTGTTTAATGTGTTAAGAATTGTTTGATTTCCACATACTTGTGAATTTTTCTGTTTTCACTCTGTAATTGATTTCTGGTTTCATTCTAGTGTGATTAGAAAAGATACTTAGAAATAGTTTAATCTTTTCTATTGTGATTAGAAAAGATACTTAGAATTAGTTTAATATTTAAAATTGATTGACTTCTTTCATAGCCTAACATATGATCTATCCTGGATAATATTCCACATGTACTTGAGAAAAATGAGTGTTCTGTTGTTAAATAGAGTATTCTGAATGTTTGTTAGGTCTAATTGGTCTATGTTGTTGTTCAAATCTTCTATTTCTTTGTTGATCTTTTGTATGGTTGTTTTACTCATTATTGAATGTGGGTATTGAAGTCTCCAACTGTCACTGTAGAGCTGCCTATTTCTTCCTTCAATTCTGTTAATATTTACTTCATAAATTTTGGGGATCTGTTGTTTGGCACATGCATGTTTATAATTGTATATCCAGTTAATGAATTGACCATTTTATTAATATATAATGCTCTTTTTTGCCTTGTAACAGTTTTTGACTTAAGACTGATTTTGTCTGATAACAGTATAGCCACTATAACTCTCTTTTGGTTCCTATTTGTATGATGTATCTTAGTCCTTCCTTTCACTTTTGACCTATTCATGACTTTAGATCTCTTTTAGACAGCATATAGTTGAGTGACTTTCTTTTCATTTTGCCAATCACTGCCTTTTTATTGGAGAGTTGAATTCATTTACATTTAAAGTAATTACTAATAAGAAAGGACATCTGCCATTTTGCTATTTGAGTTCTGTGTGTCTTACAGCTTTTCTTGTCCCTCACTGTCTCTATTACTACCTTCTTTTGTGTTTAGCTGATTTTTTTTTTTTAGTGACATGTTTTGATTCCCTTCTCATTTCTTTTTCTGTATATTCTATATATACTTGTGTATACTTTATTTGTGGTTACCATGACACCTACATTTAACTCTCTAAAGTTATAACAATCTAATTTGAATTGATAACCATTCAATAGCATATAAAAACCTTGCTCCTATACAACTCTTTCTTCACCTGTTTATATTATTGATATTACATATTACATCTTTATACACTGTATGTCCAAAAACATATTTTAACTATTTTTATGCTTTTGCCTTAAATTATGCAGAAAAAAATAACTGGAGTTATAAACCAAAATTAAAATAATACTGGCTTTTGTATTTGCTCATGTATTTACCATTACCACAGATTATTGTTTTTTAGTTTTTGTTTTTGAGATGCAGTCTCGCTCTGTTGCCAGGCTGGAGTGCAGTGGTGCAATCTTGGCTCACTGCAGCCTCCAACTCCCTGGTTCAAGGAATTCTCCTGCCTCAGCCTCCTGAGTAGCTGGGATTACAGGCACATGCCACCACACCCAGCTAATTTTTGTATTTTTAGTAGAAACAGCATTTCACCATCTTGGTCAGGATGGTCTCAATCTCCTGACATCATGATCCGCCCACCTCGGTTTCCCAAAGTGCTGGGATTACAGGCGTGAGCCACTGCTCCCAGCCTATTGTTTCTTTATACAATGTCAAGTTACTCTCTAGTATCCTTTTATTTCAACTTGAAAGATTCCTTTTAGCATTTCTTATAGGACTGGTCTAGTGGTAATGAACTCCCTCAGCTTTTACTTATCTTGGAATGTTTTAATTTCTTTCTCATTCTCAAAGGATGCCAGATATGGAATTATTGGTCGATACTATTTTCCCAGCACTTTAAATATACCATCCCCCTGCTCTTAATTTGTGTTGATGTAAGTCTCTTTGAGTTTACCCTACTTGGAGCTTGTTGAGATTCTTGGATTTATAGGTTCATGCATTTCATCCAATGTAGGCCATTTTTAGCCATTATTTCTTCAACCTTATCATCCCTTTATCTCTCTGTTCTCATTATTGGGGGCCCCTAATGTAATGTTGGTCTACTCTATCATGTCCCACAGGTCCCTTAGGCTCTGTTCACATCTTTTTATTCTTTTTTATATCTGCTTCATACTCAGTAATTTCAATTGTCCTATCTTTAAGTCCAGCAGTTCTTTCTTCTGCCTGTTCAAATCTGCTTTTGATCCCCTCTTCTGATTTTTTTTTAATTTAAGTTATTGTACTTTTCTTCTCCAGATTTTCTGTCTGTTTCCCCTTTATAATTCCTTTCTCTTTAATGATATTCTCATTTTGTTCAAACATTGTTTTCCTGATTTCATTTTCTGTGTTCTCCTTTAGCCCTTCGGACATACTTAATGCAGTTGTCTTAAAGTCTTTGTCAAAAAAGTCTAAATGTCTAGGATTCCTTAGGACAACTTTTGTCAGTTTATTTTGTTCCTTTGAAAAGTGGGTCATGTTTTCCTATTTCTTTTTATGCTTTGTGATTTTTTTGTTTAAAATTGGATATTTGACTATTATTATGTTGTTAACTCTGAAGATCAGATTTTCTTCCCAGTTTTCTGAAGGTTTCTGTTTGGTTAGTTTTGTTTGGGTTTTTTGTTTGTTTTGATTGTTGAAGGCTACAATAGTCCACTTGTTTTGAGACTTTTCCAAACCATTTTTGTGACAACAATTACTTGTCATTCGTGGTCATTTAAGTCTCTAATTTTTTTTTTGCTTGTGTTCAGCTAATGATTGACAGAGATTTCCTTGAATGCCAGGAGGTAAAACAAACAAACAAAATACATGCACACAAGCATACTCATTGATAAAAGGGGAAAAACATCTCTCCTGTGTTTGCATATTGGCTTTGTGCTAAAGCACTCTTTCAACACTCAGCTAGGCTTTCACTAAGCCTATGGCAAAATCTTAAGGTCTTTTTAAGTCTTCTCCAAGCATACATCTTGACCTGGACATGTACATGGCTCTCTCAATTCCTCCATATATATGGGGCAGTTTTTAATGCCCAATTTCCCAAAGAATCTCACCCCAGGCACCTGTGGGTCTTTAGTCCACCTTGCAGCTTTATGAGCAGTGCCTACTGTTCTTCCCATCTGAGTTCCAAGTTAGCTGAAGCACAGATGAGTGCCTGGCATGTGTCCTTCAAGTATCCCACAGACAGGTTAAAACAGACACACACAATAATTTGTAAACAAGGTCTACTCTGTTTCCTCTGGTTTGAAGTACCTGGGTCCCAAAATCGGAACATGAGCTGCTACCACCTACTTCAAGGCCAAAACAACCACTCTGCCAGGGAAGAGCTAGGGTGAGGGCAAGTGAAAACGCCAGAGATTTGTTCCACTATTTTGAATCTGATGTGTGTATTTGTTTTAAATTTGTCATTCTCATGAGTTGTGTAAACTCTTGACATTTTCTCAGAGTTCTCACAAGGTTGATTCTGTCTGTTTCTACTTGTTTTTTCAACGTTTCTATACGGGAATGAGAGCTTAGGGCTTCCTAGTCTGCCATTTTGTTCTGCTCTTTCCTCCAGTTTTGCCACTACTTTATGTGAAAAAGACAAATAGCATTTTCTGAGTATCTTCTATGTGACTGTAAGCACTAGGCATATTGCAGCAAATGAGATATATGCAATTCCTTTCCTCATACAGCTTTGCTTCTAGTGGGAGAGACCAGTAAACAAAGAACAGAGATAATTGTAAGTTCTAATGTGTGCTATGAAGGGGCAGGGGGAAAAACTCATATAGTATCTAATATAATATCAGGAATGACAGGATTGGTGGGGGCTGAGGGTGGGATTTTTCTGGGATTCCAGGGAAAGTCCCTCTGGACTGAGGATATTTGAGTGAGATCTGAAGGCTGGAAAGCAGAAAACCAAGTAAAGAGTGTGGATAAAGAACACCAGGCAAATGGATGGCACTGGAAATCCCATGCTGTATGAACCTGCTTGTAGGACTGCAGGGCAACCACTGAATCTGCAGGGCTATGAGTAGGAGAGGAAGACACATGAGGAGGCAGGGTCTGGACAGTGGTTGAAGGCCACTTGAAGTTCAGTGGGAAGTTGTGTGTTAAGCAGGAGAATGACATGCTCTGATTGATCTTTTTTTTTTTTTTTTTTTTTTGAGACAGAGTCTTACTCCGTCACCCAGGCTGAAGTGCAGTGGCGCAATCTCAGCTCACTGCAAGCTCTGCCTCCCGCATTCACGCCATTCTCCTGCCTCAGCCTCCAGAGTAGCTGGGACTACAGGCGCCCGCCACCATGCCCAGCTAATTTTTTGTTTTTTTTTTTTTTTTTTTTTTTTAGTAGATACGGGGGTTTCACCATGTTAGCCAGGATGGTCTCGATCTCCTGACCTCGTGATCCACCTGCCTCGGCCTCCCAAAGTGCTGGGATTACAGGCGTGAACCACTGTGCCTGGCCTCTGATTGATCTTTTAAGCTTACTTGTTGCTGAGCGGAGAACTGATTGGAGGGTGGTATTATGGGAGCAGGGAGGCTACCTGGAAGGATGTTTGTAATAGTCCAGAGAGATGGAATGGTGGTCTGGACTAAGGTGGTGATAGAAATGCAGAGAAAGGGAAGATGTGGCTACATCATGGTGGAGGATGTGGCAGGGCTTTCTGATAGAATGGACAGGATAGATGAGAGGAAGGGTAAGAAACTTAAGAATAACTCCTGATTTTCTATACGTGGTGAATAGATGGTGATGCACTTTACTGTAGTGGGGGAAATTTGAGGGAAGAAAGATTTCTCTTGATTTCTCTTGAAACATCTATAAAAGCTCTAGTGGAAATGGTTAGGGAGAACATATGAGGCTGTGGTTTAGACATGAGAAGACCAGGCTGGAGATGTCAGTGTGGAAGCCATCAAAACATAGAATTTATCAAAACACAAGAATTGATGAGATCACCTCGGGAGAGTGTATATGAAGAAAAGAAGAGGGAAACCTAGAAACCACCATTCAGAGGCCAAGTGGATGGGGGGAGGCAGCAAAAGAATGGCCTAACATTAGCTAGGCCCTAAAACATATCCAGATCAGACCTCCTGAGTGCCAGGATTTACTGAAATAAACTTTCTCCAGAATTACTCAATGGGGTCCAATGGCTGGAATCATGACTTAGATAGCATCTGTGATTATACTCAGGAGTCACTGATGCCAAAGGCAGATGGAAGGTCATGGAATGCTGCTCTAAAAGCTTGGTAAATGCTTTCTGTAGGGGCAAATAGATCCCCCAGGCCTCTTCCAGAACTATGCTCCTATAACGCCAACTTGCTGTGCAGGAATTGGTGAGGCTTCCTCAGTTGCTTGAGGAAATATTTGTTTGTTTTTGAGACACCAAAAGCAGATAGGACAGATGGAGGGAGAGAGAGTCCTTGTATACAGCTGCCTCAGTTTCTACCTGCATTCACTTTTTATGTTCATGAACTAAATTGGTATGTCTTTTTCCATTTTGCAATGAATGTATATATTTATAATATCTATACTTAATTATATCAAGATCGTTCTATAGACTGTGTATGAAAACATGCCCTCGGGCGGGTCTCATTTCCAACTGAGTCTCTGTTGCCAGCACAGTGCCCAGCCCAAGGAGTAAATAAAGGTCAAATGAGTGAGTAAACAAATAAGTGAATGGAGGCTTTGAGCTAGCGGAGGATCCAGAAACTCATTTCCTTTAGAATCTCAGGGGTCTGAAGCAGACTATAAACTGATATTATCCGTATAAGTATTTAAATGGACATTAAAAGTTCTTACTCTAATGAAATAATCCAAGGCACTTAATTGCTTTTATGACTTTGAGGAACAACAATTTGTTGGCCGTTTACTGTAGGTCTAGGATTGTGCCAGTCACTAGGGGCAGGATTGGAGGAGGGTTTACAAAGAAGTGGAAGAAAACTGATCTTCAGGTTGTGAACTAAGATGACATAGGGAAGAAAAATTAACAGTACGGGAGAGGAATGGCTGTGTCAGTGGTGGTCTGTGGTCTATGCATCTCTCTACGAGGAGACTTATGGAGCAAGAGGCTCTCGTGTGGGGGAATAGTGACAATGTTATAGTCTAGATGACCTGCAGCAGGAGATCACTTCACTTTGTAGAAAATTGGTGTTCTCTTTTATAAAAAGGGATGTTTTGGCTGGGCACAGTGGCTCACGCCTGTAATTCCAGCACTTAGGGAAGCTGAGGCGGGCGGATCATGACGTCAGGAGATCGAGAACATCCTGGCCAACATGGTGAAACCCCGTCTCTACTAAAAATACAAAAATTAGCTGGGCGTGGTGACACGTGCCTGTAATCCCGCTACTCGGGAGGCTGGAGGCAGGAGAATCACTTGAACCAGGGAGTTGGAGGTTGCAGTGAGCTGAGATTGCACCACTGCACTCCAGCCTGGTGAAAGAGCAAGACTCTGTCTCAAAAAAAGGAAAAAAAAGGACGTTTTGATTCTGTGCACACAGAAATCCTTTCCACTCTAACACTGTCATTTCTCTTTGTCTTCAGGAACTATCTAAAAGGAGGGAACAGGGGCCAGAGGTTACAAGTTGGAGTTCTACTGTCCTAATCGATGGTGCAGAGTTGTGTTTGGCTCATACATGAATGGCTCCACGGCTCTTTTCAAATTTTATTTCAAATTTGTAACACTTAAAATCAACTCATGTTTAAAATTCAGGTGATTTCAGTAACTCCAGTTTTCCAGCTTTGCTGGAAAAATCAGATCTGACAACACCAGGCAAATACCAGTCTGGAGGTGGTCACACTGCTTTCCTGTTGATCTTGGGCCTCACCCTTGTTTCTTATCTGGCCTGTCTGTGTCTGTAGACCAAGTTTCAAAACAGATGTAGGGAACAGAAGGAATTCAAAATGTAACCCGCAGGCCAGTGATTCTCAGGGGAGCATGAGGATGTGGGTGTGAGTGGAGGAGGGCTCCCCAGTGGGGTAGAAACCTAGCAAGATTTTCCAAGCCTGGAGGTTCTGATGGTACCCTCCCTTCATATCCTTAGCTGAGAATCACCGGGTGTCATAAGCAACAGCAAAGAGCATCCCATCAGGGCAGGTGAGGGTCATGTACTGATCATTTCAGTGATGATAGCAAGATCCAGTGTTCACCAAATGCCTGCATGGGCCTGTCACTGCTCTAAGCCCCTTACAAGCATGATTGACCCCATTTTACCGAGGAAAAGGAGGCATGGAGAGATTAGTAGCTTTCCAAAGAGCTCTGGATGGCAAGAACAGAGCTAGATAGTCTCATTTCAGGTGAAACCAAGGTGAAGCAAGTTAACACAAGAACAAAGCTAGGGCAGGGTGTGGTGGCTCACGCCTGTAATCCCAGCACTTTCAGAGACCAAGGCGGGTGGATTACCTGAGGTCAGGAGTTCGAGACGAGCCTGGCCAACAGGGTGAAACCCCATGTCTACTAAAAATACAAAAATTAGCCGGGCATGGTGGAGCGCTCCTGCAATCCTAGCTGCTTGGGAGGCTGAGGCAGGAGAATCGATTAAACCCGGGAGGTGGAGGTTTCAGCGAGTCGAGATGGTGCCACTGCACTCCAGCCTGGGCAACAGAGAGAGGCTCCGTCTCAAAAAAAAAAAAAAAAGAGCAGAGCTAGATAGTCTCACTGAAACCAAGGTTGAGGGCCACAGATGTGCACAACCAAGCGGCCCCACAGGTCTTTGAGTGGGATGGCGACAGGCAAAAATTGGTGTTGGTGAAGATTGATCTGGATGGCCAGAACAGAGCCTGGGTACTACATACTAATTGAATTGTTGATAATGGCTGACAAAGCAATTTCCTGCCAATCACTTTTACCATTAACCTCCTCAAGATGAATTCTGAAGGAAGCCAAATAAGAGACAACTCTGGGTTTTGTAAGTCAACCTCTTTTTTTGATAGATTCACATTTGTGCTTTTCTGCCTCCCAGATAGAAACAAAGGTTAAAAATGTGATTGTGGCCTCCGGAAGTTTAAAAGCTGGGCAGAGCGCTGTGGAGACAAAGCCTGCCATTCAGTTACATAACTGATTTTCATGGATGGCTTATGAAAGTCAACATCATTATTTTATACTTACATGCTTACCTCAAGAAAAGTACCAGGCGTTCCTATTTCAAACGGGTTTCCCAAAAGCTCGAAGTTTGGGGAATCATAAACTGCTAATGGAAGTCAATGGGAAAATCATATTCCTTGCATGGCCAATTTTTCCATAATGCACTTAGCAAAGTGAAGGAGACAAGTCTAGCATTTATGACGACAAGAGACTCACTTATCTATTACTTCAGCCTGTTTGGAGACTGCTGGGAATTGAAAATGAGGAATAGGTTACAAAGGTGATTTCCAGAGGGAGGCAGAGTGGAAAATGGAGAAGAATGGTCAGAAATGAAAGGAGAGAATGCATCAGCAGTGAGGCGAGTGTGGATAACATTTCCCGTGGAAATAAAGGGACTGTGACACCCAGCATGGAAACCTCTGGAATCAGCAGCCCTTTGGATGAGAAATGGAGCAAGGGATAGTGAGCGTTTGCATTTATTCAAACCAGGTTGGCGAACCTGGCGACTATTCACAAAACAGGGTAGCAAACACCTACCTGGCTGCAGGGAAAATTCCAGGGTGAACATATCTCAAGATTTAGAAGGAATCCCACATTATATTTCCATGGGTTTGGTTTGGGAAAAATCCCTGTATGACTTCAGCAAGTCTGTGGCTGTTGGTGGATCAAATACAAGGGCCAATAACTTCTTGCCACTTTAAGAGGAATCGGATTGAAATGTATGTAGACCTTTGGGAGGTAGGTAATAAGAATCACTGATGCCTCCACATACCTCTGAGGATTTTCTCTTCGATTAAAATGACAAGATTCCTTTTTAGCCAATACATAAGTAGAATCTGGTTCAAAGGCTCTCAAACTGCCACCTGCTACTTCAAAAGCTCTTTCAATTCCCTGAGCAATTTACTTCAGGGCAATTGAACTCCTGAGTGTGGTTTCCACCATTTTCTAACCAGGCTGTCTCTGTGTGAAGGAAGAATCAGTTTCTGCAGGCAGGTTTTCAGCACAGACCTGTTCATGTAGGTGTTTGCTAGCCTTTATAGCTGTGACGGTGGAGGTGGAAAAAAGGTCCCATTTTGATGGCTGAAAAATACAGATAGGCCAACATTTTAAGAGCATTGATAGGAAATTTGGATTTTCATCCAATTTAAAAAATTAAATGTTGAACCAATTGAAAATTCCCCATCCCCAGCAGTACTGCAGATAAATTTGTTATCCTATAAACTGGGCTCAAGTGTTAGTAAAAACACTCTGAAGTACCCTAATTATTAGGAAAACACAAATCAAAAATACAATGAGATGCCACCCCACTTTGATTAGCATCATTACTAGTTAAAAAAAAATACAAAAAAATCACAGGTGTTAGTGAGGCTACAAAGAAAGTGGAACGTTGGTGCTCTGTGGGTAGGAGTTTAAAATGGTGCAGCCACTGTAGAAGACAGCATGTTAGTTTCTCAAAAAATTAAACATAGAATTACCATAGGATATAGTAATTTCAGCTCTGGGCATCTGCTCCAAAAAAGTTAAAGCAGGGTCTCAAAGAGATATTTCTACATCTATGTTCATAGCAGCATTCTTAACAATAGCTAAGCCGGGCGCAGTGGCTCAAGCTTGTAATCCCAGCACTTTGGGAGGCCAAGGCAGGCGGATCACGAGGTCAGGAGATTGAGACCATCCTGGCTAACACAGAGACCGAGACCATCCTGGCTAACACTATGAAACCCCGTCTCTACTAAAAATACAAAAAAAATTAGCTGGGCGTGGTGGCGGGCGCCTGTAGTCCCAGCTACTTGGGAGGCTGAGGCAGGAGAATGGCGTGAACCCAGGAGGCAGAGGTTGCAGTGAGCTGAGAGCGCACCACTGCACTCCAGCCTGGGTGACAGAGCGAGACTCCATCTCAAAAACAAAACCAAAAAACAATAGCTAAAAGGTGGAAACAATCTAGTGTCCATCAATGGATGAATAGATAAGAAAAATGTGGTATATACACAAAATGGAATATTATTTGTCCTTGAAAAGGAAAGAAATTCAGACAACATGGATAAATCTTGAGGACATTATGCTAAATGAAATAAGCCAGTTACAAAAAGACAGGAATTGTATGATTTCCACTTGCATCAGGTACCCAGAGTAGTCAGATTCCTAGAGACGGAGAGTAGAATGGGGGTTGCCGGGGGTTAGGGAAGGGAGGAGTGGAGAATTGTTGCTTAATGAGTATGGAGTTTCAGTTTTGCAAGATGAAAAGAGCTCTGGAGACTGAATGTGAACAATGTAAATGTACTTAACGCTATGAACTGTAAACTTAAAAGAGGGCTACCACAACTAAAAATAAAAAGTAAAAATAAAAAAATAAGAAAGAAAAGCAAAATGCTAAGGGAGTAATTCTCAAACTTGAGCACACAGCAGAAGCCACCTGGAGGTCTTGTTACAGTAACACAGAGTGCTGTAACACTGCTTTTGAACCAGTTCCCAGGTGATGCTAATACTGCTGGTCCAAGGAGTACACTTTGAGAACCACCGCTCCAAGGGTTCCATAAAGTGTATCTTTTCTCTTTCAAAAACAAAGGGAACTTGCTGGATTGTTTGCAAACAACCCATGGTACCTTTGTAAAAATAACCACATTCTACAAACTGAAATTTAATTATTGCTGAACTTGTACAATGTGTCAGGTATATTATTAGGCACCATACACATATACTTTAATTTAATCCGCCCAAGCTAATCTATTGATTCAACAAATATACATGGAAAACCTGTAAGCAGGTATTTTCCTAGTAGAGGAGAAAGATGATCCAATGAATGGGCAAACAAATAACATTATTAAATATTACCAACAGTACTGGGAAGAAAAAAAAATGGAGTTGAGCTGGAGAAGACCTACCTTTAATAAAATGATCAGAAAAGGACCCTGAAGAGTGGTATTTAAACGGAAACTAAAGGTTAAGAAGGAGGCAATCATTCAAGATTGAGGGAAAGGGCAGTTACAAGGAGAGGAATTAGCAGTGCAAACTTCCAGTGAGGAGGAAAAACCCTTGGGATATTTAAGGGGTTGAAATAAGTCCAGTGTAGCTGGATTGTAGTGATCAGCTAGAGTGTTGACGGGCTGAGTTGGGAAGGTTGGTAGGAGCTGGGGTATGCAGAGGCTTATAAGCTGTGACACAGTGTGAGGACTTGAAGTATTTGGGGAAGATACTGGTAACTTATAAGCAGCAAAGGTGATATGGTGAGGTTTTCAAAGCTCCTACTGGCTGTAATTGGAAAGTGGGATTAGAGGTGGGCCAAGGATGAAAAGAGGGAGATGAGTTAGAAGACTGTTGCACAAGACCAGGGAAGAGAAGAGGGACACTTGGATCAGACCAGTGGCAATGATGATGAAGAGAAGAGTGGAGACTCAAGCTTTGTATCTCAGTGGAACTGACAAGACACGCTGGTAGACTGGATATGGAAGGTGGAGGGAAGAAGGAAATCAGAGATTCATCTCAGGTCTCTAGCTTGAAAAATTATGAGAGATAAGGATGAAGGGAGCAAAATTGGGGTGAAATCAAGATTCCTATCCTAAGTAAAATTTGATGTTTCTGTGAGATGTCCAAGTGGAACTATTAATAATTCATTGGGTGTTATGAGTCTAGACCTCAGAAAAAAAGTCTGGGCTGGGCGTTTACTTTTGGAGTAATCATAATATGGAAAATATTTTAAGCCATTGCATTTGGCAAAATCATCTAGGACAGGACTTCTCAACCTAGGCACTTTTGACTTTTGGGGCCAGATAATTCTTGGTGGGGTTGGGGAGGGGGCCTGTCTTATGCATTGTAGGATGTTTAGCAGCCCTCTAGATGTCAGTAGCCCTTTTCCCAGTTGTGACAACCAAAAATGTCTCCAGGCATTGTCAGATGTCCTTTGAGAAGGGGGTGAAGACAAAATCGCCCGTGCTTGAGAACCACTGAGCTAGGGAGCGAGTATGGAATATGCAAAGGAAATGAAGATGAGATATAGTGAACAGTTAGGTGTGTCAACTTAAAAGGAAACATAGAATCTATACATTTGGAAAAGGAGACTATTTCTTGTGAAGGGTTACAGCCTACAAGATAGCCATGCCACAGGCTGGGAAACACAAAGCCTGAAAGACAGGCACTTTGAAGGAGGAGGGGTTGAAGTAGGAGCTTTATACTGGTCAGGTTGACTAAACATACCTATTCAACAGATTACGGGAGGAGCTATGAATATTTACAAAGGTGGTCCTGGCACATACATCCTGAACAAACATGCGTGTAACATATAACCCATGTTCACTTTGGGTGGAGACTGAATGTATTACTGTGTTACAATTAGGCCCTAAAAGTCAAAAGGCCTTTTCAGGACACAAAGATACTCAAGTGTGCAATCTCTGTCAACTGGCCAGCACCAGTCCATGATCAGTGGTCTCATCAGGAGAAAGCTACTGAAATCAGTCTCTTGTCCAATCAAAGCTGTAGTCACAGCTGGGGTGCAACAAGGATTCAGTTAGTCAGCGTCAGTGAGCTGGATGAGTTTTAATTGTTTTAATATTGTTTATCTCGAGGCCAGTGCTTGTTTAGCTGCTAGAGAAAAAGAATAACCTTGTGGTAGTTAGAACGTAGTTTCTTCTTGAAATGTAGGGTACATGAATTAACCCTTGCCTGGCATGGCCTTCTGTCCTGTTTATAATTTGGTGGTGGTTGTTGTTTTTGAGACAGGGTCTCACTACAGTTGCCCAGGCTGTAGTACAGTGGCACGATCTTGGCTCACTGCACCCTTGAAGTGAGCCTCAACCTCCTGAGTTCAGGTGATCCTCCCATCTAAGCCTCCCAAGTGTTGGGACTACAGGCATGTGCCATCATGCCTGACTTATTTTTTGTATTTGTAGTAGAGACAAGGTTTTTTCTACGTTGCCCAGGCTGGTCTCGAACTCCTGGACTCAAGCAATCTGCCTGTCTTGGCCTTCCAAAGTGCTGGGATTACAGGCATGAGCCACCATGCCTGGCCTATACTTTGGTATCTAATTGCCACAAAGAGTTCATTATGTCAGTCTTATAATCTCTATTTTAACATTAATATTGGCTGGTTGTGATGGCTCACACCTGTAATCCCAGCACTTTGGGAGGCCAAGGTGGGGGGATTGCTTGAGTCCAGGAGTTCAAGACAAGCCTGGGCAAAATGGCAAAACCTCGTCTCTATGAAAAATACATAAATTAGCCAGGCATGGCGGTGCATGCTGTAAGTCCCAGCTATTTGGGAGGCTGAGGTGGGAGGACTGCTTGAGCCTAGGAGGTCCAGGCTGCAGTGAGCTGTGATGGTGCCACTTCACTCCAGCCTGGGTGACAGAGTGAGACTCTGTCTCAAAAAATAATAATAAAATAAAAACATTACTGCTGATCAGTTGTGTCTAAACCACAGAGGGGAGGGGGGCATAATGAGGCATGTCTGACTTCCCATCCCATCATGACTGGGAACTCAGTTTTCAGTTTTTTCTGTGGTACCCTTGGCCAACAGGGAGTTATTTCAGTTGGTGAGGGGGTGGTTAGGATTTTATTTTTAATTTACAGATGGAGAAAAAAAAAACACAGAAGATTGTGAGGTATCAGGAGCCAAAAGAGGTGACTATCAAGGAGGACACAAAGGTCAACAGTATCTAATGCTGCTGAGAGCCTATGCAAGATAAGGACAGAAAAGTGTGCACTGGCTCCTGGGGGAATCAGGGGACTCTGGGAAGATGGCATCATCCCAAATGCGTGCAGCCTCCTCTTCCCTCCCAAACTCAACACCAAACTCCTTCCAAGAGACAAGAAGCAGCCACAAGCAAGTGTCTGAATTTTGCTACTACAGACTCATGGACAGTTGGGAGAGAAAAATGCTCTCCATTCACATGAGGGTTCCTGGGCTTCCTGGCTCCAGAAAGTGTAAAGAGGTGGCCCAAGTCATCTCTGTCCATGCCGATGGGAGTTCAAAGACATGGAGTCTTCCTTGTATGTTTCTGTAGGGGTTTGGCAACCTTGCCTTGCTGGCTGTAGGCTCTTGGGGACAGGCTGCTGACCCTGTCACCACTCAAGGTGGCACCATTTATTGTCCTACAGCAGCAAGAAAGTAGCCCCATTGAAAGGACATGGGGAAGAGAGTAATACACCAAGGGGACCCAGCAGGTGGAGAGAGAAGGAGCAAGCAGAACCCTCACAAGAGATCCTTAAAAAATAAAACTCTTGGGGAAGACAAGACAAAGGAGCACAGTTTAGGACATTTAAGTATAACACAAACAAAACATTGTGAATTTTTTGTTTGTTTGTCTGTTTTTGAGACAGAGTTTCACTCTTGTTGCCCAGGCTAGAATACGATGGCACGATCTCGGCTCACGGCAACCTCCACCTCCCAGGTTCAAGCGATTCTCCTACCTCAGCCTCCAGAGTAGCTGGGATTACAGGCACCCGCCACCTCGCATGGCTAATTTTGAATTTTTAGTAGAGACGGGGTTTCTCCATTTTGTTCAGGCTGGTCTCGAGCTCCCGACCTCAGGTGATCCACCCACCTCGGCCTCCCAAAATGCTGGGATTACAGGCATGAGCCACAGTGCCTGGCTGAACATGGTGCATTTTTTTAAACCCATAATTTGGAACAAAACATTCAGTAGATGGACCACGTAGACACTGGTGAGTTCCAAACAAGTTGCTTGGAAGATCAAGTGAAAGAAATATTTCCAAGACCAGAGCAAAAACTCCACAGGAAAAGAAAATAGGGAGGAAAAGATGGAATACTTGGAGTTAAGTCAAGGAGTTATAACAAGTAAAAAGTAGAGATTCCAGTGGGAGTAAACTGAATGGAAGGGGAGGCAATAATTCAACCAATAAGAGGGAAATTACCTTAAGAGGAAGATTTGACTCTCTGTGTTGAAGAATTTTACTAAATTCCTGAAGGGATTGTCAGGAACTTTACCTATCTTGAGAAATCCGACAACTCCAAGAACAAAGAGAAATACTTACAAGCTTCTAGATAATGCAGATACATAGAGGCAAAAACCCAATCAGACTGGCACATAACCAAAAGTTTATAAAAGTACATTTACAGACCACCAAGTTTTTGAAAAATTTATTAATTTCTTGCATATGGCTATAACAAATTTAAAGATATCCACTGTTACCATTCTCAATTGCTGCATAAGAAACCACTCAAAACTTAGTGACTTAAGATGACAATGTATTGTTTCTTGTGACCCTGTTGGCTAGCTGGGTAGTTCTTTTATGCATCCCACTTAGGTGGCAACATTTACCTGGAGGGGCAGTTGGGAACTGAGCTCAATTGAGTCTCGGAGGCAGATGGGCTGGTTGGGCTTCTGTCTCCATGGGATCTTTCATCATTAAAAAGGTGGTGGCAATGTTCCAACATGCCCCAATGCACAAGTGCTTCTTACAACTCCACTTGAGTCATGTTTGCTGATGTGTCATTGGACAAATCAAGGCACATGGTCAAACCTGTGTCAAATGAAATCAGTATGGGAGATGAAAATGTAAGGGTATAAATGCCAAGTGCTGTGGATTAATGAGGTGCGTTAATTTAACAATCTACCACAACCACCAGAAGAATAAAGATACAATCTATAACTTCCAAATCAGGAAAAGAACAAGGGGTGGAAATGCAGAAAACACAGTTCAACACAAAGTAGAAAGTTAGGGGAAAAGGAGCAAATATAAAGGGTGGCAAATAACATCTCAAATAAAATGGCAGAAATAAGTCCAACTATTTCATTATTTGCAATATAAAAAGGGATTCGATTGTTTCTGTAATACTTTATTCAAAAATAAGTTATGAAGGCCAGTCACAGTGGCTCATACCTTTAATCCCAGCACTTTAGGAGGCTGAGGCAGGTAAACTGCTTGAGCCCAAGAGTTAGAGACCAGCCTGGGCAACATAGTGAGACCCTATCTCTACAAAAAATAAAAAACAAAATTAGGTGTGGTGGTGTGCCTGTAGTCGCAGGTACTCAGGAGGCTGAAATGAGAAGACTGCTAGAGTCCAGAAGGTTGAGGCTGCAGTGAGCTGAGATAATGCCACTGCACTCCAGCCTGGGCAACAGAGCAAGACCCTGTCTCAAATAATAAATAAATAAATAAATAAATAAATAAATAAATAAAGCGAAAATGATTGGACAATGGAATCACAGATGTTTGTTATATCACTTTCTGTGTTTTTAAAAACTATTTTCTAATTATTTCTGAATACTTTCTTTAAAATGTATCATTTAAAACTGAGTAAAAGAAAAAGGAGGAATTATATTTTAAATTTTATTAAGCAGTGAAGAGTAGACAATACAAAATGCTAGCAAGGATGTGGAGCAACAGGAACTCCCGTTTGTTGTTCATGGGAATGTAAAATGGTACAGCCCCTTTCAAAGACAGTTTGGCAGTTTTTTACATATTCTGACCATAGGACCCAGAAATTGCTCTCCTTTATCTTTACCCAAATGAGTGAAAACTTACATCAATACTGAAAACTACCCATGGCTGCTTATAGCAGCTTTATTCATAATTGCCAAAACTTGGAAGCAACCAAGATATCCTTCAATAAGCAAATGGATAAACAAACTGTGGCATATCCTTACAATGCAATAAAATAAATGCACTATCAAGCCCTGAAAAGAGGACATAGAGGAACCTTAAATGCACACTACTGAGTGAAAGAGACCCATCTGAAAAGACTACATCTTGTATGATTCCAGCCGTATGACTGTCTTAGTTCATTTATGCTGCTACAACAAACTGCCTGAGACTGAGTAATTTACAAGGAACAGAAATTTTTTCTTATTGTCCTGGAGGCTGGTAGTCTAAAATCAAGGTGTTGATGGGTTCGGTGTCTGGTGAGGGCTGCTCTCCACTTCCATGACATTGCCTTGTTGTTGCATCCCCTGATGGGAGGAACACAGTGTCCCCCATGGGAGGGAGAGAAGGGATGAAAAAGGACACGCTCATAAGAGCACCAAGTACCATTCATGAGGGTAGAGCCCTCACAGCTCCATCACCTCTTAAAGGCCACACTTAATACCATCACATTGGCCATAAAGTTTCAATATATGAATTTGGGGAACACATTCAGATCATAGCAATGTCATTCTGGAACAGGCAAAAATATGGAGACAGTGGTTGCCAGGGGTTAGTAGAGAGGGAGGGATGAATAGTCAGGGCACAATTTTTAGGGCAGTGAAACTGTTCCGTATGCTGGATACGTGTCAGTATACATTTGCCCAAACCCCTAGAATGTACAACACCAAAAGTGAACCCTAATGTAAACTGTGGACTTTCATTAGTAATAATTTATCAATATTGGCTCATCAGTTGTTAACAAATGTACCACACTAATGCAAGAAGTTAATAACAGGGGAAACTCTGTGTGTGTGTGTGTCTGTGTGTCTGTGTGTGTATGTGAGAGAGAGAGAGAGAGAGAGAGAGAGAGAGAGAGAGATATGGTTTGTCTCTGTGTCCCCACCCAAATCTCATCTGAAATTTTAATCCCCATAATCCCCACATGTGAAGTGAGGGACCCGGTGGGAGGTTTCTCACGATGTTCTCATGATAGTGAGTGAGTTCTTGCAAGATCTGGTGGTTGTATAAGTGGTGGTTTCCCTGCTCTCTTCTCTCTTCTGCCGCCTTCTGAAGAGGGTGCTTCTTTCCCCTTCGCCTTCTGCCATGATTGTAAGTTTCCTGAGGCCTCTCAACCCATGTGGAACTGTGAGTCAATTAAACCTCTTTATTTTATGAAGTACCCAGTATCAATCAGGTATTTCTTTATAGCAGTGTGAAAACAGACTAATACAGTGTGTGTGTGTGTGTGTGTGTGTATGTGTGTGTGTGTGTGTCTGTGTGTCTGTGTTAAGGGAGATATATGGGAACTCTCTGTACTTTCCACTCAATTTTTATGTAAAATGCTCTAAAAAATAAAGCTTATTACAAAAAAAAGTGATGAGGAAGAATAATAATTCCCTAACTCTCAAAGAATTACAAATAACATGACCCTTCTGAAAAACAAATAAGATTAAAGAATAGACATGTTCATATAAAATGCTAAAAAACAACAGAAGAAATAGAAAAGCAAGCTGCTGACAGACAGATGGCAGAAAAGAGTGAAAGAGAAGAACAAAATGACAAAATAAAAAAAGAATGAAAATAATTGAATTGTTCAGAGATCAACTAGACAGGCCAAAGGAAATGATACACACATTACAAATTGGAGAACATCTAAGATTTGAAACTATTATACAGAAAAGTATAAGCATGAAAGACAAAGGAGATATATTGGGTTCATAATTAGTATAGTCATATATTGCTTAATGACAGGAATACCTCTGAGAAGTGTGTAGTTGGTCATTTTGTTGTTATACAAACATCACAGAGTGTATTTACATGAACCTAGATGGCATAGCCTACTACACACCTAGGCTATATGGTACAGCCTATTGCTTCTAAGCTACAAACCTGTAGAGCATGTTACTGTACTGAATACTGTAGGCAATCGTAGCACAAGGGTGTTTGTGTATCTAAGATACAGTAAGAATAGTATTTTTATTTTTTTTATTATTTTACTTTAAGTTCTAGGGTACATGTGCACAACGTGCAGGTTTTTTACATATGTATACATGTGCCATGTTGGTGTGCTGCACCCATTAACTCATCATTTACATTAGGTATATCTCCTAATGCTATCCCTTCCCCCTCCCCCCATCCCCCAGCAGGCCCTGGTGCGTGATGTTCCCCACCCTGTGTCCATGTGTTATCATTGTTCAATTCCCACCTATGAGTGAGAACGTGCGGTGTTTGATTTTCTGTCCCTGTGATAGTTGGCTCAGAATGATGGTTTCCAGCTTCATCCATGTCCCTATAAAGGACATGAACTCATCCTTTTTTATGGCTGCATAGTATTCCATGGTGTGTATGTGCCACATTTTCTTAATCCAGTCTATCATTGATGGACATTTGGGTTGGTTCCAAAAACACAGTATTATAATCTTATGGGACCACTGTCTTATATGTGGTCCTTTTGTTGTTTTGCAGCACATGACCACATTCTGAAAAATAGAACAAAACAAGCAAAATAGAAAAAAAAAAAAAACCTAAAAATATACTCCTTAAGTAGTGAGTAAACCATAAAGCTGGAAACATATTATGTTTCAATTAAAACTGATATGGAAAAGCCACATCAAAATAGCTGCTAGTGAAGTTATTCAGCTTTAAAAACAGCAGATAATTTGAGTCACAGTTTTGGAAAAGCATGTTTTGCAAACTTCTTCCCTTGAATTCAACTGTAAAGATGCCACCGAAGCAAGAGATCCCAGACTTTAGGGTGGGGAAAACACCAGAAACCTTAGGAAGGTAGAAGGTTTTTGTATTTCATTGTGGGGAAGAAAAATGGTACCTAAAGTAGAAGGGGGCCAGTTACCACCATAGGAAATAGGTGAAGGAGGAGCTTTGTTCCCCCATCACCTCCCCTACATGTAACTACAAGGTAAGGAAGCAGCAATTAGAAATTACAGTGCTAGCTGGGGTGTGGTGGCTCACACCTATAATCCCAGCACTCTGGGAGGCCAAGGCAGGAGGATTGCTTGAGTCCAGGAGTTAGAGACCAGCCTGGGCAACATAGTGAGACTCCGTCTCCACAAAAAATAAGCAAAATTATCTGCGTGTGGTAGCACACACCAGAAGTCTCAGCTACTCAGGAGGCTGAGGCGGGAGCATTGCTTAAACCCAGAGTTCAAGGCTATAATGAGCCATGATGGCACACTGCACTCCAGCCTGGGTGACAGAGTGAGACCCTGTCTCAAAAAAGAAAAGAAAAGAAATAATATACCCTGAGCTCAGGTACTTGAAGTTTCCCTGACAGTGGGAGTCATCTGAAGTTAGTAGGAAGAAGGTTCCATAGGTAGTAGTTGAGCCTCATTGACAACACCAGAGTTCCCGTTACCCAAAAAAACAAGTGGAGGGGGCACAGGCTATGGCCTGGGATTTTTGTCCTTCCCAACTAAATATTGTCTGCTAAGCAGCTGATAGCCCCCAGGAACATGAGCTCACTGAGAAAAAAAAATAGACAATTGAGGCATGCAAACTAACAGTCAAAAAATAGACATGCTGGATATAACACATACATTGGTTGAAATAAAATATTCAATGGATGTGAGAAAATGCGGAATGGATACAAAGAATGAACTAGCAACATCCTTTGCAAGTAGAGAACAAAACAAGTTTCAGTCAATTCTAAGTGGAAAGAAATAGTACGTTATAACCAAAGATTCTCTACTCTGTCAAATTTTTCATCAAGTATTAAAGGCAACAGACAGATATTCTCAAGCAGGTAAGACAACAAAAAGTACAGCATCCATGAATACTTCTCAAACAACATCGAACATTAACCAATCATTCCATGAACTCCAGCCAACTATAAATTAGTATCAAAAATGAAGTTCTCAGATTTCTTCGCTCCTGTGAGTCACATAAACATAAAACTAAAAGTAGAGAACTCCAGGAATGGTAGTTAAGACTACAAATATTATCAATCTTGATAGAGTAAAATAAAGTGTACACTGCTTCATTTTAAGTTGGAAGGATGAAAACAAGTATGTATGCTTATTTACCCAGTTTTTAAAATTAAGGAGTGAATAAATGCTGTCTACAAGGAAAATGTGTAGTTTAAAAAATGAGTCCAGACACAAGCATTGTACCTTTTTTTTTTTTTTTTTTTTTTTTGAGAAGGAGTCTCGCTCTGTCACCCAGGCTGGAGTGCAGTGGTGCTATCTCAGCTCACTGCAACCTCCGCCTCCAGGGTTCAAGTGATTCTTCTGCCTCAGCCTCCCAAGTACTGGGACTATAGATGCGCGCCTCCATGCGCAGCTAATTTTTGTATTTTTAGTAGAGACGGGGTTTCACCGTGTTGGCCAAGATGGTCTCTATCTCTTGACTTCGTGATCCGCCCTCCTCGGCCTCCCAAAGAGCTGGGATTACAGGTGTGAGCCACCGTGCCCAGCCTGCACTTTCTTCTTAACTTTAGAGGTACCATTTAGGAAACCATACTCCGGCGACATTGGAGCGGTTCCGATGCCCGCCCGGAAGAGAGCGCTCTGGCCCAGGCATCGCAGCTGCGGGACAGCCGGGAGCGGAGCAGGGGGCAGCCGCGGAAAGGAAAATGTGTTTAGAGGTAAGGAAAGGAAATGCTCCAAGGGATAAAGAGACATTTATAACTTCAATCATTTTTAAGTTGACGTTACCTGTAGTCAGTGTTTCTAAGAAACATACACTGATAGAGAGCGATCACCCATATGACAGAACATTGCTCTTTAATGCTGCCATTTGGGAAAAGAAAGGAGGGGAGGAGAGGAATGTACACTTTTTTGCTTTTATTCGCAAACAATGTTTGGCAGTTTGGGGTCAGAGAGAGCCATATTCTGTATTTCTTACACATTTGATCCTTTGCAGGGCTTGTATAAATTTTTCATCATTGAAGAATAAAACTAGCTTAATAAAAAGAAAATGACAGGTGAAAGGTAAAAACTGTTCATATATTTTGCTATGAAGAGAAGCAAAAAAAAAAAAAAAAAAAAAAAAAGGAGTATGTCTGGATGCTGATGGTAACCATACTTTAGAGAAGGACGGGTGCAGGTTGGGTTCCTGAGGAAATGTACAGGAAGCATATAAACCAATGCATACAGCACCTGCACCTGTAGAAGGAAGGAGGAGGAAGCAGGTGTGGGCAGGGGGAGAAGGTCAGCTGTGGTGGAACCCAACACCCTTTGCCCGCCTCACAAGAAGCTCTGGAGATTGAACAGCCCTTCAGAGATGTCTGAAGTTGGGCTGGGAAGAGCAAACCTTTAGCTTCTACATCAGTCACTGGCCGGGGGTCACCTGCGAAGCAGCATACGTACCCTTCAGCCTAGATGCTTTCCGCAATCGTGGAGAGGCGGACTGCAGGAGGCTGTGCTGACAGCACGCCAGCAGCTGGGGCAGCAAGTCCTTCACTGATGCAGTGCTGGTGGCCCATCAGTGTCTGCCACAGGGAGATGGCTCAGGGATGAGGAGATGGCAAAGGCTGAGAAGCGAAACACTACTGGGGTTCACTGTGCTGGAACTAGCCTGCAGCTTCCTCCACTATAACAAGGGTGGAGTGCCAACTGGTGTGGAGGTTTGGTGGTGGAAGGGATAGATCATCCCCTGTCAGCATCTACATGCTCAAAGAAACTTTGAGAAATGTTATCTCTTGCAGGAGAGAAGGCTAAGAAATGTTTGTCTCAGAGACTGGGAAAGCGGGTCTTCTGGGGACACTTAGGAGAGTTGCAGGGCACGTTTATATGCTTATAGAAGTGGGAAAATTAAAGGAGGACGAGTCATCTCTATCACATTTTCCTCCATCAACTCAGTGGCTCAGGCTAGGAAACTTGAAGGCAGAATTGTCCTGGAGGATTTCCAATGCTAGAAGCATCATGAAGGAAGAGAGGGGCTGGAGGTATTTGTAGGAGAAGAGGACAAATGGAGGACCACAGATGGCTGGTGGTACTGAGGCTCAGAAATGTTGTACAGCTTGAGCAGATTCGGAAAAGCAATGCAGCTCTGGTGTATCATATGCCAGGGTCCTGGCATGACACCCTCCACTAGGTAAATAGAGGAGCATGGGACTTACAAAGGAGCTGGAGGAGAAGAGGACACCCAGGAACGGCGTAGTGCCTTGGCTCTGGTAAGTGGGAGCTGTCCTTGCCATCCTAGGCCTGAAGCGGGAGGAGAGCAATCATAAGAGAACCAAGGGACTGTCAGGCTGTGCGGAGAGGACTTCCGAACAGGGGCCTGGACTTCCAGGTGGGGGAAGCAGCCAGCCCTTCAGGAGCCAGCCAGGAGACAGCGTGCGGAATAGGGGCCTCTCCCTCAGACTCCCCATCCTTCGATTCCCTGTCCCTTTCTCTAGGAGACAAGGGAGGCTCCGGAGCAGGATGCCGCGTGGAAGAATTTGGAATCAGCGCACACCCCTACTCCTCATGACACAAGTCATCAAACCAACCAGGGCGTCAAAATCTTATTTATAAGCTAAGAGCATCCATCCTTCTGTAGTTTGCAGAGGGCTCCTCATACATGGCAGCGCTTCCTGTGACAATCCCAGAGGGTCCAACTGGAACTGGAAAGTGCACCATTCCCAAGGAGCAGTGGGAGCTCGCTCTGGGAAGAGTTTCTTCCCTCTCCGCGGAGCCTTCCAGCCACTCTTACAAGGAATTTCTCATCCCTGCAGTCGGCTTGGCCAGCAGCAGCCGCGGGGCTGCGCCAGTGCCCGCCTCTGGCCAGGGGTTCCCGCGCCTCGAGCAGCGCCCTGGGCCCTTCTACGGGAAGAGGGGATCGCGGCGCCCGCGACACCCAGGAGCTCGGACGACCGCAGCCTCACCACTAACCCCCAACAAAGGTACAGCGGGAGTCCAGGCCGAGATAAAGTTCCCTTCCCAGTCCGCTGGGGAGACAACTGGCCGCGGCTGCCCTCTGCTCCGCTCCCGGCTGTCCCGCAGCTGCGAGGCCGGGGCCAGAGCGCTCCCTTCCGGGCGGGCATCGGAGCCGCTGCGGCGCCGACCGCCCTTCGCGCCCGGGCCGCTGGAGAAGGCGGAGCGAGCTCGCAGCTGCTAACCCCCGAGGGGCCGCCTCGCTGGCGAGGGGAGCGGGAGGAAGGTCCGGATTCCGGTGGCAGGAACTGGGGCTCTGGGCCACCGGTTCAGGCTGCCCCAGGAAATGCCTGCTTTGCGGTGCCGCAGAGGGTATAGAGGAGCTCGGCCCCAGAGGGTGGCTGTTGGGGAGGCGGAGCTGGCCGCAGGCTGGAGCAGCTGCGGAGCCTCCCATCCCGAGCCTAGAATCGGAGAAATTTCAGGCGGAAAATACTGCGGGGATGGTTTGGCTCAAGTCTCCCATTCTACAGATGTGAAATTTTAGAGTGACCCGACTGGGGTCGCACAGAGGGCTGTTGGCAGCAGGACCTGGGGGAAGAGCGAGAGGAGAGGGCCCCCGTGGCGGCCCTGCCCTGTCCTAAAGGAGAGGGGCTGCCTCCCAGATGAGAGCCCTGAGAGGCCCTAGCTGCGCACCCTATTCGGTAATACCAAATAAACCAACCAAAATAAAACATAAACCTTATAGACGTGCTGAAATACAATTCTCTCCTTTCTACATTTCCGAATACAAACATTTTGAATGAGTTTATCAGAGGTAAACCTTTCCCTCGGTTTTAGTGGTGGCAGTTTGCTGATGCCCAGGGTCCAAGCGTGGGGAACCCCGCACTGCTGAGCAAAGGTTAAGGGCAGAAGCTCAAACTGGGTTCACGGTTAATTTGGCTACCAGCTCTGTCCAGGTTTGAGCCTCGGGTTCTGCATCTGCGGAATGGGAAGACGGTTGGGAGAGATGGCCTTTGCCAAGGGTGGACCGAGAGCGACCGCCGCGCGTGGGAATTTCACGGCACAGCCTACGACTCTCTAGAGCAATGGGAGGATCAGCTAGGTGGGCAAAAGGGCCAAAGCGTCAGTTCGCCGCCCAGGTCGTCCTCTGGCGCCGCTTCCCAGCCCGCCCAGGCGCTGTCCAGGCCCCAGACGACCCTCCGACCTTGTGCCGGGAAGGCCCCGCGGCGCGGTGCGCACCGCGAACTCCCCTGTGGTTCTCAATAGTTGGAATTGAAAGGACGCCGGGTGGGTCCGGCCCGAGACTTAGCTGTGGGAGCTCAGCTCTGCGCTGCAGTCAGAGCAATTTCCGACGCCCACATCTTTACCTCTACTCCCTCCTTCCGTTAATCCACCCCCGGAAAAAAGAAACGCCAAATGTATTCAGCTGCCTCAATTTGTAATTGCTCACTTATTAGACTTTACTAATCCTCAGGACAGGGACCTTTTATATTGGGATTGTCAAAATCCTTAAAACACTGAAAGACTCACACCCAGGCAAGCCTGAAGTTAGCCACATGGGAGCTACAGTTCGCCCAACACACACCTATACAACATGAATTTTCCACCTAAATAACATAAAATTTGAAGACACTCCCTACGGAGACACTATTTTCTCCTCACATTTCCAAATAGAGTCGGGCTAGTGCTCAGAAATATATTTGTTCTCATGTTTTAGAAGTTTAAAATAAATGGATTAGATTATCAAATTAAGAGCGAATAAGTCACTTCGAAGAACAAACACAACGTTCCAGTGAGACACGGAAAGAAAAGCTAGAAAGAAGTTATTGCTGAGAATATAAAAGCGGGAGGGAAATCCTCTGTCTAATTTATTTCTCCCTCAACAGTTTTGTAAGAAAACGTCTTGGGCTCAAAGTAGTTGCAAAGAAGTCTCCCGTAGCACAGCCGGGGCGCACGGGTCCGGTGCTGGCAGCTGTGCTATCTGAATCCTCTCTGGCCATTACCGCTGCTCAGGCACATTTTCAAACCAGGGGTGCTAACGTCAATCTGGCTTTCTGCGTTTGCTTCCGACGAGGGGGGACCGGACCCAGGGTGGGGCTGCGTAAACTCGGGGACACTTGGGAACATTTACTCAGGAAGTGAGAGGGGCCGGCTGCTGGTGGCTGGTCCTGGACAGAGTGGTCGAGGGACCAGGGCTCAGGTCGGTTCCGCTGCGCCCGCCGTCGCCGACAGTGAAGTAAGTACAGTGCGGGCGGCGGCTCCCGGTGAGTCACTTCGTGAGTGACACTCAGCCCCGGGGGTCGCGCTGGGGTCGGAGCCGGAAGGAATGTTCTGTCCCCGGAACCGCTTGCAGCCAGGAGTTGGAGGCCCTCTGGCCCCGCAGAGGCTGGGTTGCAGGCATCGAAAACTTCCTGAACACGACCAGTAAGAATTTGATCTCGAGCTTCCGAACTCCAAACGCCTGGGCAAGAATTCAGCAAAGCGCAGCACCGCTCACCCGCACTTCCCCCAGCTAGCGGTTGCTGTTTCTTGGAAGACGCGTTTATCCGCCCCAGTCCCGGGTGGGTGGGTCATTTTGCCAAAGAAAATGTGGTTGGGGGTGACTTCGAGTAGACTTTCACTATTAAATAAGTGCACCTCAGTGATGGATTTGTTCCAAATTGATGTTTGACTTTTAAAAAAGCGGTGGTGAATGACAACACGAAACAATCAGTGTCACAGGTTAGCAAATCACACTGTCTCCTAAATTAAGGCAAATGTTGGCTTTATATCTATTCAGGAAAAAGGGGGAGATGGAAAGTTTTCTCAAACCTAACGTCTCCAACAAACTCATATCCAGATAAAACTTCCTACACATGACTCCCACGCACATGTTTCGACCAGGAAACTTTTGTTTACCAGACTCTCTTCCTGGTAATTTCTCCTGTCTCTTTTCCCCTCCCCAACCTACTTTCGGCAGTTTGGAAGGCTGGAGATTTTTGTTAAGGACACTTTACACTAATCTCAGTTAACCGGCAGGCCAAGCTAACCTGGCAAAGAATAAGAAGGAAAGACACACACACACACACACACACACACACACACACACACACACGACAGCGATTTCCAAACATCCTTTCTACTTAAACTTCCTAATCCCGTGCCTGTCCCAGAAGGGTCTCCGAATGAGTCCCCGGCGTGGGTTGGGGGGGGGGTTCCAGTGCCTAGTGCATCTCCTACCCTGCTCTCCCTCCTCCAACCGCCTCCCTACTCTGCAACACGTAAGCATCACGAAACCTCCTGCGAAACATCTGGATGGGGACTGGTGTCCCAACATCTGGGCAACTACCGCCAAGGCTGGCTTCTAGGGAACGAGTGCGGAAATGCGTGCGGGTGTGGGAGCGCACCACTCAGTAGGGTAGGACCTCTCCCAGCGCTAGGTCACTGCAGCATTCTTCCCACCATCTGCTCCTGTCACCAGCCCCTAACTCCGCCCCTTTGGGCCCGCCCCTTGTTCCGAAGCCAATAGCAACCCCTGACCGCCCTACACCGCCCAGAAGCCTTTCCACACCCCCTCGTCCTGGGAGCGGGTTGGCTGCTGAGCTCTCGGAGAAGCGCCTGTATTTGCATGGCGTTCGGGGTTTTTGGTAGGTAGAGCAGCCCGTCACTCTGGAAGGCCGGGACCGCCCACTCCACCTCGGTCCACAGCTCTCTTCCTGCGCAGTTCGCCTCTGCAGCCTCTGCGGGGAAGTGCCGGGGCTGCTCGAGGCTCAGTTCTTAGGACTGCAAGGAGGCAGCCCCGGCGTGCGGCGGTGCGCACAGTCTAGAGTGGCCAGGGCGCGAGAGTGCAACGTCCTCCTGGCCCCGAGCGCGTCGTCGCGCCCCGGGAGCAGACCCTCGCCCAGCAGTTACCGCCGTCCCGACTTTCCGTTCCAGTTGCAGCTCCTGCCGGGCAACATGTCAAGAGCCGCCGCCGCTACAGCTGCCGCCGCCACCTGGGGAAGAGCAGCAGCAGCAGCGGCGGCCGCGGGCACACGGGGGCAATAAACCGAGCCACCCGGGCGTCCAGCGTGCCGGGGAACCCTCTCTGCGCTCACTGCCCGGCGGGACCCACGCCATGTGCTGAGCCATGTCCCTGGCCGCGCCCGCGGGCAGCGCATGGGGCAGCGCCTGAGTGGCGGCAGATCTTGCCTCGATGTCCCCGGCCGGCTCCTACCGCAGCCGCCGCCGCCCCCGCCGCCGGTGAGGAGGAAGCTCGCGCTGCTCTTCGCCATGCTCTGCGTCTGGCTCTATATGTTCCTGTACTCGTGCGCCGGCTCCTGCGCCGCCGCGCCGGGGCTGCTGCTCCTGGGCTCTGGGTCCCGCGCCGCACACGACCCGCCAGCCCTGGCCACAGCTCCGGACGGGACGCCCCCCAGGCTGCCGTTCCGGGCGCCGCCAGCCACCCCACTGGCTTCAGGCAAGGAGATGGCCGAGGGCGCTGCGAGCCCGGAGGAGCAGAGTCCCGAGGTGCCGGACTCCCCAAGCCCCATCTCCAGCTTTTTCAGTGGGTCTGGGAGCAAGCAGCTGCCGCAGGCCATCATCATCGGCGTGAAGAAGGGCGGCACGCGGGCGCTGCTGGAGTTTCTGCGCGTGCACCCCGACGTGCGCGCCGTGGGCGCCGAGCCCCATTTCTTCGATCGCAGCTACGACAAGGGCCTCGCTTGGTACCGGTGAGTTTCCCTGCCAGGGGCAGGGTCTCCATCGTCGATTCAGACCCTGAGCTAAGGGAGACATGGCGTATGATAGGGAATTGGCAGGGTTACAGCTTCGGACCACCCGGGGTAGGGCAGGGAAACTACGGCAGATTGCGCAGCGCATCCTGTCCGGGTGCGGTGAGGGTTGCGCTCCGCTTGGTTCTCGTCACAACCCACAGAAAGTTCTCGCGGAGCACTGGTGCCCTTGAATTCATCAGGCGACCTCGCCGCAAAGAAGAAGGGCAGCGACTGAGACCGCCCTCAGCAAAGCGAGCCACCCTCTAACCATGGGGGTATCCGACTCGAATCGTATTTTATGACTCGTTTTAAATTTTTTCCTCCCGGAGCCCGAGACGCTGGGAATGTTCTGAGCCCCTTTGGTCGGTCTCCGCCCTCAAGGAACTTCTAGAGCAGCTTCTGCTTCCCAGATGGGGAGAGGGGGTGGGGGCCGCGGCGTCCCGGCGAGGCCGCAGAGTCTGTTAACTTTTTGTTACAGTCCGCCTGGTTACCGGAACCCCAAGGGTGTCAGACCCGCCTCGCTCGCGAGCCGCCTGGGCTCGGGAGGGTGAGCCGGGCGGGTGGCCCGGCGCCTCCGCCTGGCGGGCGGGCGGCGCGCGGAGCGTGGAGCTGTGCTGGTCCCTGTCGGGCAAAGGCGCGCACTGCAACCGGCTGGAGCGGCGCGAGGCTTTGAAGGCGTCCGGGCCTCCGGGCACCGCCGCCCGTTTCCGCCTCCCTGCCCTCGGTGCTGGGATAGGGAAAGCAAGGACGCGTGTCTCCGCGGGGCTTTTACACGTCCGGAGCAAAGAATATTCGGGGCCCATTGATTGAGAAATGAGGGTTGCTTCGAGGTCGCGGCTTCCGGAAATTCTGTTCTCGAGTCGGGTTGCGGGTCAGGTTCCAAAGGGACAGTGGCCCCGGGGTCACAATCACTACCTCTGCCCACTGCTTTCCGCAGCTGCTGGTCTTTGGGGTGAGCTGTTGGGTTGCCCGAGCTTCGGGTAAGGCGCGAGTGGGCAGGAGGTCTAGATTTCGGCCTCCGATAACTGTCTTCGACTAGGGGCCCAGGTAACGACCCCCACATTTTCGTTGGGGTCTCCACCCGTAACCCCAGCCAGCACGACATTCAGACACCCCTCCAGGCCCAATTAGCTTCACAGACGCTCAAGACTTGGGAAAACAAAAGAGGAGAAGATAACTGAACCCCTCTCCCTGTGCCCACCCCACTGTCGGGACCTGGGTGGGTTGGAGAATAAAAGAGGGCTGACCCCGCGGATTAAAACGGCTCCCTTCCCAGCCTCGTCCTACCCCTTCCCCTTTGTCCTTAATGGTTTTTTATTATTGTCAGGAGTTGCCCAAGTCTCGAGGTTTAGCCAACCGTGACAGTCATCTTTCCCACCGTTCCCGGGCTGTGACCCATTCTCGGGACACTGGTGGATAAGAATGGGGTCTCTGGAGTCCGACGCCTGGATTCACGTCCTGGCTAGTCGCGTGAACCTTGGTGCTCTCATCTGTGCAGTGGGAATAATGCAGGTTCTGGGCAGGGATGGGAAGAGTGAATGCGCTGGTACGGTAAGGTGCCTCGCAGGCACGTGAGGGCCTCTCTAATCGTTAGCTATTGTCACCGATTGTATTGTTATGACTTCTACCACCACCACTCCCCCTCCTCCTGGGATGGTGATTCCAGGGCCAGGCGGCAGGCTATAACTAGCGCCCTTCCAGGTGGAACCCGCCAGAGCCCCGAGGCAGCCTAGGATTTTCTGAGATCAGACACACTTGGGCCGGGTTGGGAGGAACTGGCAGGAAAAGGACTGAACCCTTAATGTCAGGCGGTTTTGAAGCACCTGGGGCAAGCTATGGAAATCCCCACAGGAAGGCTCACGCAGTCTCTTAGGCGGCTGCCCTCCACCTGCCACGTTCTTTTTGATTGACTAAAAAACGCTGAATGAAGAACGAAGTCGCGTGGAAACCCTCGCCGCGCGCCTGCAGCGGACAGCGCAGCCCGGGAGGTTCGGCTGCCGACTTGCGCCCGGGGGCTGCGCTGCGAGCGGCCACGCATGGCGGCTGGACCCGGGCGGCCGCAAGGGCTTGGCTGGGCCGCGGGAGGCGGGAGGTTCTTCGTCCTCCCGAGCCATCTCCCTGAACTGACAAGCAGGACTCCCGGGTCCAGGGGGCACAGGGCCCGGGGCGGTGACCCGGCGGATCGGGCTGCCGGAGGAGCCCACTGTAAATGCCGCAACTGGCCCCAAACACTGCGTTCCTGGACTGCACCAGCAGCTCCTGGCGCGGCCGCAGAGTTGGTGGATATTTTCCAAGGGGGAAAAAAATCTTTTAAATGCCATCTGTTTACTTTAAAAATGTTGATTACTTAAGAAAAACGAATGGATGTCTGGGCAAAGGTATGGACGTCACAATTATTTTGAAGGCGTCCTTTTTAACTTTAAACAGACCACGCCAGGAGGAGACTGCTGACCCAGAGCGCATTACCTAAAATCTGGTACCCAGAGTGCACCCTTCGCCCTCGTTGGAGTTCTCTCCTCTCTGCCAAGCTTTGCTCCGTGCCAGAGGTGTGCTCCATTGTACCTCCGCTCTGTCCCTGCAGTCAGGCAACCAATTGGAGAAGAGTATAAATAGTAATTAACCAGGGAGAGTTGTAATTCAGAAACCTAGTTAAAACAAGTCCTCAAAAACTAGAGAATATGAGAGTGGGGAGACATTTTGAAGGCATTAAGAACAAAAAACGATGGGGACGAATGGTTGAGTCTGAGGATCAGCATCGTAATCTGTTAGAGAACGAGGTCGTGGCTGTGTCTGTGAGTCGTTAATGGGTTTAATCGGTTGATACACAGCCTGCTAGTGGCCTAACCAGTAACCCAGGGCCTGGCAGATTTGCATGACATCTCGGAGTTTGATTGCTCTTCCTTCCACTTGGCAAAAGGAGACACCATCAGCCGGATCAGGAGGGGTCATGGTGAGATGGAACCCACCGAGGTGGTGTACAGAGCTGGCGCTGCCAATGGCCAGAGTGGCAGCCTTTCTACCTCCTTAACCCTGCAAAAATCAAACGTGCTAGTACGCACTGTCCATCCACACTGGAACTCCAGTTGGTTTTAGTCTGCGATGATGACTCTTCTGGGTTGACTTTTCCAGTTCATTATGCAGCCCTCTTGAAGCAGGCCTCCCAAACTTAGCAGACACCAATGAGAACCTCACAAAGAGGCTCATCAAGCAGGCTGGTGAAACTGGGTGTTACTTCCTGTTCCATGGGTACCCCATAGTGTTTGGGAAACACCGGGCTGTGGTTCAGGAGAATTTCACATATGCTAAGATGGAGAAAGAACCTGCCCTTTACATTTAGGCTTGGGATGTTAATTTAAAGTTTGAATGACCAAAAATTAAATCTGTAACTTTTAAAGTTTCTCTTTGTGATTTTACTTAAGTGTTGGTAGATATTCTTAAATTGTAATGACCTCAGTTTGGGAATTAAGTTAGCCAAATATTGTGTAATTATTGTTTGTTATACAAAAATATGCCTTAGACTGTACAGCGGCAGAAACTCCCTCTACCACCTCGGTCCCCCTTTCCATTCTGCGTTATACAAAATAAGCTGACACGTTAATGCTGTGGCCCACATTAAACAAAGTATACCGTACGTGTGTGTGTGTGTATGTGGCATAATAAATGGTGGTAGCTAACACTTACCGAATGTTTTCCCTATGTTCCAGGCACTGTTTCAAGTTTTACAGGATTAGCAAATTTAATCCTCATTACAGTTCTGTGAAGTAGGTACTTTTACAGGTGAGGAAACACAGGCACAGAGAGGTTAAGCAATTTGCCCAAGATCTCACAGCTGGGAAGTACCAAAGCTAATATACCAACCCAGGCAGTCCTGCTCCAGAGATCGTTCTGGACCATTCTGGATCACACTTCCTCGCTTAAGTGATTGAAGCAAGATATTTATCATATAGCATGGGTCCAAAACTGAGTTTGCTTTAGAAGAGTTTGACAGCTTTCTGACATGCCTTTAGTGGTCTCAGCGCAGACTGCAGATTTTGTCATTCACTTGAAAAGAATATCAGCCCCCAAGCAGGATAGTTACTACATCTAACATTGGTTAATAACTAGAGTGAGGATAATCACACCACCGTGTCAGTTTCATTTTTCTGCAAAGGACAGTTAGAATCAAGGGAGTCACTGACATGGCAAAAAATCCCTCAAGCATCCAGACAGAGAAAACATAGCAAGTGTCCCTCTTGAGGAGATTTATCCTCTGCCATTTGTCCTTTTTAAGGCTGGGAGGAGGATGTGAGGTTAAATGACACGTTCCAGAACTTCTTGGAATTAATTTATTCATAAAAAGAGTGCCCCCAAATCAAGTTCATAATTAACTTGTACTGATTAACCAGCAGACAATTATAGCTAACACTTTTGGCAGATTCATTTAGAATGAACATAGAAAACCCTGTAACTTCAGAAATCTCTCTCTTGAAAGCTAATAGCTGAAAATAGCTATATTCCCCACATTTTAAATTTAACAAATGCTGAGAAAACAAAATTGCCTCCTATTTTTCTAGTCTACTTCAGAAAACCTGGTAGCAAAGAATGTTTCTGTCTTCACTGAGGGAAATTTAAGATAAGATCTGGCTGGGGATAATCCATTTTGAAGGAATTACACTCTCTTAGTCCCAGAGTTTAAACCAAGTATGTAACTCACTTCCAAGATGCTGGGTGAAGATAAAAAAAAAAAATCTACATTTGTATGCAACAATTTGAAATACAAACCATCATGTTACAAAGCTCTCAAGATTTATTAGCAAGACAGTGGAGCATGTGTTGAACTCTGTTTTTAATTAGGCACCTAAATTAGACCATAAAATGGTTGATTAATCTTTTACAAGTTGAAGGGAAAATATAACATAAATTAACCTAATCATAAGTGTTTTCCCAGATGCTCTGAGTTAATAAAATAGTCAAAATTTAATAGCAACCCATTTGTTTTAGATAAATATGATGCTAAAATATATGAATTAGATTACACTTATTATCTTCCAAATGATATGTTATCATTGAACAGGTCTCTAAAAATTAGGTTGCAGTACATGTCTTAAAAATATTTATCAAAATAGAATACTACAATTAGGAATTACATGTTGGCTAAACTAGATTATGTTTTTTAATGGAAACTGATAATTGAAAATTTACAATTTAGCATAGACTAGTATTTGTGAAAGATATTTTTCCAGCTAGAGTTGTATTGCTTGAAACTTTAAAATGACCTGTCACAGCTTCTGTGTTTCTAGTTTGATGTTTTAGTCTGAAAAAAAAAAAAAACTTTTTAATATTTTGAAAAGTCAATATGTCATATAACGTCATTCCACATATGTATGCTGATTTATCTTTTTGTTTATAATATGTTGTAGGAATAAGGTTTTCTGGTTATATGAAATGACTCCTTGAATCACTAAAATTATTTATAATTAAAAGCACACCAGGAATTTTTTTAAAAACTCACCAGTCAGCTAGTTTTATGAATCAGGGAGGTGGCATTTATTTCAAGGTTCAGAACTGAAATACGTGACTCAGGCTGCTTGCCGACTGGTTTCTATGTCAGTAGTTTTTTGAATACTTTATGTTCTCACTCTATGAACATGGAAATTAAGTTGATTGACAGAAACACAAAATGCCTACTCTAAAGGCAGGGCATAATGAGCATTTCTTTTGCTGTGAATAGAGTTAGTTTCCAAACAGGGCGCTACCTCTCTCATTTAACAGTCGATGATTTCAGACAGTAAGAGAAATTTCAATCCTAGGCTGTTGGGATAGTCAGGAATTCCAGCAAAATGAGTCCCCCAAGTATGTGGCATATTTTCAAGTTTAATGAAAACAATATGCTGCCTACCTCGAATGAAAACATTTACCATGACTGAAAAGAAAGGAGATACTGATATCTTTGAAAACTAATTGTAAGTAGAGCATGAAACTTTTTATATATTTAAAACATTACCTTGTTGGAACTCTCGGGTTTCTCTCAAACTATGCCAAAACAAAACTAACATCAAATAAAACTGATGTTCGTGCATGCTGATTTTTATTTCTGATTTTTCTTGTCAAGAGATTTGGGGAAAAGTTTAAGACGTGAGAAGCAATTACCATCTTAATAAAATGATAATAAATAATTTTTATGGCAGCCAAGAGGCTATGTGTTAAAATACTGCTAATGCTAATAAAACCCACCATTAAGTTTATTTGTACATAGATAAAAGTGGTATTAATTTCCTTTATAAATTCTTTTAAATACAAATTTCACGCACATTTCGGTAACTTGAAAAATATTAAAAATATCTTGTTACTGGCTCATTCAGAAAATGTACTTCATTGTGTCATGGATGAAACATGTTTAAATAGCAAAGTTGTACTGCACAGGTTTTGCCTCCCAAAGATTGCTGTTTGTAAAAATTATGAGTGCGTATCTTTAGATTTAGAGCTGGTTAAAGAGTACTGTCCGAGAGGAGTTTATATTTTCCGGACAGTAAAAAAAAGTACACACACTATACATTGTTGGAATAAGATATTTTTGTTCTAAATATGGCAAATGTGAAAAAATAAGACTCTGGTTTAACATCAAGTTGATTGTGTTTCAGCCCAGACTCTCTCGCCAAGGGGTCACTATTTTAAACGCCATTGCCCAGAATGTGAACGATTCCATGTGTGTCCATGAAGCACCTTACACGTAGGATTCAGAATCCCTGTTTTCTCCCAAGTCTTTGCCCCACACTGCTTAATACTGTTACACTTGCTTAGAAACCCATAAAATGCTGAAAGATGGTTCTGGGCAATGTGAGGTTTGAGAAGCAAATGGAGAGTGAAAAAAACATTGGGAAGAGCAGTGAGAATCCCACTCTTGATTTAATGAATGGAGCTGGGGGGAGAGCCGCCCCCCTTTTTCAGGTCTGCGGACGGAAGTGTCCAGCAGGGCCCCAGCTGCCCCCGACGTTGCCACGTGTCCGCTCCTTTCGGGAGCTAGGGGGGCGTTGGCTTGGACATCCCGTTCTGGAAGGGTGGCCGGGGGCGCTACCACGGGCGGGGAAAATGGCTCCGAGCCACCCGGCCTCGGGCATCAATCGACGCGGCCCTGGTGTCGCGCGGGATCGCCGCCTCTGGCCCGGGGGCCGCTGAGCCGGAGACAGATGGCGGAGCTTCCCAGTGCGGGGGCAGGGCTGGCAGCCGAGACTGGGGCCGCCTCCCCCGCCCCTAGGCTGGCCGGGTAGTCCTCCGTGGCCACGTGACCAGCCTCGCCGTCCGGCCTCACCTGTTGGGCTGAGCCTGGCTGAGCGGCCCGCGCTAGAGGTGGGCGGTGCCGGCGGGACCCGTCTTCGCGCTGATTGGGTGGAGGGGCTGCGGAGAGACCAATGGTGTTCCGCCTGAGAGGAGAACCCCGCCCAGAGAGGCGGGCTGAGCGGGCGCGCCCCGCCCCCGCCGGTGTTGGCCTGGCTGTTGGCAGCTCAGCTTCCACTCGGTGCTGCTGATTTGGTCCTGAGCTGCCTTCGCTTTCCAAGTCGAGCCTATCAGCTGTTCTATTGTGCTCTCTTCCTTTGGTTCCTCTCTCTTTGTCCTGTCTGCACCCTCCTGCACAAATTCTCCTGTTTTCTGGAGCGGAGATGTCTGTTCTCCGAATGTTCGGCTCCCGAGTCCTGCAGGGAGACCGTCTCGCCTTCTGCAGCCCTGGCTGGCAGGACCCGAGTGGGCCCGAGTGGATTATTTACAGCCGAAGAGGACACTTCGGCTTTTTCGGACCTTATTTTGGGTCTGGGAAGCGGGAGGGGTTGCTGGCAAGAAAGTGAATTCAGTTGAGTCAATTTGCAACGAGCACGTTTCGTTTCTCCCTTTTCTCCGCCCCCGTTTCTCTTTGGGGGGAAGAAATGGATAATCCTCTTTCCACCCACTTCTATAATGGGTGCCTGTAAGGCGATTCCGCAGATTCAGTGGATAACAGAAAATACCTTCATTTCCATAATTTGGCCCATTAAATGACAGGACGAAGAGAAAGTGGGAAGGACTGGGATGGAGAGGAGGAAGAGGAAAAGGCCAGTATCTCACAAGCTCCTTCCGATCCCTGAATCTCACCTGGACTCAGACCGAGTGGCACGCCCCCTCCCCAGCACCTTCCGCGCTGTTCACACACGCCAGGCTCGTCCTCCTAACCCTAAGTCCTGTGCACAGAGCCCTGTAGCCGCCCCTACCCAGAGCAGGCACTGACAAGCCCACCCATTTCTAGTGCTGCCCAAGGTGGACTCAGCCCACAAAGGCCCCAGCCCCAGCCTTTGCGGATAGGTTTCCTCCGTGGTGCCAACAACTCTTGTGGATTTGAAAGAGGCAACCTTTTTCCTCGCGTTTCTAAAGGCCTATGAAAAGGGCACGTCGGGAAGTGCACATAAGACGTTGAACATCGTTGCATGAGATGTTGAAGAAGTACAAGATTTCGTTCTTCCTTCCATTAAAGTACAATCTCCCTGGGGAGAGACACACAAAGTACACAATTAGAGACCAGTAATTCTCTTCCAGATCGCTCCCGGTGCCTTTTCCTAGCTAAGCAGCCTCTCCCTGCCGGTCCTGGCCTTGTGTACCGGAAACTCTCTTGGCTGGATCCAGCCCTTCCTCCTGATGTGCTGTCGGGCTTGTCCCTGGTGCCCTCTTCTCTGATTGTTCCAGTCTGCCTGCGGGCACTTAGCATATGCTAGTGCTGCCAGTTGACACAGATACACAAAGCAGTAAACATCCTGTTCCCACCGAAGATCCCCAAGTGTGTGGGTGGATGGGTGTGGGAAGGGATGAGGTAAAGAGAGAAAGGCAGTGAAGTGATCATTACCTTATCACTGATTTAAAATACTTATTAATGGAGGAAGCCAAAGGTGACCATTTAAAATCCTTTTCTATAGTCAATGAATAATACATTCGTATAAATCATGTTTACTTACTTTTTCATTCATCTAACAAGGATTTTTTTTTTTTAAGACAGGGTCTTGCTCTGTCACCTAGGCTGGAGTGCAGTGGCACAACCTCTACCTCCTGGGCTCAAGCGATCCTCCCACCTCAGTCTCCCGTGTAGCAGGGACTACAGGTGCACACCACCATGCCTGGCTAATTAAAAAAAAAAAAAAAAAAACTGTAGAGATGAGATCTCACTATGTTAACCCAGGCTGGTCTCAAACTCCTGGGCTCAAGCAGGTCGTCCTCCTCAACCTCCCAAAGTGCTGGAATTACAGGTGTGAGCCACCACGCCAGACCCAGACCGTATTTTTAGAGCCGTTTTAGGTTCACAGCAAAATTTAATAAAGTACACAGATTTCCCAAATACCCATCAGTCCTACACATGCACAGTCTGCCACTATCACCATCCTCTACCAGACTGGCACATTTGTTACAACTGATGAACCTGTGTTGACACGCTATCACTCAGGGTCCGTAGGTTTACATTAGGGCTCACTGTTGGTGATGTACATTGTTTAGGGTTGGACAAACGGGTAATGACCTGTATCCCACATTATAGTATCATTCAGGGTAGTTTTACCACCTCAAAAATCCCGTCGGTGCACTTGCTCTTATCAAGTACAAGGCAGCACTTAAAACACTGAGGAAGTACAGGAGCCATGAACTTGTCCCTGAGAAGCCTGTTTTAGTTGGTGGCTTGTATGCATACCTGTAATCCCAGGTATGCATCAACTTGTATGCATCGTTTCTCTGCAGGGCCTCCTCTTCCTTGAAGCACCACTTAAAACAGGCTCGAGGAGATCTGTAGGCAATTTAAGCCTGATGTTTTTACTTTTATTTTTGAAATCATTAGTCCTACTAAATTACTAGTAAATCTGAAAACCATTTAAGGAGGAAGCAGAAGCATGAGATAAGATAGTACAAATTTAAAATGTGATTTTTGCATTTTACTTTTCCAGGAGCTTTCCAAAGAGAGCTAAGGAAGTAAGAAGGGGCCAGAAAGTCAGCAACTGTGTGATTAAAAAAAAAAATGTCTTAGCCTCCGTATGCAAGAACTTGCTGTGTGCAGGCGAGTGGGCCAGGCGCTTACTTAATCTTAACAGCGATGCTTCCTGTGTGATTTCCCTTATTTTCCAAGGGAGGAAACGGAAACTCACAGAGATTGCCTAAGGTCATACAGCTGTATCTGTAGGTGGCTCTACCTCTTGGACCTAAGGAAGAAGGGAACGACTCCCTGAGGGCCCTTCAAACTCCATAACTTGGAGGCTGTCTACCTGCCTGAAATTCAATGCCGTGTTCCTTCTGGACCAGTTTTAAGCCATCTCTTCTGTTGTTTCTTTCCTCCCAAAGATGTAGACTTTTCCACTTAAAAGCATTTCCAAGATTCTATTTTTTCATCCTTTTTTCTGTCCCTATTCTCTTTCACTCCCCACACTTGTTCCTAGCCTGTCTCTGTTGCTCTGATGTCCATGTTGATGGTGGCGGTCTTCAACCATGCCATCCGTGTGCCAACCCAGCACTTTCCTGCCATCCCTGTAGCCCTTGCCCCAACATCTGTGCATTTGACTCCCCTTCTCTGACCGAGGCCTGCTCCCATCCCCTCCTCTACCAACTCATCCCTTCTCTCCCACCTGCCCTTTGTGCTGCCCCCCACAACTACACCACTCAGGGTCTCAGCTCTTGGGATCACATTGACACACCCCCACATTTTACACTCTGTGGCCCATTGCTTCTGAGCTGTATTGTCCAGCACCATGAGGACCCCACCCATGGAGACACTGGGTTTTGTACCATCCCCAGCAGTTGTGAGTGAAAATGTCTTTTTTTTTTTTTTTTTTCCAGAGACAGAGTCTTGCTCTTTCACCCAGGCTGGAGTGCAATGGAATGATCTCGGCTCACTGCAACCTCTGCCACCTGGGTTCAAGCAATTCTCCTGCCTCAGCCTCCCGAGTAGCTGGGATTACAGACGCCCACCACACCACACCCAGCTAATTATTGTGTGTGTGTGTGTGGTGTGTGTGTGTGTGTATATATATATATATGTGTGTGTGTGTATATATATATTTTTAGTAGAGACAGGGTTTCACCATATTGGCCAGGCTGGTCTCGAACTCCTGACCTTGTGATCCACCCGCCTTGGCCTCTCAAAGTGCTGGGATTACAGGTGTGAGCCACTGAACCTGGCCAAAAATGTCTTATATAAAGCTGATCTGGCCCACCCCAACTTTATGCGCTCCACTGAGAACTTGGCCCTTACTTACTCTGCAGCTGCTAGCCCTGCTAGTCACCACCCCTTACCTGTGCCAAGATGACTTGTATGCATTGCTTCTCTGCAGGACCTCCTCTTGCTCGAAGCACCACTTAATTTAGCTCTTCCTACACAAAAGGAGAAACCTCAGAGAGATGGCAGCCTGTATATGAACACCACTCTCTTAACCACTTCTCGACATGGCTTTATTTTATACCTTCCCCAAGACTTCCCTCCGTCATTTCTTTTCTTTTTTTTGAGACGAAGTTTCGCTCTTGTTGCCCAGGCTGGAATGCAGTGGTGTGATCTCAGCTCACTGCAACCTCCGCCTTCCAGGTTCAAGTGATTCTCCTGCCTCAGCCTCCCAAGTAGCTGTGATTACAGGCATGCGCCACCACACACGGCTAATTTTGTATTTTTAGTAGAGGCGGGGTTCCACCATGTTGCTCAGGCTGGTCTCGAACTCCTGACCTCAGCTGATCCACCAGCCTTGGCCTCACAAAGTGCTGGGATTACAGGCGTGAGCCACCGCACCTGGCCCCCTCCATCATTTCTAAGGAGGTGCTGTGTTATCTCTTTTCAGTATTATTTGAAAGAAATCTCAGACATTATATTGTTTATAAATCTGTGGGGTTTGGGTTTCTTTTTTTGTTTTTGTTTTTGTTTTGAGATGGAGTTTTGCTCTTGTTGCCCAGGCTGGAGTGCAGTGGCACGATCTCGGCTCACCGCAACCTCCGCCTCCCGGGTTCAAGCGATTCTCCTGCCTCAGCCTCCCGAGTAGCTGGGATTACAGGCATGCACCACCAGGCCCGGCTCATTTTGTATTATTAGTAGAGACAGGGTTTCTCCATGTTGGTCAGGCTGGTCTTGAACTCCTGACCTCAGGTGATCCACCCGCCTCGGCCTCCCGAAATGCTGGGATTACAGGCATGAGCCACCCTGCCTGGCCTGGGTTTCTTATTTAAATTTTTATTTACATACTTATAGAAAAGTGTACAAATCAGAAGTGCACAGCCTGACACTTTTCACAAGGCAAACATACAAGTATGTTGTTGGTAACAAGCGCCAAGATCAAGAAGTGGCAGTTCAAAAACCCCCAAAGCTACCTCTGTATCCCCTTCTGGTTACCGTCCCCATCCCGAGGACAACCACTATCTCACCTTCTACCACCACCAGTTAGTTTTGCCTGTTGTTGAATCTAATATAAAGGAAGCCTAACAGTGAATATTCATGGGGTTTTAAAACATGCACATTTACTGCCTATGTTGACAGGTTGGGAGGTTTCACATACAAATCCAGATTTCCTGCTGCTTTTATAAAGGATCAGACAGTACCATGCCTGTCTTTCTTATGGCAACAAATGGCTGGACCTGGTGAGCCCCTGGGCTTGTGAATGGGGGAATCGTCTCTCCTTCCGACATTCTGCCCTCCCTGCCCCTTCCTGTCTCACACTGGGCAGCTTCTCTCATTTGTTACCAGAGTGGGGAGCTTCAAACAGTTTTCCCACTTTTTTCAGGTATGTACGTTTCACGATTAAATTTCCCCAATCCAGTTCATCACGGGCATTCTTGTTAGAGTTGGGCAGGAGCTTTTATCTATTTGACTTTTTCATTTTACACTTTTGTAGGGATCCCAAGAGAGGCTGTGTGGAGGTCTGCTTAGCTGGCTGCCAATTAAAATCAGAAATCACCTTGATGAAATCATTTTCAGTGACATGCTTCTCCTATTTTTTACTTTTTTAGTTCCCTAACTGGCTTTTCTTTGATCGGATTCCCCAGTTGGCAAATCTTAGGGTCAGCCTTTTGCTGTGGATAGTCAGGTCACTCAGTCATTCTGGTGTCAGCAGAATACCCAATGTGTACCATAGAAATTGGACCCAGCAGTGTTTCCTAAACCAGTTCTCAGCCAACTCTCCTGTAGGACCACGTTTTCCCCCAATGCACTGTGGCTCAATATGTTGTCCTATTGCATGTGATGAGCACACAGAGCATGCCGTGTGCCTCCTGCCATACAATTAGCAACACGCACACTGGCTAGTGAGTTTACTGATCATGGCCTTGGATGCTGTCGCAATGTCAAATTACTTATAATAGTTTTAAGTGCTTCCTCTCAGGTTTTGCATGTATCTCCTCCAGGACAGTTTGTGGGGAGTCCTGCAGACCACACTTTGAGATGCGCTATTCCACGTTTCTTTGAGTGAAGACAAAGTTCTTCTGGGTGTGGTGGCTCATGCCTGTAATCCCAGCACTTTGGGAGGCCGAGGTGGGTGGATCACCTGAGGTCAGGAGATCGAGACCAGCCTGACCAACGTGGTGAAACCCTGTTTCTGCTAAAAATACAAAAATGCCAGGCGTGGTGGCGGGTGCCTCTAATCCCAGCTACTCAGGAGGCTGGAGCAGGAGAATCACTTGAACCCAGGAGGCAGAGGTTGTAGTGAGCTGAGATTGCACCATTGCACTCCAGCCTGGGCAACAAGAGTGAGACTCCATCTCAAAAAAAAAAAAAATTAATAGGTAGAGGGTAGAAAAAAAGAGTTCCATGTTAGCATATTAGAGGCCCTGAGAAATACTGTAGCTAAAAACAAAACAAAACAAATTTATAAATTAAAGTAAATAAATGTTTGTTTCACCTAGCATTTCCCCCATGAGTACAGAACCCTCCTTTCATTCATACCTTCCAGCATCCTGAGGCATTGTGTCTATCCAGATGCCAGCTTGGGCCATATTCGCCAAACATGTTTCTGAGGTTTCTTGCAGTTCTAAGAGTCTGACACTAATCCTGTGCTCCCGCTCTCTCTCCATCCACCTTTACCCCTTGGAGCAGGCTTCCCGTTCCTATAGCTTGAGTTATTCCTCTCCCACACATCTCCCACTGTGATGTCATCTCAAACCTAATATGTCTGCACCCTCCCCCTGGCCCCAGATGATTGCTGCAAAAAGAATAAAGAGCAAGAAGTGGAGTTGCAGTGAATCAAGGACCCTGGATAAAAAGTGGCTGAGGCTGAGGCCGAGGCCGGGGGAACAGACTTGCTGATTAGGATTTCAAGTCGGGTCTTGCTTTGCCTCCACTTGCTGTTATTCTGTAAGCAGGCTAATTGCAGGTTCAGCTTTCCTCCAAGCAGCTTATGTCTGTTTTCAAAGGTAAGTGTTCTGTGTCGGTGGTGTTTATGGAGCAAGATGTTTGATGGTGTTGGAAAAGGTGAAGCTTTTTTCCACCCTGCCTGGCCCTGTGTGGCGCTTGTGGTCTGAGTATGTTTTATGCTAGCACCGAGATGATTGCTCAACCTGGTTGTAATGTTGAGGTCTTCACTAAATAACGTGAGTGCCACATGTAAACATTGGCAGCCTTGAGCTGCAAACGAAGCCAATAACTTTTTAAAAAAATGCATTTTCCCCCTTTTGTGTGGCCAAGGGGAACACTGAAAAGTGTCCTGCAGTTCACACAGCACCGGAAACAAAGGAAACTTTCAGATTAGGTGTCACTGGGGAAGGAGGCTAGTGAAGCCTTTTAACAGAGAGAGATGGGGATTGATTTACCTGTTTGTATAAAACTAAAGTTACAGGAGTATCTGGATTTCTCCTGCAAGCACTCTAAGCTTGCCATAGTTATCTTATTATCTCCTGATACACTTACCGTAGGTTCTTCGTACTTGGGGAAATTCTAACATCTGCATGGATCGCCTGCTCACCTCTACCTGAGCCCTTGCTCAGGAGGAGGCGTTTGGCAAGGACATTTCACATGGTTTGTGGGTGAATAGTTTCACACCAGAGTGGGATCCTCTATTGCATGTACTCGACTAGCTTTTCATTCTTATCACACTTCCCTTCCTATAAAGTTACGTATCTTTTAAAGGGAAATTTAATACCCACCTTCGCTTTCTGTGCGGCCTTGTGAAAATCAGGCAATAACAAGGACAGCCTTATTGCCAGTGTATGACCAGAGCATCTAGATGGCACTACTAGTGGAATGTCATCTTGTCTACCATTCATTCATTCATTCATGATTTTCTCTACCAGACAGTTTTGGAACTCCTAGAATGGGTCAGGTGGTAGGCAGGCATTGGGAAAACAAGGTTTTAAGCCATTGTCCAAATCCTCAAAGAACTCACCATTTTGGTCGAGGGGCCATGGTGAGAGGTGTATAGAACAAAGTAAGAAATGCTGTAGGAGCAGAGAGAGAGAAAGAGGCCCAGAGAAAAAGACACCATCCAGCTGGGCACTGAAGCACGGATAGGAGCTTGCTGGCTGGTTGTCCTGGAAACTGATCAGAATATTCAGGGCTGGGAAGCTCTGTGTGAAAAAGGCCCAGAGAAGCACAGAAGAGCACTGCAGCTTGGGCAAAACGGTGAAACAGTGAGGGTGCCTGGGATTGGGGGAGAGAGGAGCCAGGAGGCTGGCTCAGAGGTGGAGAGGCTGGAATGGCACATTAAAGAGAGGGCTTTTATCCTACAGACAAGGGAGTTTTTCAGGCCAGCAGAGCTCCTATACCAGAGACATTCACAAGCTTTATATGAGTTGTGAATTCAAATTCTTTTCATGTATTTTCAGGGAAAATTTAAAAATTTGTGATTTCAAGACAGAGAAAGCAGAAAACACATAGATGGTTTTCTAAGATGAACCACATTTAGCCCTGCTGGGTGATTCGAGTAAGGCTCCCAAAGGAACAAGCAGCAGTTCCCGATGGTGTTTGCAAATATGGCTGGGACATGCTTCCTCATCCCCACTCATTGCCCCTGCGGAATCCACACACCCCCTCCCTGCTGCCTCCTTGGGTAGCTTGGATGACTGTCCTAAGCACCTTCGTTCTGTGGTTTGAAGTACTGAGGGAAAGAGAGCCATTCTTCTCCAACTCCCCGCTCGGCTCCCCAGGCCAGCTTCTCCAGCCCGATGGTGTGGAGAGGCAGGTGGTCTGCAGGCTGGGCCCTGCCACCTCTCCTCTCCCTTCACCAGTCCTGCTGAGAGAGGATCCCTGTCATTCTTCCGGGAGAGGCATGTCAGCAGGCGCAGCGGGAGAGGGGATGAGGGAATTGCCACGTGTCCACGGCTCTCTGGCTCAACCAGGCAGGGTTGGGGCAAACCTTCGCCCTCTGTCTCAGAATTGCAAGCAGTCTAAAGAAGCCATGCTTGGCTCCTGCTTGCCGGTACTCCCAGTGTGATTTAGTCCTGGGCCCATCACTCACTGTGGAGGAACTCAGCTAAGTTTGGGAACCTTCCATGTTAGCATATAAAAGTAACTGCAGTTATTGATAAGGTCTAGCTCAGAATTGGGTTGCCCTGATCAGATCCTGTTTCTGTTTAGAGGAGACAGAGAAGAGAGGCTGAGAGGTAGACTCAAGAGGGCACAGCCAGGAGGCAGCTGGTTAGGGGGCTGCCACTGTGGCTGGGTGGCTCCCTGCCCTGACTGTGTCTCCTTCCCATCTGTCTCCTCCAAGGGAATGTTCAGTCTTTCACTGTTATTTTTGGGATGGTGTTTTCTTCCAGTCCCAGCTGGAAACAGAAGTACAGAACAAGCCCATGACTATTTTGTGTTCTGCGAAAAGAGCATTTGCCAGGCAGCAGATGTACTGGCTTCCTCAAGACTGAAGCTTTCGTTGGTTTTGAGGACTTTGATGGAAGCCACCTCATTTTACCCAGATGGTGTCTTTTGGGGATGTGGGTTTGGGGGATGGGAAGTGCAAAAGCACATCAGTGAGGGCTGTGAGTTGTTTGTGGTTGATCAGCCTCCAGATGTGGCAGATGGATGGATCGTAAGTCCCAGAAGCTCAGGTGCGGAGAGAGGCACTAGCAGACAGCAGCGGTCTGGGCTGCAGGTAAAGGTGCCTCCTAAGTGATTGCAAGCTCAAGTATAGTGGTGGACTTAGATTCTGTCTCACACATTCCCTCCGTAAACAGTTTTCTAGCAGCTTGTCAATTACATTCTGGTTTGGATTTGGTGCTGTTTTGTCTCCATTATAAAATCCTTTGGCTTCTCTTTACTCAATAAGAGTGTATTGAGAGGACAGGCACCGTGTACCCTCCTCCCAGAGGAAATTGTCATTAGGGCAGTCCCTGAGGATTGATTATATCCATTTGGAAGCCAACAGTGGACACAGGGAAGAGGGGGAGGAATCAGGTTGATTCCAGCTAGTTCTTGGTTTCTCTGTATCTGAATGTCCACTGATTTTCGTTTCGTTTCTTAGAATTTAAGTACTGACATTAATGTATTGAGCATCTACTCTGTATCAGGCTCTGGGATTCAAAGATTTGTTCATTTCACAAATATCACTGGGTACCTATTTTATGAACACTGTTCCTGCCCTCCTGTAGCTTACATTCTAGTAGGGAGATGGGCAGTAAAGAAATAAACAAGTAGATTAATAAAAATATAATGTCACCAAGAGTGAGGGGGTAGACGGTTTTGTGGGAGAGGATGATGGGAGAAAAGGGACACTATAGGCTGGAAGTCAGGAGGGCCTTTTTTTATTTCAATAGTTTTTGGGGAAAAGGTGGTGTTTGGCTACATGGATAAGTTCTTTAGTGGTGATTTCTGAGATTTCGATGCACCCATCACCCAAGCAATGTACACTGTACCCAATGTTTAGTCTTTGATTCCTCACCACCCTCCCCCCGAGTCCCCAAAGTCCATTATATCATTCTTAATGCTTTTGCGCAGGAGGGCCTTTTTAAAAAGATGAAAAGGTAGAAAGATGAGGACTGAGAGGGTCAGAGAGGCAGGTCTTGATGTGAGACGCCAGCGTGTGTGGGGCTTTATGAGTGGAAGGGACAGGACCTGTCCTACATTTTAGAAAAACCCTGACTGCTTTGCAGAGACAGACTGTAGAGCATGAGAATAAAGGGAGGGGTGAGATGGCTAAACACAGTATGGCATGATACATGCAAAAACAGAAGTAGTTCAAAAACAAATCCTACAGAGGGAGAATTTCAATCTATCTAGGCGGGATGGGGCGCTGCACTGGGAAGGCTTCAGGGAGGAGGTGACATGGGAGTGAAGTTTTGATGGATGAATAAGAGTTCATGAGCAGACCAGGTGGGAAAGAAGATCATGGCAGAAGGAATGCATGTGAAAAGGCAAGGAGGTTCCTAGGAAAAAATATGGTTGGTGCAGGGAAGGACCCAGCAGAAGAGAGTGACCGCATGAGGGGAGTCGAGGATGTTTGTAAGTAAGCCTTAACCTCATGACATTGAAGGGTAACTAGTACAGGTTATCCTGTGCTTATTTTTTTTTCTTTTTCAAGTATGTCAGCTCAAAAGTGGGAATTGTCAGATGCTGTTGAATAGTATTGAACAGAAATTGCTTTTGCTGGTGATCAGAAAAGATGCCACTCAGAAAAAAGGGCCAGTGCTGGAGATCCTCTCAGGTTGTGTTCCAGGTTCCACGTCTTCGAATCTGGTTGCCTTTTGCCTGTCTGGAAGGAGTCTTTCATTAAGTTGAAGCCATGTAATTAGAAATTCCATTTCTCAGCTCCGCAGACCTACAATAGGAACAGCCCCATTGGCCGCTCAGTTCCAGCATTCAGTTCCAGGCTGCCAGTGCCAAAATGCCAAACCTGGTAATTAAGAGGTGGCTCTGCAGGCACACACCTGTTCCGAGTGTGCAATTAGTGCCTGCCGCCCTTCTTACTGAGCTCAGCCCTCTGCACCGACCATTTGCAGGGACGGTGGGATGTGTGTGTACAACCTTGATTTACTGTGCTTTTTCTGAACATCAAAGTAAGAAAGTCTCACTCCTTTTGTTGTTGTTCAAAAGAGAAAGTGTAAAGGAAGGCCAGCTTGGAGTGTCTGAGGATGGAGTTTGGGCAAGCATTTGGTGGTGGACTTTTCCCCAGGATTGCTCACTCATCAGACACTTTCCCGTCTACGTTCCGGGTTTATAGCTAGGCTAATTTAATTTCCAGCTGAGAGGCTACTCCCCATATGATGGTAATCTCAAATAGTTAATGAGCTAGAAGAGGAGGCAGCCTATTGGATTGATTCTGGCTCCTCGGCTCAGTGGTTTAGCAGTACTAATTTATTAGCCTGTTTGTCTGCTGGTTCGAGAGGCTTGTTTAGCCTGGCGCAGCTTCATGTATCTCCCGTCTTCTAAAGATGGATTGAGCTTGACTTCTGGCCTCTGAACCTTTAGGATCAGCTCTCTTTTCCATTTACACACTTCGTTTATTTAAAGGGAAGAAGGAGGGCAGAGGGGATAGCCCTGGGTCGGTTCGTGAGCTCACGATACCTGTAAAGCACATTGTGAAATTCCAGTTCTTTCCAGCTGGGTTTGTATCACCAGCAGAGCCTTTTAGGTGAGCTGCCTTGAGCAACCCTGGCCTGTAATATTAGTTCCAGGATGTGGGTAAGTGGTGTTTTTCTTCCATAGAACACTGATGGCGGTTGAAAAAAAAATACAGGCTAAAGTACATAAAACAGAATAAGAATTGGGAACGAGGAATGAGGGCTGTGGTTTGGAGAGGCTAATCTAGTTATTTTCAGTTTTGTGATCATTTGTTTCAGTGGGACTGAGTGAAAAATGAACTCCTAAAATAAAGGCATTAGTGCGGAAGTGCAAAGAACTAGTAAGAGATTTAGCTTCCACTTTCTAAATTAATTTTTCTCTCATATATATATATACACACATCACCATCATTATCATCATCATTATCATTATCATCATCATCTCTTTTATATATATATATATAAAGTGCTGTTTATTTCATTATAATTTATAGGCCCTATAATTCCAAAAAATTAATTTAAACCCAAACCTTTTTTTTTTAATTGTCGGATAGGAAAAGAAGACAAAAACCTCTTTAGAAAGGGGGTGAGTAATTAGAGATGAGTCAGAGGTGGGATGGTTACTATATTTGAGCATTTTGATCTAGGAGGTTCTTAGAAATGTAGAGAAGTGGGATGAGCATGAGACTCAGAGTTTCACATTCTGGATTTTGAGTCCCTGCTTTGTTACATTGCCCAGTATTTGATCTGGGGCCACTTAATCTCTCCTCTCTCAGCCTCACCGTCCCATTCTCTAAAATGAAGGAAACAACCCTTCATTGTTATTACATTGAGCCAGTGAGATCCTGAACGTCTAGTCCTTTGTGGCAGGTAAAGCGCTCTGCAACTCTTAGAGCTGACATCATGATGGCCAAGGCAGGGAGAACCATCTTCTGATAAAAGGTTTGCCTCTTTCCAAGGGGTAAACTTATTTTTCTGTAGCATGAACTTTGAGTATTGGACTGGTATCTTTGCGACTTCACAAAACTGTGCCGACTCATCATTTCAATGCTTAATAAAATATAAAGGCAGATCCCATGTGTATGTATTGCAGGCAGAGTGTTTGGGTGGGCCTAAGTGTTATGCTAACCTCCCAGATGGCCGAAATCTAGAAAACCTGGAAGAGTCCATGTCCTCTCTCCCCCATTCACTGACCCCTAACACAGATCATGTCAACCAGGCTTTTGACCAGCAGAACAACCAACCCGTGGCTGGTGGACAGCTGCTGGGCTGTGCCAAGGCTCTTAATCTGGGCCCACAGTTGCTCTGGAGTCTGTGAATCTCCTGAAGTTGAGAAGCGAGATTTGTGTCTATGTCTTTTTTTTTTTTTTTTTTTTTTGTTGAGACAGAGTCTCACCCTGTAACCCAGACTGGAGTGCAATGGCGCAATTTCGGCTCACTGCAACCTCTGCCTCCTGGGTTCAAGCGATTCTCCTGCCTCAGCCTCCTGAGTAGTTGGAATTACAGGCACATGCCACCATGCCCGGCTAATTTTTTTGTATCTTTTGTAGAGACGGGGTTTCACCATGTTGGCCAGGCTGGTCTCGAACTCCTAACCTGGTGATCCACCTGCCTTGGCCTCCCAAAGTGTTGGGATTACAGGCGTGAGCCACCGCACCTGGCCGTGTATATGTCTTATATCTGCATTTTGCTGCAAAGAGGGTCCATCCCTTTACTCGGATTCTCCACAACTCATAAAAGCTCCAGAGCTCTGCTCCTTGGGTACTGCACTGGGGAATTTGCATACCTTTTTGTAGTCAGCAAGGGTAGCATTCTGTCGTAATATTTAACAAGGCCTATTTCTATTCTGAACAAGTGAAGAATCATGTATCTTCAGAGGAAGGAGGAGCCCAGGAAAGGGGATCCTTTTTAAAAGCTGTGAGAAAGCTGTGAATCAGGTCCATAGTCATTTGGGGTACATTTCTTAGGACAATTCCTGGGTCCATCTTATATCCCCACTTTTGGTTTGCTTCTTTAACCGTCATGTTTTATGTGCTTTTTTTTTTGTCTCATAAAGAAAGCTATCTCAATTCCAGATGCATTGAGATAACTTCATATTGGGTGTGAGGAGGCTGATAACTACACCAGCTTTATAGCTTTGTGGTCAGTTGATTCCATTCCTCAGTTTGTTACCTGATAGTCCTGACTGTCTCCAAGTGACAAGTGAATCGATGTGCATTTAGCAAACCCAGGAAAACATTGTCTTTGGAGAGGTTTGAGCTTGATTAATCTCCAAAACGTGCTAATGGGGCAATAGAGAGCTCAGCTCTTGTTCTCTCCTTCAGGTGGTGTTTGCCTGTGAGCTTAGTGCCCTATGTTCCCAGCCCAGGGAATTGGAAATTGATTCATTTGGGAAAGTAACAGCTTAAAGGTCTTTATTTGATTTTGTCAGAGAATAGAGAACACCGCTGAGCTTTTCAGAGAGAGGCAGTAATTATTCTTGGTGCACCCCCGACCCCTGCCCCCAACCCCAACCTAGGCTGATTCGTCTGCCCAGAATGAGCCTTTCTGGACCCAGGAGCCCTTTTCTCGCTTATAATCTGGGGTTATTCTTACCTTCTCTCAGTTTTGATCTGTTTTTACACATGGAGACAGGACGTAAATCTTCATTTGTTTATAACATTTCTTGGATGAACACCTAAATTCTTCCTCACCCCTCACCCTCAAAACTTCCTGGGTTACTGCTACTTCTGTGGGTGAACACAGAGTGCTTCAGTGTCATGCCCTCCATCAACTTTGCTTAAAAATTGAGGGTGCTCCTTGTCCCCACTTCTTTCTCCACATCTAACCTGTCAGTGGCTTTTCTTTCTATCTTCCTTTAAAACGTTTGTTTGTTTATTTATTTATTTTTAGAGATAAGGGTCTTGCCATGTGGCCCAGGCTGGTCTCGAACTCCTGGCCCCAAGTAATCCTCCAGCCTTAGCTTCCTGAGTAGCAAAATGTTTAGAATTAGCTGCCCCTTCTTTTACATCCCCACTGTCCCCTCCCCATTCAAATCTACATATTTCGTTTATTTTTATCTATCGTTTGTTTTTTAAAAATATATTTTAGAGACAGGGTCTTGCTCTGTTGCCCAGGCTAGAGCACAATGGTGTGATCATAGCTCACTGCAGCCTCCACCTCCTGGGCTCAAGTGATCCTCCCGCTTCAGCCTCCTGAGTAGCTGGGACTACAGGCACACCATCACACCTGGCTAATTTTTAAAAATTTTTGTAGAGATAGGGTCTCCACTGTGTTATCCAGGTTGGTCTTAAGCTCTTGGGCTCAAGCAATCCTCCCATCTTGGCCTTCCAAGGTGCCAGAATCATAGGTGTGAGCCACCATTAAGGCGATTCTTAAAAATGATACATAAAGCACAGAGAGCACATAAAACATGACAGTTAAAGAAGAAAACCAAAAGTGGGAATATAAGGTGGACCCAGGAATTGTCCTAAGAAATGTACCCCAAATGACTATGGACCTGATCCACAGCTTTCTCACAGCTTTTAAAAAAAGAAAACCTTAATTACACAAATCACAAAAACAAGCTGTTTGCTGAAAGGGAACCATGACTGTTCTTGGTATTAAGCCGAGGGGCTGGCATAAAGAGATTGCCATGGGGCAATGGCTACTGGCACAGATAGGGCCCCTCCAAGAAGCACATGGTTAATCCAGCCTTTTTGTTAAAGGATATTTTTCTTAGAAAAAGGTAAAATCATGCTCTCATCAAGGTATACAATGAGTGTGTTAAAAACCTTATTTCGCTCATTATTAATGATGGAACCAGGCAAATGTTACCATTGGTTCAAAGGAGAAGTCAAAAGAATACAAATTTACTTGGACTTTAATTAACAAATAGATGAGAAACTGACTTCTTCCACTGAGTAGGAGGTAGAGAAAAAAGTCCAGAGAACTCCCACCAGAAAGAACTTATTTGTATATCTCTGGTCAAGAATCAAGAATTATATTGGATTGCTATATTGCTGTCTATATAATTTAGAAAGTTGCAGAGTCTCTCAAAAGCAATAAAAGGCTGGAGTCAGATAATCAGCGAGCGTGCTCTAAACAGTGCAAGTTTTCCACTGGAGACACCTAGTGATCTTTTTTTGCTTATTCCAAATTTCTTTACATTTTAAAAATACTGGTCTTAGTAGGCTCGCGGAGTTTATAATCAGCTCAAAGCCTAAGCCTGTTTAAGATACGCTGCTGGTAAGTGCTGGCTCCCTGACGCCTAACAAAAGATTTTGATGCCGCCAACCTCCTACATTTTATGTGGCTTCTCATTGCCTCAGAGGTCAAATCCAAAATCTGTCTTAGCATTTGTTCCTGCATTTGTTTACTCTTCCTTTATCTAGCAACTGTTTATTTTTGCCACAGTGCAAATAAGCCAGTCCTCACCCCCTTGGAGGACTGCTATAGTAGATGGATAGAGGTTATGATGACTCTGTGTGTGTGTGTGTACGTGTGTGTGTGTGCACGCACGTGTGTGCGTGTGTGTGTGCATTTTCAGGAAGGATGTTGGGAATGTAATAGTTATGAAAAAGGAACAAGGAGTGTATAGAAATATATTAGAAGAAGGAGGTCCAGAAAGAATAGTCCAGGAGGAGGGAAGTCCATGGGGGCCAAGAAACCTCATGATCCACTGGAGAAACCACAGGTGCTTCCTGATAGCTGGGGTGAAGCAGAGTTGGAAGGAGGGTTGGAAAGAGCGAGGGAGGAACTTAGAATTCCCTTGGAGTGAATTCATATATGCCCTGCCAGGGAGTTTGCAGGTCATTCTCAACACAACGAGAAGCTATGAACATTTCCAGATTTGGCTTTTGGAAAGATGTCTGTGGAAGCAAGGGATGGAGGGATGGACAGAGTGGATGAGGGTATTCCCAGCCTGTTTTCCAATCCATTTTTCTAACCTTATTTGCCATCATGTCTTAAAAACAAATACAAAAACAAAAAACAAAAACTTCAGTCCAGGCTAAGTGGCCCAATGGCTGTCTCATTGAGTAGGCTTTGTTCATGTTCCTAAATAGGAGCATCTTTTGTTCCTGATTTCTTCACTTCCACCTACTCTTGGGGCAGGCTCAGGGGCCGTGGCTCACGCCTGTAATCCCAGCAGTTTGGGAGGCCGAGGCGGGTGGATCACTTGAGGTCAGGGGTTTGAGACCAGCCTGGCCAACATGATGAAACCCCATCTCTACTACAAATACAAAAAAACTAGCTGGACGTGGTGGTGTGCACCTGTAACCCCAGCTACTTGGGAGGCTGAGGCAGGAGACTCGCTTGAACCCGGGAGGTGGAGGTTGCAGTGAGCAGAGATCGTGCCACTGCACTCCAGCCTGGGCAACAAGAGTGAAACTCTGTCTCAAAAAAAAAAAAAAAAAAAAAAAAAGAAGAAGAAGAAGAAGCTTCAGTTGTCCCGAGCACAACTTCTGGGTGCCAATTTTTCACGTTTCTCATTTTCGAGTCAAGTGTATAATATCTCTTGACTGTGTCTGGAATTTCTCTCAACATAAACGGTAAGTCCCTGGAGGGCAAGAATCATCCCGATCAACAACACACACTGGCCATATCACTGACTCCTTCATCATTATGACAAATATTAAAGTTGAATTCGAGTTTCCTTTCCTCTTGCTGCTACCTAGGAGGCATTTGCCATCACTTGAGGGATGCTTGGGAATGCAAACTAACTTTAATAATAATTAAGGCAAAATAATAAGTAATAATTAACACAAATCTGCTAATTAGTGCAATTTTTCTCATTGTTATTAACTGTAACCATTTATTAGTCTGAACAGATGTTGATTACTGGCCACCAGAGGTAAAGCATCCCAAGTTCAATGGGGGGAGATGGGCTCAGAGTTTGCTGTGATCCACAGGTAAAATAAGGAACTCTGATCTTATCACATTTGTTGTGTGTTTTTGCTTAGCATTTAAGTTCAAGACTTTTATGGGTATAGCCACTTAATGTCATTGCGTCACTTAATGTAATGGGTGTGATGATACATGTATGTGTCATCTTTGGACATCTTTGGACATCAGGATACTGGGACCATCACCCTTTTGAATCCTGGCCCCACCTGTTTATTATTCCAAGTTGCCCTTGATTCACCCCTGAGTTTCTTGACATATTTGCATCATGACCTCCAGTCATTAGCTTTAAGCCTTGCTAGTTGATTCATTTTCTTTCATTCATTTATTTGTTCATTCAACAAATATTTTCAAGTGCTTGCGATGCCTGGTGTTTTGCTGTTTTTCTTGTATTTTTTTAAAGATAGTCTTTAAAACTCACAGTCTAAACAAATACGAGACAAAACATGGAAGGCAATAAGCTGCAATTAAAGATTTTGTTTTTGGAAATGGTCATTAGGCTTAAAAATAGTCACAGGGTCAGTTTTTCACGAAGCCAATGCAGGGTAAAAGGCTAATCTCACTTGTAATTCTTAGCAGCTCTCTCACTGATGGTTTAGTTACTTAATCTCCTTGGTGTTTACTGTGTCGTTCCTTACGGGTGAAGAATGGGAGATGAACGGGAATGCTTTGTCTAAAGCACAGAAGAGTTGCTGGAAATTTTAAGACTCACCAGTCAGGCAACATCATCTATCAAAAAGTTCTCATAGAATGTAACAAATAATCATGGAACCTACTCAAATAATGCAGAACCTTTGTCCATAGCTTCAGGCCTCCAATGCTTTCCTTCTCTCTTTGGATGTGAAATGCACAAGGCAGGTTGGACTCTGTATACTGATCTGTTGCAAAGGTATCGGGCTTTTAGAATAAATGGTTGACCATGACAATGAAAAGATGAGAATGTAGGGAGGTTGGGCTTACTTTTCTCCTGCTGAAAGTTGATTCCGGGTAGCATCTGAACTTCACAAGCTGAGAATTCCAATAAATCCACAAAAAGAATTCCCCTAGGGAAGGGGGTGTGGACTTTAATTGATGATGTCCAATTAGAGTTTCCATTGACATTGCCATGTCTCTTGTTTTCTTGAGACATCTCTTGGTCACCCTCAAGCATATGTACAAGCCAGTTAGGAAGAAGTAAGTACTGATGACAAGAAGGAGTGTGAGATGAGAAACAGTAGCCTTTTCTTTGTCTGTAGCATCTCAAGTTTTATAGTCTCTGGGATCTTCTCTCTGATTAGAAAGTGCTTCTTTTCCACCTGGCAAGGTGGCACACACCTGTAATCCCAACACTTTGAGAGGCTGTGCTGGGTGGATTGCTTGGGCCCAGAAGTTTAAGACCAGCCTGGGAAACATGGCAAAACCCTGTCTCTACAAAATAAAATAAAATAATGCAAAAAAAGAGAGAGCAACTGCTTCATTGCTTTTCTAAAACGTTGTTGAGCTATTTAAAGCCTATGATAACGGGGGTTTATTTGCACTTACTTCCCTTCATTTTAGTTGAATTCAAGCTTATGTCTTCAGATTTTTATTGACTTAGTTACCTTATACTGTTTTTAGTGGATTGCCGTGAAGTAGGGTTCTGTTGGTTGAGCACAAGGGAAGCAGAGAGCTGGATGGAGCCATTATCTCAGACTTAAGTCAAGCGCTGATTGAAATTTCTCTTGTCCCAAACTCCTAGTGGTCCTGCACTCAGGAGATAGGGAAGGTCGCTGACGATACTGAGTCTTTTCCACAGTGCTTGCTTCTTTTTAGCAGCCTCAGATGGATCCCTGCCCCTAAACTGGGGCTGTTTCTCTCCTTCTCAACCTAATTGTGTGCCATGAGGAAATAAAGAAAGAAAGAGAGAAAGAGAGAAAGAAAGAAAGAAAGAAAGAAAGAAAGAAAGAAAGAAAGAAAGAAAGAAAAGGAAGGAAGGAAGGAAGGAAGGAGAGGAAGGAAGGAAAAGAGAGAAAGAGAGAGAGGAAGGAAGGAAGGAAAGGAAGGGAGGGAGGGAGAGAGAGAGAAAGAAAGAAAAAGAAAGAAGAAAAGAAAGAAGGAAAGAGAGAAGGAGAAAGAAGAAAGAAAAAGAAAGGAAAAGAAGAAAGAAAAGGAAAGAAAAGAAGAAAAGAAAAGAAAAGAAAGAGCTTGTGTTAAAAGCTGCCTAATTTCCCATTCCTCCTTGGCTGATCATCTAATTCATTCAGTGATGTCAACCCCAGAAGGAGACTCAGTTTTTCTTTGTCTCCAACATCCTACAGGGGCACTAAGAAGGAGGGCACCAAAAATGGAATGCTTCATAGCACAAGGGAAAAATTACAAGAAATCCAAACTCTTTTAAATATTTGTTGTTACTTGAACCTTTAAATTTAAAAAACGATTTTATGTCTCTTCTTCCTTAACAGCATTTCTCTCATCCAGAGCCAAATGCCAACGGAGACATAAAGAGGGGGCACAAGTGGGATTCATCCCACCTTACCCTTAGGTAGGAATTTGCTGCTTTCAGAGTGTATTCATCTACAAACTACACTGGATTCTTGGAAGAATTTTTTTGTAAAAGTGGCAGGACAAATGTTATCCTTTTACAGATGAGGAAAGATGGCACAGAGACGTTGTGCACTTGCCTGAGGCCACACAGCCTGACCTTGAACTCCACTTTTCTTTTGATTCACCAGGCTGAGTGCCTCATTTTAAGGTACATTTGACATTGAGCATCATCTGATGACACCTCCTGGGGGTGGTCTGTACCAATGCCCTTGGGGTGCGTTTTGTACGTATTCAAACACCAAATATTTATAGAGGTTCTACTTAATGTCTGCCAGCTTGTGCCACCCTACTGCTGGCTGTAGGAGGAAGTGGTATGTGGGGAGGGGTGGGAGAAAGGGTGGTTATAATAACTTTAGAGCTGAGGAACACCCTTTTAAACCAATCCATTAATTTTTACACGCGGAGAACTGAGCACAAGCTTTTGAGTGTCTTGTCCAAGTACCTGTTGTCTGTGGCAGGGCAGGAACTGGAACCTAGAGTTTCATATGCCCAGTGCCCACTCTGCTTTCATTCTGAGCATTGGGCAGCCCCTCCCCTTGTCCTGTTTCTCTCCTGGTTTCCCGGTGTGTGTGTGTGTGTGTGTGTGTGTGTGTGTGTTGCTTGCGGGTGGAGGTTTAGTGATTTTCATCAACTCTGTGTTGACTGGTGTTGCAGAGTGTTTTGCAAGCTCTCTGGGTGAAGGCCAGTTTACAAACATTTACACTGTGCTACCAAGGGTACAAGGGAAGGCTGCTTTTCTTGGGAATGAAGCTGGGAGCAGGGAGGGGACTACAGAGGCATGCGAAAAAGAAAAGAGAATTGCAAGCTGCTTGCTGGAGGAATGGCCCTTTGTTGCCAGGGAAGTAACCCACATAGGGCTGGAGCCCCACCGACCCAGAAAAAAGAACGGTGTTAGAGACCGGGAAGCTAGGACTCATCAGAGACAAAACGTTGGCCCAGCGTGTGCAGAGAAGAATCTGTCCAAGCAGGAAAGAGCAGAACTACTTCAACTGCAGCTGGATTTTGGTACCCTCCTCCCCTTCTTTCTGGGTACTCAGCTCTGTCCCGCCCCTGCCCATTGGCAGCACTGATTTTACTTTCTAAAAAGTCCGCTTCCCAGAAAACTCTTGTTCTTTCTTTATAATGATTTTATTTTTAAGTTGGATTTTGTTTTGCTTTTTTTTCCCCCTAGGAAATAGGACACAGGATCATTGATTTCACAGGATTTGTCCCGGCATAAACAGGAGTTTGTAAGGTCCTGTAAACAGGAGCAGTACCCCAGAGAGCTCACCCGCAAAAGACTATTAGCTTTTAATTGAAACCCTCCCTCCACCCCCACCCCCAGCCCCTTCCAGGAACAGGAACAGGTGGCCATTGTGAAGCGGGGCCTATAACCGAGGATTCTGCCCCAATGAAAGGGATCTTGAGTTGACCCAGAGAAGCGAGATGCTCTTTTGAGCTCCACCCCCTTATGGTATTCAAGGGCTTTTCATTTTCTGAGCAGTATTGAAATTCTAGGACAATGGAGGCCAAATCCTTGTGGTGGGGGTTGGGGGCTGGGCGTGGAGAAAGGAGAGAGGGCCTGGAAGAGGAGGAGGGCTCGGGAGTCCATCCCTTGTTATTTTTCTTCTTTCCTACCCATTACCTTTAAAACATTTAAAAAAGGAAAGAGAAAGGCCTAGTAAACTTTTAATGAATAATGACATCACTTCCGGGAGCCCCACGGATCCTGCTGCGAAACCTGAAATTGAGAGCCAGTAACTATTTACAATTTCAGTTCAAATTATTCTAAACCCTCCCAAAGGAGTTCTTTGATATGCAAACATCTCCCCCAAATGGAGATAATTATTTATGGAGATGTGGGCCTTTGAAGGGAGTTCTCAGAAAGGGTGGCTTTGAGGCTTCCTAGGAAAGGAAGGAGGTTCCAGATAAGGAGTGGCAGGGCTGATACACATCTTCTGCCCAGCCTCCTCCCGCCAAACCCCACTCCCTGGGATGAAAGCTGCTTTAAAGAAGAAACTTCCCGGAGTTACAACTTGCAGTTCAAATTACAGCTCTCCTCTGTCATTGTCCCCATGTCTATGTTAAGTTTTCTGGGAAAACTTCCTTTTCGCATCCCTGGCTGGGTGTCTTATCTTTCAGTAGATGAAGAAAGGGGAGAGGAGAGACTGTAACCTTTGTCTTTTTGACCCCTGAGGTTCCCTGGGATGTATAAGGTCATGTAGAAAGAGCCCAGGCTGTTTTTGGGGGGTGAATACTTAAGGTTAGTACATTGGCTTTCGGAGAAGACAGTAGTTTAGGCCATGCTTGCTATTACAGAAAATGCTGTGATTAGGACTGTAATGACCTTGCGGCCTACTCTTTCTTTTTCCCTTGGATTTTCTTTTGAAAATGCTTTAACACGTTGGTCTGAAGTACCAGATGCCCTCCCCCCATAACCTGCCAGCGTCTTCCACCTCTAGGACTTGCCTGGCAGCTTGGAAGTTTGCTTCTTGGAAGCATCCTCTACCCTCCCCCATTCGCAGCTAACCTAAAAGTCTGCAACCGCTCCCACCGCCCGTTCAAGCTGGTCACCTGAGTAGGTGGAATGGAAATCTTTCCTGGAATGGAAAGATTGAGCAACTGGTCCACGGAATGCGGAGACTGAAATAAGCCCTCAGCTTCCATCCCACCGGTTCTTGGGTCCCTCATTTCCCTTATTATCGCACTTCCTTCCCCAAGGAACAGAGCAGGAGCTAAGGATCCAGCTCCAAGCAGCTGAGGCCAAGGAGCGGCTTGGGCAACCCCATTCAGCACGGTGAGGGTACAGAGCAGAGTCCCTGATAACTGATGGGCATCCTTTCATAAAAGAGGACCTTTTATCTTTTTTTTTTTTTTTTTTTTTTTTTAATGTCGTAGGTTAAGACGTGCTAACTGACAAATCTCAGTTGTAAAACTGAGAAGGGTTTTTCTTTTTCCTGAGTGCTTGGCGGTGGTTGCTAGGGGTTTCGAGACCAGCAAAGCTGCGCATGCTCCCTGCTCCCCAGGAAGAGCCCGCAGCTCCAAGAAACCAGGTGATGAGAATAATACCCATGATGTTGGTCTTGGTTAAGGAGTGAGACCCTGTGCGTCCCCAGAGGAGAAAATGATTGTTCTCGTAGGAAAGAAACTAAAGAGAGATGGGATCTGTGAAAGAAAACCAGAGCCATAGTAGTCAAAGCGGTATAAAAACAGATTTTAGGCCGGGCACGGTGGCTCATGCCTGTAATCCCAGCACTTTGAGAGGCCGAGGCGGGCGGATCACGAGGTCAGGAGTTTGAGACCCGCCTGGCCAATATGGTGAAACCCCGTCTCCACTAACAATACAAAAAATTAGCCGAGCATGGTGGCAGGCGCCTGTAGTCTCAGCTACTCGGGAGGCTGAGGCAGGAGAATCGCTTGAACCCGGGGAGGCACAGGTGGCAGTGAGCTGACATGGCACCACTGCACTCCAGCCTGGGTGACCGAGTGAGACTCCGACTCAAAAAAAAAACAACAAAAAAAAACAGATTTTGTTCAACAACTATTGCAACAAAGGAAAAGAGACCTCAGAACTGGCCTCAGTTCTTAATACAGCATAGACAAGTGGGGATTTATAGCCAAGGTGCTGTGGGTGAGGGGGCGGGGTAGGGTGTTGGGAGGAGTAGGGGATGTCTTCGGGCAGGGGGTGAGAGGTTATCAGTGGTTGGAAAATTACTAAGAGGAATCATCAGGGGTCGGGGGATTCTGGCTAAACCCACCTAGCCAGATTCTTACTGAAGACAGGCCAGGGTGACCCAACATCACCTGGGGGATAGTAGAGGCTGAGAACCTTTTTTTTCTGAGACAGAGTCTCGCAATGGTGTGATCTTGGCTCACCGCAACCTCTCCCGGGTTCAAGCGATTCTCCTGCCTCAGCCTCCCCAGTAGCTGGGATTACAGGCATGTGCCACCACGACCAGCTAACGTTTCTATTTTCAGTAGAGGGGTTTCTTCATGTTGGTCAGGCTGGTCTTGAACTCCTAACCTCAAGGTGATCCACCCGCCTCAGCCTCCCAAAGTGTTGGGATTACAGGCGTGAGCCACCGCGCCCGGCCAAGGCTGAGAACCTTTAAATATCGATGGTGATCAGCTATGGAGGATGGGGTATTCTAGCTAAACCAACTCAGGAGAATTATTGCTAAAATGGGACATTGCAGAGGCAAAGAGAATGACAAAAGTTGAGGCGTAGTTGAAAAGTTTGGGGGAGCCTGAGTCGTTTGATTGGGAGAAGAATCTTTGCTAGATTCCAGTGTTTTTTCATGGTTTTTTTTTTTTTAAATTGACTTTATTTTTAAGAGCATTTATAGGTTCACAGCAAGATTGAAGGGAAGGTACAGATATTTATTTATTTATTGAGATATGGTCTCACTATGTGGCTTAGGCTGTAGTGCAGTGAATGTTCAGAGGAGCAATTATAGCCAGTACAGCCTCAAATTCCTGGGCTTAAGCAATCCTCTTTCCTCAGGGCCTCTGAGGAACTGAGATTACAGGCGTGCCAGCACACCAGGCTCATCAGGGATTTCTTATATACTCCTACTCAACCCCTACATGCATAAACTCCCCCATTATCAATATTTCCTACCAAAGTGATACAATAGATGAGCGTACATTGACATCTCATTATCACCCAAAGTTCATAGTTTACACTGGGGTTCACTGGTGGTGTTGCATAATCTATGGGTTTGGACATACGTATAATGACATGGAAGCTACATGATATTTTCCTACAGGGTAGTTTCACTGCCCTAAAATATTCTGTGAATCATCTCTTTATGCCCCTCACCCAACCCCCAGGATCCCAGTGTTTTCTTTTTGAGTTTAGCTGCTGATGTTTGTCGGTTTATCAGGCACTCAAAAAACTGCACTCTCTATTCCCTTTGCTCTTTTTAAGGGGGCATCCTTATTTCCTAGACAGATTTGTGACTGTGTAGATGCTGGGAACATGTTTTGCTTTGGAGTGGGGAGGGGGGAAATCTTGTAAAGATTTCTCTTTGTCACATTTTTGATTTGTGAATTCTCAGAGGCTGGACCTGGGCTTCCTGGAAGGTAATGCAGATGTGACGTCACAATTTCCTGTCCCGTGCTCTTGGGATTGGTGTGAGAATAGTTTATCAGAATGGGCTGACCTTCTGCAGATTCCACTGCTGAACTAATTTTATAGATGAGGAAGCTGAGGCCCAGAAAGGCCCAGAAAAGCTGAAGCTCTTGGGATTGGTGTGAGAACAGTTTATCAGAATGGGCAAAACCTCTGGAGACTCCACTGCTGAGCTAATTTTACAGATGAGGAAGCTGAAGCCCAGAAAAGTAACCACTGGGACATGCCGATTAGGAGCAGATATCTTCAAAAAAATAACTTGTCTTTAAAGAAAAAAAAGCAACAGTAAATATATCAGTTATATGAAAATTTGGCCAGATGCGGTGGCTCATGCCTGTAATCCCAACACTTTGGGAGGCCAAGGAGGGTGGATCAGTTGAGGTCAGGAGTTCGACACCAGCCTGTCCAACATGATGAAACTCCATCTCTACTAAAAATACAAAAATTAGCTGGGCATGGTGGCGACACCTGTAATCTCAGCTACTCTGGAAGCTGAGGCAGGAGAATTGCTTGAACCGAGGAGGCGGAGGTTGCAGAGAGCCGAGATCGCACCACTGCACTCCAGCCAGGGCAACAGAGCAAGACTCTGTCTCAAAAAAAAAAAAGGAAAAAAAATTTCTATGTCTCTATTGATGATTCTTTCATGTCAATCAATATTTTCCCCAAAGCAGTGTCAAAACAAGGATTTGGGCAACCTTTGGCCCTTTCAAAGGGAACTTGTAAAATCTTCATTGGAAGAGGCTGAATAAGTGGATTTGGGGGAATGCTAGAATTGTTCTCTATCTTGATGATAGTGGTGGTTACACAATTCTATGCATTTGTCAAAATTCTTGGAACTGGACACCAAGAATGATTTTTACTATATCTAAGTTAAACAGTAAGTTTAAAAAACGAGAAAGAGTCTTTGTTGGAGTTCAGAAAACGTGGGGTATTTCTGCAACTAAACAAGGAAGTCATTTTCCTAACGGGCCAGGAGAAGTGGGTGGGGTGAATGTTTCCCTTGCTCTTCCCAGTTTTCCTCAATTGACTTGGAAGACTGGGCCTACCCCAACTCAATGTGGGCTGCAGCTTGCTCTCCTCTCTAAAGCACATTAACTTCCATCATCTGTTTTACGTAAATTTCCAGGCATCTGTTTGCCTGTTGTGAGTTAGGTTACGCCCATTTCAATAATCTTTTTTATTGTTGTGTAATTTACCAGTTCAAACAGTAACTTCAATTGCTGGGCTATAGGAGGAGGGATATCACCCGAGGAAAGGAAGAAGCAGAAGAAGATATTAGGGCAACATTTGGTACTGGGTAACATCAGAATTATAGGGCTTTTTAGAACTGCTCTGGTTCATTTTAATTTCCTACGCCTTTAGCCTTCAAGGTTGGTTTTTAATAGTCCACTTCTAGCTGCAGTATTTAAGAGCCCCAGCAAGAGTGGGGATGTTCAGTGGTAAAGTCTCGTGTTTCTCCAAAGCCCTGGGACCGCCATTCCCCAGTGGGAAACTGACTTGGCAGGAAGTCAGCTCATCTTCTCAGCTGACCACTCTATTCTGGAGAGGAAAGGCAAGGGGCAGAGGCTATCTCCGACTGCAGATGAAAATTCTAAATCTTCAAATGTGATTCTGAGCATCCTGCCTCAATATTGGGAAAAAGGAAAACAGGAATTTATGCCATTAATTCATCTTACTTTCATGGAATTTTTTTCTTTTAAATGAGAACTTAGTGTCTTTCTTTCCTTTTCCTTCCTTCCATCCTTTCTTTCTTTCATTTATAAAGAAAGGAGTTTATTTCTTACAGTTCTGGAGGCTGACAAGACCAAGATTTTGGGGACACATCTGGTGAGGGCCTTCTTGCTGGTGGGGACTCTGTTGAGTCCTGAGGCTGCTTAAGGCATCCGATGGCGAGAGGCTGAGTGCATTCATATGCTCTAAAAGAGCACTGAGATTCATTTGCAGCCACAAACTCTTATACAAGCATAAATTAGACAATCTAATACTAGTATTATTCTTTACCTGTCTGTTTTTCTTCTGCTTAGGGTAATATTATTTAACTTTTGATGATGAAAGAATTAGATACCTCTGTTAGCTTTTCTTTATCACACCAGTAGAGGTGGACTTATCTTTCTTCTAGTTTCCTTTCATTTGTTTTGTTTTACTGGTAGCCTGATTCATATCTGGTAACCAACTCTCAGAGGGGTGTGTGTGTGTGTGTTTAGGGGCAACAAGTATCTTATCCTGATTGGATTTTTTTTTTTTTGAGATGGAGTCTCTCTCCGTTGCCCAGGCTGGAGTGCAGTGTCAGGATCTCGGCTCACTGCAACCTCCATCTCCCAGGTTCAAGTGACTCTCCTGCCTCAGCCTCCTGAATAGCTGGAATTACAGGAGCCCGCCATCATGCCTGGCTAATTTTTTTTTTTTTTTGTATTTTTAGTAGAGACTGGGTTTCGTCATGTTGGCCAGGCTGGTCTTGAACTCCTGGCCTCAGGTAATCTGCCCACCTCAGCCTCCAAAGTGCTGGGATTACAGGTGTGAGCCATTGCACCTGACCTGCCTGATTGGAATGGATTTGTTCTTTTCTCTGCAGTTTGTAGACCATCAGGACACAAGCCCTCACTGGCCCTGGGAGGTGATCTACAGGCAGCTGAGCGTGTGACCTTCACTCCTCTAGCCATGACTCAAATAGCTAGTCTTGGATTAGCTGAACAACTTTCAGTTCTGCTGACAATGTTGTCTTCTCATTTTTTCCCCCCACGAAGGTGGACCTCTATACCCACATAGTATCTCCACTTAGGTGCACATGAATATCAGCAGAATACATGACTAGATTATGACAAGTTCCAGGCCCACAGATGCCACAGCATAATGGTTTCCAGTCCTGCTTGCACATTAGAATCATCTAAAAGAATCCCATGTTGAAGCCCCACCCATCCAGGGCCTGATTCAATGGGTGTGGGGAGGGGCCAGGCATATAACGCCAGTTAAAAGCACCCTGCATGATTTAAAATGCTTCCAGGGATGGAACTGAGTGCCACAGAGGTGGCGTATACCATTTGTTTTAGACGGAGTCTTGTTCTGTCACCAGGCTGGAGTGCAGTGGTGCAATCTCAGCTCACTGCAACCTCCACCTCTCAGGTTCAAGTGATTCTCCTGCCTCAGCCTCCGGAGTGACTGGGACTACAGGTGCGTGCCGCCACGCCCGGCTAATTTTTTGTATTTTAGTAGAGATGGGGTTTCATCATGTTAGCCAGGACGGTCTCGATCTCCTGACCTTGTGATCTGCCCACCTTGGCCTCCCAAAGTGCTAGGATTACAGATGTGAGCCAACACGCCCAGCCCATATACCTTTCTTTGTTTTGGTTTGTTTGTTTTTTGAGATGCAGTTTTGCTCTTGTTGCCCAGGCTGGAGTGCAATGGCACCATCTCGGCTCACTGCAACCTCTGCGTCCCAGGTTCAAGTGATTCTCCTGCCTCAGCCTCCCAAGTAGCTGAGATTACAGGTGTGTGCCACTGCGCCTGGCTAATTTTTGTATTTTTAGTAGAGATTAGGTTTTTACATGTTGGCCAGGCTGGTCTCGAACTCCTGACCTCAGGTGATCCAGCTGCCTTAGCCTCCCATAATGCTGGGATTACAGGTGTGAGCCAGCACACCCAGCCTGGCTTATACCTTTCTTGAAATATCCTTAAACAAATTGAAAGCCTGAAATACTCCAAATCCTCCTGGTTCTCAGAATCATGCACTGTGGCCCAGTTTTTTGAGGCCACTGGTGGTCCTGGAAGTTCATTGTGCTTGTCATCCCCAAATCTTAATGGGGTGACAAGCCTGCCTTGCCCTTAGGTTTAATTAAAGAAGTAGGATCTTTCTTGGGTTCTGTCACCCTGTGTTCATGTGGGCACACATACCTGGTTAGTATCTCCTAGGCTTGTCCCAAGGAATACTCTTGTGGGCTGTGAGCATTGTGTCTTCCTTAGCTTTGGACTGGAGATGCTGTCTAGCCCCATCAGCCTCACAAACATCTATTAGTGATATGTGCCAGGTTTACGTGCTTTTCAAAAAGGTATCCCTTCCTGCCCACGTGGTAAAGAGGGGAAGAAGAGGCGGGGCCAGGGTTGCTGGAGGGGAGGTGCTGTTGCAATGATTGGTGATTTTCCAGGCCTCATAGAAGGCAGTTAACAATGGGATCATGTAAACCAAAGAGCCTTATTGTTTCGAAATTGGACGCCTATTTGAACAATTATGATCGGCAGTGATCTGATTAACACTGAAATACCTATTAGGCTACTAATGTATGAATGAAAGAAAAAAATACAGGAATCTATTTAAAGAGAGGACAGGTGTGTAGCTCTACATGTTCTAAATCATATTAAGAAGAAGCAAAGGAGGGTTAAGAGAGGATCATCATGAATGGAAGAAGGCCCATCAGGAGAGCTGACTACAAGTCCCAACTCTCTGACCTGCAGCTGGTGACCCATCTCCAAGCAAGTCACCCTCTCTCCTTTAGACTCAGTGTCTTCATTTGAATTGGAGATTACAATAACTACCACAAAGGCGTTAAAGTAGGTGATAAAGCAGGTGAAAGTTTGCAAGCTCCAGGGCGCTATATAATTATGAGCTCTGACTATCCCTTTGAGAAACTGGTTTTCATAATGAGTGACTCAATTAACCTGCATCATGTGCTCACTCTGGAGGCCAGCCTGGGGCTGGACAGGCTGCTGAGGTTGCTGGGATGGGCACACAGATTCCATGTGAGGGGGTCTTACCCTCGGCCACATCCTCATCCTTTCTTCTGTGTGCCACTGTTGAGATCAGAGAGGTTTCTGAGAGTGAGGGCAGGAAAGTGTGCCCAGAGGAGGGGCAGAGGAAGAGGAAGGTGTGCCCAGTTAGTGAATGGAAAGAACTTGACTCCAGGACTGCGCGGTTGTAGGGTGAGGGTGGCAGAAGAAGAGCAGCCAAAGGGGCAAAGAGGGACTTGCCTGGATGATTCTGTGCCAGGAGCCGCTCACACACTTCTCAGGCCTGCCATGCTTCTCACTTGGGGTCACAAAGGTTCTTTGCTTGACCAAACTTCAGTCCGCCTCCTGAACCTTCTCCCAGGACCTCCTGTGCACTTCCTTGTAAAACCCAATCTTAGCAAAGGCCCCTGATAAGTCATTTTGGCATGAACTCCTCACCCTTGATATCTTATCAGGTTCCTCAGCCTCCACCAGCCCCCAGGTGATGTCTGGTCACTTTGGCCAGTCTTCAGGGAGAGTCCTATTAGATCGGTTTAGCCAGAATTCCCCTTACCCCTCATGGCGCCTCGTAGTAAGTTTCTATCCACTGACCCCCACCCTGCTCCTTGGCTCTAAACCCCACTTGCCCATGCTGTATTCCGAGTTGAGGCCAATCTGTCTCCCCATCACTGCAAGACTCCACTGCAGTGGGTCTCTATACCTATCATGATGGTCCTGAATAAAGTCTTTGCTGCTGTGATTTAACAAGCGTGATTAATTACTCTTTTCTTTTTTTTCTTTTGAGACAGAGTCTCACTCTGTTGCCCAGGATGGAGTGCAGTGGCGCGATCTCAGCTCACTGCAACCTCCGCCTCCCAGGTTCAAGAGATTCTCCTGTCTCAGCCTCCCGAGTAGCCAGGATTACAGGCATGTGCCACCACGCTCAGCTAATTTTTGTATTTTTAGGAGAGACGAGGTTTCACCATGTTGGCCAGGCTGGTCTTGAACTCCTGACCTCAAGTGAACCACCCACCTCAGCCTCCTAAAGTGCTGGGATTCCAGGCGTGAGCCACCAAGCCCGGCTGAGTAATTTTTTTCTTGGCATCTTGGGAGATGCCAAGTCTCTTTATCACAGCAGTAGTTCCCCTGGCTCAGTTATTTTGACAATAATCAAAATAAATTCTGAGGCTCCTTGAGTGCTTTCTGACACATGTGGACAAACACCAGACTGTCCTGGGGAGAGGGGCCCTCATATGGGTTGTGGGACCAGCAGGCGGTCGAGCACAGTAAATCTGCCCACGGCTCAGGGAATCTTTATTTATGGTTGATCTCTCATTTCCTTTTTACTAGCTTTATTATGTGGTTTCCTATACACAATTGCCGATTTAGCATTCTGTTCAGCTACTGACAAGCCCTTCTCTAGGGCCAGTGAGGAAATTCCGGCTGCAGAGTTCAGGGAAGGTTGTGGACCCCAGGCAGGCTGAGAGCAGAATCCAGCATTCCTGCACTTAGCCTCTTCCAGGAGCCAAACCTCCCTCATTGCCCCCCTGTGGGGTAGAACTGAATGAGTGACAAGTCCCCTGTGCACAAGTCTTGCTTCCTTACATCCTTTCCAAGATCCTGTCAACAGAAGATAATTGATAACATTTTTGTAACAGCCTACTAGGTACCAGGCTGGGTACCAAAGCTAACTTTGCAGTTCTTTCAAAAGCCCTAGGAGGCAGACATCATCTTTTTTTTTTTTCATTATTCAGATGAGAAAACTGCAGCATGGACAGATTAAGTGATGTGTTCCCCAGGTTCACACACGTTAGTAAATGGAGGTGCTGAGAGTCAGACTCGGTGGCCTGACTTCCAAGCCCAGGCTAAGTCAGACTGACAGCGAGATACCCCTAAACCCCCTTCTCTGCAATGGCCCCGAAGAACCTTGGGGTTTGGTATTCCTTCAATCGTGGTGATAATGCTTTGATTCTGAATATTAATGTCTTGTAAACTGTCTAGTTGCAGATGGCTTAACACAGGGGAAAAAGAACTTGGGCTTTATCTGACTTGACCTGCTTTTTAGTCAAATGCAAAATAAGTTGCGAGCCGAGACTCTCTTTAATCCTCAATCACATTAGCCTGATGACACTGCTACATTAATTTAAGTGGTTAATGGACAAAGTGGGTCAATCCAGCTTTAGCTTAAATCAAGGCTGACTCCAGTGCTGCTGAGGCAGTCTTCCTTAAGGGAAAAGCACTCTTCTTCTAACTCCCTGTTGGCAGTCTGCAAGAAGGAGTGCCCGCCCTCTAGGGAATTGCCTTTTCTGGCTCCTGTGATCAAGTTTCTATGGTTTCCGTATCGGTGCTAGATAGGGGAATTGTGGTCTCAGTGGATTAAGATGGCTTGAAGCTTAGAATGCCTTACTGAGAGGTAAATATTTGGTCAAAAATAATGTGGAAATTCTCTTTTTTTTTTCCTTTTAATTCCTGTGCCTAGGCAGGAATCAGTTGGAAATCTCTATTCCATAGTAGATAGCTAATAGATGATATAGCCTCTAACATGGTATCTAGAATAATAGCAGGCACCCAATAAATTGTCCGACTTGTAAATAATAACTTTCTGATTGTAGATCTGTGATCAAAGCTTAGTATCCACTTAGTTAACACACCTCCTTTTGGTGTATACAAACTAGCGCTTATACACATATGCTGAATTTTGGTCATATGATATGCCGTAAACTGTGTATTGAGCAACTTAATAATGATAATAATAATGACAGTAGTAGTGGCTGATATTTGTTAAGTATATTCCATATGTCAGGTGTATTCTAAGCATGTTATAATTATTAATTGTTTAATCCTCATTAAACTTCCATGAATACGTATTGGTGGCTCCATTTTTGTGGATGAGAAAAAGACGCCCAGAAAAGTTAAATAAAGTATTCAAAGTGACATAACTTATAAGTGGTAGAGCCAGAATTTAAACCCAGGCAGTCTGACTTTAGATCCCAAATTCCTTAACTAATTTAAGAAGCTAATTTAAGCTAAACTGAGTCAGCTTTATGAATTTCATTTAATTTTTTTCCTTTAAAAGAATATATGTGATAAATAATTGTGCATATTTTGGGGGTACAATATGATATTTTGATCTACGTTTACATTCTAGAAAGATTTAATCAATGGCCGGGAGCAGTGGCTCACGCCTGTAATCCCAGCACTTTGGGAGGCCAAGGCGGGTGGATCACGAGGTCAGGAGATTGAGACCATCCTGGCCAACATGGTGAAACCCCATCTCTACCAAAAATACAAAAATTAGCCAGGTGTGGTGGTGGGCGCCTGTAGTCCCAGGTACTCAGAAGGTTGAGGCAGGAGAATTGCTTGAACCCGAGAGGCGGAGGTTGCAGTGAGCCGAGATCGCACCACTGCACTCCAGCCTGGGTGACAGAGCGAGACTCTGTCTCAAAAAAAAAAAAAGAAAAGAAAAGAAAGATTCAATCAAGCAAATTAACATATCCATCACCTCACCAACTTATCATTTTTTGTGTGTGGTAAGAAACTGGAAAATCTGTTTTTGAAGAAGATTTGAAATACACAACATATTATTATTAACTGTGGTCACTGTGCAGTGAAATAGATCCCTACAACTTATTTCTCCAGTCTAACTGAAACTTAGAACCCCCTGATCAACATCTTGTCTTTCATCATCTTCCCTTTAATCCCCCAACCAGCCTCTGGTAACCACCTTTTTACTCTTTTTCTGTGAGATCAACTTTTTTAGATTCTACATATAAATGAGATAACACAGGATTTGTCTTTCTGTGCCTGATTTATTTCGCTTAGCATAATGTCTTCCAGTTGCATTCATGTTATTGCAAATGGCAGAATTTCCTTCTTTTTAAAGGCTGTATAATATTTCATTGTGCATATATACTACACTTAAAAAATCTATTCTCCATTGATAGACACTTAAGTTGCTTCCATATCTTGTCAATTTTGAATAATGCTATTATAAAATGAATAGGAAAATGCAGATATCTCTTTGACATACCAATTTCAATTCCTGTGTATATCTATCCAGAAATGGGATTGCTGGATCTAACCTCACTTAATTTCTTTCTTTTTTTTTTTTTTCTGAGACGGAGTTTCCCTCTTGTTGCCCAGGCTGGAGTGCAATAGCACCATCTCAACTCACTGCAACCTCTGCCTCCCTGGTTCCAGCAATTCTCCTGCCTCAGCCTCCCAAGTAGCTGGGATTCCAGACATGCACCACCACACCCAGTTAATTGTTTTTTAGCTTTTAGTAGAGACGGGGTTTTGCCATTTTGTCCAGGCTGGTTTCAATCTCCTGACCTCAGGTGATCCACCCGCCTCTGCCTCCCAAAGTGCTGGGATTAATGGCGTGAGCCACTGTGCCCAGCCTGGTTTTTTTATTATTATTATCGTTGTTGTTGTTTTATAACTTCAGCTTTTATTTTAGATTCAGGGGATGCATGTGCAGGAATTTGTTACATAGGTATATTGCATGATGCTGACGTTTGGGGTACCGTTGATCCCATCACCCAGGTAGTGAGCATAGTACCCCTCTAAAGTATTTTTGGAGGCTTCTAGAGTTGTGTCTTGGGAATTTCCTCGTGGCATGTTTGTATCAGTTTACTTACCTGATTTCACTGGATTTTTTGGCTGCTGTGTGCTTTGTTGCTTTGTGAAGTAAAGGCTTTGTCAGCAGTCACTGTGTTAAAGCCGGAACAACTGGGCGGGACCCGAGGGATGTTTTCCTTCCAGTGCCCATGGCACATCTGCCTGGGTTTGGTAAGTGTGAGAAGGCAGACTAGTGGCAGGACTCATGGACAGTGAAATCTCTGGGAGTCCCGGGTGCTATAGTTTTAGGAAAGGCACTTATCAGAGGCCAAAGGCTTTTGTATTTTGGCTTCAGATGCTTGGGGCAATCTGAAAGCTGGGAAAATAAGGGAAAGGTTATACCCACAAGAGGATCTTAGAGAAACAGATAGCTTGCCCTTTCTACCTTGCATGAAGGGGCCTTCGTGTTTTCCGGTAGATGGTACCTGCCCTCCAAACCAGGTGGGATGCTAATCTACCTTTCAGCTCTAAAGTTCTACTTGCATTTTACATGTTTCTACCACTGCTTCCAGAAATAAGAGGGAGCTGGGATTAGAAGTCGTGACCTTAAGACGTGTGGCCAGAGAGGCGTCACCTTCTGATCCCGGTTTGTTTGCTTGCGTTTCTCAGGGACCTGATGCCCAGAACCCTGGACGGGCAGATCACCATGGAGAAGACGCCCAGTTACTTCGTCACGCGGGAGGCCCCTGCGCGCATCTCGGCCATGTCCAAGGACACCAAGCTCATCGTGGTGGTGCGGGACCCGGTGACCAGGGCCATCTCGGACTACACGCAGACGCTGTCCAAGCGGCCCGACATCCCCACCTTCGAGAGCTTGACGTTCAAAAACAGGACAGCGGGCCTCATCGACACGTCGTGGAGCGCCATCCAGATCGGCATCTACGCCAAGCACCTGGAGCACTGGCTGCGCCACTTCCCCATCCGCCAGATGCTCTTCGTGAGCGGCGAGCGGCTCATCAGCGACCCGGCCGGGGAGCTGGGCCGCGTGCAAGACTTCCTGGGCCTCAAGAGGATCATCACGGACAAGCACTTCTACTTCAACAAGACCAAGGGCTTCCCCTGCCTGAAGAAGGCGGAGGGCAGCAGCCGGCCCCATTGCCTGGGCAAGACCAAGGGCAGGACCCATCCTGAGATCGACCGCGAGGTGGTGCGCAGGCTGCGCGAGTTCTACCGGCCTTTCAACCTCAAGTTCTACCAGATGACCGGGCACGACTTTGGCTGGGATTGAGCAGACCCGGGCTATGTACCTTACCCACGTGGCTTATCTATTGACAGAGATTATATGTATGTAAAATGTACAGAAATCTATTTTATAATAATTTATTTTTAATTCATAAGCAATTAATTCACTAAGCTGCCTAGCCACACTCTTTAGAGAGTTAGCTTCATAATCTGTTAACATTCCAAAGTGTTTAACTCTAGTATTTCGTTCTCTTCTTCACAATTGATGGTGCTTCTATTTTTTCTTCTCCCCTACCTGTTATATTTAAAACAAAGAAAAGCACAACTTGAGATTTTTGTTGTTACGGGTATTCAGCCTTCAGTCACCGTCTGAGTTCTCCAGTTGCTGCCTCCTTGTCTTGTCTTGGGTCTCCCATTCCAGCTTCCCTGTCTCTTCCTGCCTGTGTACCTCGTAGGAACGCTGAGCTGCCTCAACAGGGCTGTATTCTGAAGGGCAGGCCTCATGCAGCAGCCTCCTTGCAGATGTGGTGTCCCGTCCAATGATGTAGCCTGAAAGCCACAGCCCTAGGGTTCTGTCCCTCCCTCCATTCAGCACATGGGGAAATTTCTCACTCCCTTTACAGGGACATCCACATCCTTTTTTTTTCTTTTTTTTTTTTTTTTTTTTTTGAGATGGAGTCTTGCTCTTGTTGCCCAGGCTGGGGCGTAATGGTGTGATATATGCTTACCACAACCTCTGGCTCCCGGTTCAAGCGATTCTCCTGTCTCAGCCTCCCAAGTATCTGGGATTACAGGCATGCACCACCATGCCTGGCTAATTTTGTATTTTTAGTAGAGACGGGGTTTCTTCATGTTGGTCAGGCTGGTATCAAACTCCCGACCTCAGGTGATCCGCCTGCCTTGGCCTCCAAAGTGTTGGGATTATAGGCGTGAGCCACTGCGCCCGCTATCCACATCCTTCTAGAGTCAGAATGGTAGGGTCTGTTGACTTCAGCTTTTGATTTTGCAGGATGGCCCTGTGTCCTCCTCTGCCCCATTCCCTGGTTCATTAACCAGTTTGAAGTGTATGTAGATTGTTGCCCCGTCTTTCCCAGGTCACATGTGTGAGATGCCTGGGTGCTGCTTCAGAAATCAAGATGATCTCCTTTAATTTGCATGAAACTACACCATGCTGCGTTCCCCAGGCAGACAGTTCTGCTTTGACACACCAAAGAATCCCGTAGGCTAGCAGAGCCACCAGCACAAACCAAGGGCGCTGGGTGTCGAGACTCAGAGGGGTCAGCTGTGTCCCTCGGCATCAGCGTCTACCAAGGTGCTGCTAGGTACAGAGCCAGCCAGTGTTGGGCAGCAGGCTCACAGCCTCAATAGGGAGAAAAGACAAAGGCCTCAAAATGACAGGCAGCCTGACAGAGGAAGGAGTCTGACACCTCAGCTTGATGCGTCTTTGGAATTCCTAGCTCATCTCAGAATTATATCTTAGAGTGATAATATGGGTGGTAGCCAGTGGCCAAACAGCAAGAACTAAGAGTGGCCCTTGCAAAAAAAGGTTGGGAAAGCTGGGCCCATATTGCCTGTAAACCCTTGAGCCTGATGCTCATACAGCTGTCCCTTGTTTTAGCCAGGTCTTGACAGAAGGGTTACCAGCACTGTCACTGCTCTACAGAATGCTCTCCCCGTGCCTCTCTGTTGATTTATAACAGTTGGGTAACCAGATAGCAATATAGTGGCAATTGAGTAGCCATATAGTAATACAGGGGCAGTTGGTTAAACATATAGCAATATCACATAATGATATGTTTAATTTAACCTCAGTTTTTTAAACCAGAATGCTTCTACCATAAAAGAATTGTGATTTCAGTTATACTTCCATCAAGGAATATGTGGGAAGATATACATATTGTCAAAATGGTTGGGATGGGATAGTTACAAAGGACACTTTTGTATGTTGTATGGGATCACTTGCCTGATAGTATAAGGAACATTGTATGAAAAGATGAAAAGATACTTCATTTTTAGAAACTGATCAGAGATGTCACTGGTCTTTAAGTGATGTCTTGAAAATCCAGTATGTATTTGCCCAAAAGTTTTAGCCTACATCTAGCTAGCTTACACTTAGCAGCCAAACCATCATTGTGTAGGTTCTGTTTTGGAGGAAGCTCATGGGGGATCTGTGTATTTCTTAGGTTTCTCCCTGTTCTCCAATGTTTTATCCATTTCGTAGCTTTTTTACTGTCTCCAGAAAGTAGTGTGGGACCTGCACTTAGGGGAATACCAGAATCATAGCGTGGTTCTGCCTTCTTGATGAGTGATTGTGAAAAACACCTGCATAAGGGTGCTAATTGGTTGTGTATTTTTTCATTTATTTGAAATCAAACTGAGAACACCTCTTTTCGGTTTACAGCATAACATGGCTTGAAGTAAAAGGCAGTATCCAAGTCCTTCACCTGGTCTTGCCCTGTCTACTTTCTGATCATTCTGATGGTCTGATGTGGCTGTTGATGTGGAACTGCAGAAGAGTTCAGAGAAGAGTATGCAACAAAGCCATAGGAAAACACACAGGAGCTTTTCCCTCCCCTTCAGGTCCCCGCCCTCTTTCCAAGCTGGACAATTTTTTATTAAGTTGTTTATTCCCTGCCTTAAAACTGAAACAGGAAATTTTCTGGTAGAAGGAGGGTCATTTAGTCACGAACACTGAAGTGGGTCAAAATTCTATTCTGGGTCAAATCCTTGAATTCAAACAGATGTCCATAATCAGTACTGATGGAATAGAGCAAGTTTTTCTATGTAAGACAAATAAATCAAACATCATGTGCATCTCCTCATAAGGGTCTGCAAGGGTCTGATGGTTTAAAGTTCCTAACAGATCTGGTTGCAGCATCTGCCGGAGCTTGCACCCCATCATCGGACGGTCATCTTCCTGCTGCAGAAGTTAGGTAACATAAGACTTAGATTTCTTCCTGTTCTAGCAATCTGCAAGACCACCAGGCTTAACTTTTTAGCTGCCAGAAGACAAACCCCCTTTTCTGTTTCGGCAATTTGTCCTGGCACGTGTTTTGGACTTCCTCCGATTTACACGAAAAGCTCTGATATTCATTGGAGTACTTTATTTTTTTTCCTCAGTTTTGTTTCTTTTCTCATGTAAAAACAAACAAAAAGGTCAACAAAAAAAAATTGAGGTTTTTCTTGTTTCTATCTAGTTCATGCTTTCTTTGCGGTGTTTGAACAGTAGTCTGTTAACTTAGTAGGTGGTACCTGGAAAGGTATTTTAAGTATAGTGACTGTTTAATAAATACTTAATTGGATGATGGAGGAGGAGAAATTGTTTTCTTCCCAGGATTCTCTTTGGGGGTCATTTTGTGTGACAGATATATTTTAGACATTTGGAGAAACAGTTTCAGATCCTGCCAGGATATTTTTGTAAAAAAGGAAAATGGAAGATTCCAATAAACTAGAAACAGTACGTATCTAAGATGCTGACACAGAAGCTAATGTGACTTTTCAGCTTATCAAGAGGATGGCCAATAAAACTTAAAGGTGTGGTTAGATGTTTTCTCACTTTTGTGACATTAATTTATCACTGAGTCTCATTCAACCAAGTAATCTAAAATACTGTGCAAATTCTAGCAGTATGTCTTCGATAACTTGGATGTTAGGATAGCCAATATGTACAAAAAATTAAATCAAGTATTTTGTCCTATGTATAACACAAATTAATTTTACACAGAGAAAGATGTTTCTAGGCAAGTGAAATTCTGGTAATTCATACTATTTCTTTGTATGAACAAATAAAATATATTTTGCCAACATGTGGGTACCTTTATGTTTTCTTAAGTATTACAGAAGGACAAGGTAGCAATATTTTGTTTAATAATCCCATGTGCGTGCATGCGCACACACACACACACACACACACACACACACACACACACAGAGTCATTCTGAGGGCAAGCTGATCTTTCAGATTTTAAAGGGTCCAATCCAATATACAACTAATCCACAAGCATTTAGGGTGGATTTTTTTTTTATAAATGACTCTGAAGACAAGATCGGCGAGAGGGGCTCGTGTGTCTTGGTGGAGCTTCCCCGCAGCCCCCAGGAAGTGCTGTCTATTACACAGGATTCCAAGAATACTGAAGCCGCTGCCTGCCCCGGTCTTTCAGTGCCACAGGTTCGTGTGCATGGGCAGCCACATGTCACACGACAGGTGCAATGTGAGCACAGCACCTATGGCTGGATGGATTTTGATAATAGGTGCCTTCTCTTCTCACTTTTGCAGAGTGTTCTCCTATTAGGTGGAGATCCTTATCTGTAAGACAGAGACAGAAAGGACTCAGACGAGGCAGCATTTCTGTGTCTTTAATCCGTCTCAAACTACCTTCTGCTTACTTTTTACCTGGCACACCATCTGTACAATTAGTATTTGCTACTTTAACCATTTGATTCACTCTCTGATTTTACTTAACTTTAAAAGGAAACATATTTTAAGTAAAAAGCCATGATGTCTTGCCAACAGGAGGAGATCATCATTTTTAAAAGGCACAATGAAAGCAAAGCAATGCTGTTAATTTCTAGCCCAGGTAGTATCACTAAAGCCACACTAGCCTTACCTTAGGCTCACTCGCTGCTCCTGGCAAAGATTCTACTGTTCAAGACTGGCACATAAGTGAGATTTGCATCTTGCCATGAAGAATAAATGGGACTTGGTGAAGGAATGACTTACTCAATGTTATTTATTGTTAGTTCTATGTATGCCTAAAATGTGGGCGCCCACTCCCCACCTCCAAATCATCTCTCGCAGTTCTCTTGGTTTTCTGACATTTTTGGAAACACAGTGCCTCATACTAAGAAAATGCCTCGGAGAGGCATGGAGTTGAAAATTAGTCTAGCATTGTGGGAAAGCAGTGGAAAGAAAACCCTGACTTAACTAGAACAGGGTGTAAGTTCGTCAGTCAGAAAACAAGCCTTACTTAAGATTTGGTTTTCAAAAGCTAGCATTCTACGGAGATCAGTTTCTTCAAAGCTAGAAATTTGCCACTTAGTGAAATAGGTGTGTGAAATAGAAGTGTTGACTTTACTTTGCACCCCAACTCATCAATTTTATGCTTTTTCTACAGAAAGGTACTAAAATGGACCTAAAATCTATTTTTTTTTTTTGAGATGGAATTTTGCTCTTGTTGCCCAGGCTGGAGTGCAATGGTGTGATCTCGCTCACCGCAACCTCCACCTCCCAGGTTCAAGCGATTCTCCTGCCTCAGCCTCCCAAGTAGCTGGGAGGCTCCCATGTGCCACCATGCCTGGCTAATTTTTTGTATTTTTAGTAGAGATGGGGTTTCTCCATGTTGGTCAGGCTAGTCTTGAACTCGTGACCTCAAGTGATCCACCCGTCTCGGCCTCCCAAAGTGCTGGGACTACAGGCGTGAGCCACCACACCTGGCACAAATCTACTTATTAATCTGATGGCACAGTTTAGAGCAGTGGTCATCAAGCTTGGGGAAATATTCGAATGACCTGAAGAAACCTCAAGAGATTCCAAAGCCTGGCTGGGGGGCTCACGCAAGTAATACCAGCACTTTGGGAGGCCAAGGTGGGTGGATGGCTTGAGTCCAGGAGTTCAAGACCAGCCTGGGCAACATGGCAAAGCCCCATCTCTACAAAAAATATAAACACGAGCCGGGTGTGGTGGCACACCCATGATCCCAGCTACCTATAAAGCTGAGGCGCCCACTTGAGCCCTAGAAGTCAAGGCTGCAGTGATCTGTGATCGTGCCACTGAACTCCAGCCTAGGTGACAGAGGGAGACCCTGTCTCAAAAAAGAAGAAAAAAAAATTCTGAAGCCTGAACACAATTCAGACCAATTACATTTAAAATCACCAGGGCTGAGGCCTTAACCTGGGTATATTTAAGAAGCTCCCCAAGAGATTCTAATGTATATACAAGGTTAAAAGCCATTAGTCTGGAGTAGTTCTCAAATTGTGGTTCCTGAACCACAGAGCATCACATAGAAGCCTGGTAGACATGCAAATTCCTGCCCTTCTCAGACCCACTGAATTAGAAACACAGGGTTTAACAAGCATTCTAGGTAATTCTGACTCACACCTAGTTTGAGAACCACCCAGCTAGAGCGTAGACTTCCTATTTTTTTAAAATTAGAGAGCTTGGACTGCTGATGACAGCTGTTTTCCTCTGTACCATGCTTCTCACCAGTAAGATCAGCTATGAAGCTGTCTCTTCATATAACGCTAGATCTCCTTTAAGGAAACTCCTGCGTAGTTGCTGTTGCAGCATTTCAAATAGTTCCGAGACGCTGGGCCCACTTTTATCAGTCAGCCTCTAACTGTCATCTGTAATATGTTTCTGGAAGTGCCTGAAAATCAAACGATAGACTTGTATATCATAAGGCATTTCTTTTAAGAGAGCTAAAAAATCTTTTACATCCCTAATTTCCCCTCACGTAGATTCAACTTCCAACAATGTATTCCCAATGTTTTGCACTTGATTAACCATTATTTCTTCTTATCCTTCACAACCGAACCCACAGTTGGCTACCTAAAGCACACTGGCTGGCCATTCAAGGTCAAAGATTTAGCCTGGCCATCTGGCCATCTTGTTCTCAATTATAACAAGCTCATGTGAACCTACAGTTGCTATCATTAGCATCTAGTTTCATTTTTCCATTCATACTTACTATTATGTACAAAAGATGATTAAGTAATCATCTTATTGCACAAAGTCAGCTGTAATGACATATCTGTGGTCTCACAGACAGCCTTCCCCATTTGAGAGTTTGGGAAGTTTTGCTTCTACGCAACAGACTTTTGTTAATGAACTAAAAGTGGCTCAAGGATGTCAACGTACCATGTCTCCTGAGAAAGGTGCATATGAGGAATTGAAGTTCCTCCCCCTGGACCTGACTTTATACCTACAAGAAGGTGTTAGAGGGGGCCAGGCATGGTGGCTCATGCCTGTAATCCCAGCACTTTGGGAGGCCGAGGTAGGCGGATCACGAGGTCAGGAGATCGAGACCAGCCTGGCTAACATGGTGAAACCCCGTCTCTACTAAAAATACAAAAAATTAGCTGGGCGTGGTGGTGGGCACCTGTAGTCCCAGCTACTCGGGAGGCTGAGGCAGGAGAATGGTGTGAACCCAGGAGGCGGAGGTTGCAGTGAGCTGAGATTGTGCCACTGCACTCCAGCCTGGGCGACAGAGCGAGACTCTGTCTCAAAAAAAAAAAAAAAAAAGAAGGTGTTAGAGGCTCCTTTACATTTTCTCTGTTGATCCCCAGCGCCTCCTGCTCTGGTGGCTCCTTGGATGTGTAGAAGCTGTCTATAATTCCTCACTTGTTAAGAAACCGTAACCTCAAAACAAACAGGCCTTGCAGGCTTTCTGTTTCCATATATTTGAAAAGAGAAGAGAGAGGCATGAAGCCTCTTTTGGAAGCAGTAAACAACAGGAAGCCTCCAGAGCTGCTGAGGAAGGGAGGCATCTTAGGAGAGGGATGTCCAAAGTAGTGTACTTTCGTTATGATATTCTCTGTGAATTGGAACACGAAGAAGCTGAAGTCAGAGGTCAATTCATTCATCCAGCATTATTTACCGAGTGTCTGCTGCTGCTAGGGACACAACCCTAAACAAGAAACACTTCCTGCTTCAAGGAATTTGCATTCCATGGGGAAGTTGAAGGACAAGGGAAGATGCAACCACAATGCAGTGTGACAAGGGCCGTGAAGAGGTGCCGTGGGGTGAGAGGTGGGGGGTGGGGGTGCACAGTAGAGGAAGGGTCAAACCTATAAATCTGGTATGATGTAGCCATGGGATGGGGTGGTAGAGGGACATTATCCCATGCAAAGATCTAGATGTGAGAAAAATACTGCCTGTAGGAAACTGCAGGCCGTTCAGCAGGGAAGCAGCCTGGAGCGGATGGTGGGAGGGGTGGAGGACGGCTCTGGAGGGGATAAACAGAAGATTGTGGCCGGTCGCGCGGTGGCTCTCGCCTGTAATCCCAGCACTTTGGGAGATCGAGGCGGGCGGATCACAAGGTCAGGAGATTGAGACCAGCCTGGCCAACATGGTGAAACCCCGTCTCTACTAAAAATACAAAAATTAGCTGGGCGAGATGGTGTGCGCTTGTAATCCCAGCTACTCGAGAGGGTGAGGCAGGAGAATCCTTTGAACCAGGGAGTTGGAGGTTGCAGTGAGCCGAGACCGCACCACTGCACTCCATCCTGGCGAAAGAGCGAGACTCCGTCTCAAAAAACACACAAACCAATAAACAAAACCCAGAAAATCGTACTGCAGGCAAATTAAGAGCAATCCAGCTGCTTTTGAGCTCCCAACTTCTTTCTCCAGTTGCCCACCTGACATCTCTATTTGGATGTCTCCTTAAGCATCTGAAATATAAACATGCCCTGAACTGAACTCTCAGCTCTCGTCCCTAAATCTCCACTAATCTCTCCTTCTGGGAGTGCTCAAGCTAGAAAACTTGGAGTCATTTTTGACATTTTTTCTCCCACATTCTTTACATCCAATCCATCACTGAGTGCTGTCAAGACAACTTCCAGAAAATTTCCCAAATCCATCCACTTCTTTCTATCTCCCCTGACACTATCGCTCTGTATAAGCTATGGTCCTATATGCTGAGCCACTGCGGTAGCCTACCCCAGCCTCCCATGATGTCCTCCTCCTACTTCCTCCAACCAAGTTTACTCACAGCAGCTGGAAGGATCTTTTAAAACTCAAATTGGGCTGTGTATTCCTCCTGCTATCAGCCCTTAAATAGCCTCCCATTATGTTTCAAATAAATGTCAACTCCTTAATGTGTCTGGGAAGGCTCGACTCAGGCTCATTGTTGTATACTTATGCCTCCTTGGTCCCCCTGCTCCAGCCACATCATTTCTTTCAGCTCCTAGAAGGAGCCACGTTCCCATGTTGGATGCATTTCTTCCAACTCCTTGCCTGGCTAACTTATACTCTGCTTTCCAATCTTGACACCTCCCCACGCCTGCCCATGACTTTCTCAGTGTGGACTTCTTTAACTCCCTATGGTAGACTGCTACCCCAATGAACCCTGCCTCCTGGCATTCACACCCTGGGGTAACCCTCTCCAACACTGATCTAGTTGCTGGGCTTGTGACAGAAGACAACAGAATCACTCCTGAGCCCACTCCTGGACAAGCCATTAATTGGCCTGCCCACTTCTGCTTCCTCTCTTCTGATGCTCCCTTTTGGAAGCCTGCTTCTATGCTTTGAGAAGCCCAAACCACATAGAGAGACCACGTATAGGCATTTTGGTCAATAGTCTCATTTGAGCTCCCAGCTGGCAGCTAGCATCAACTGCCACCATATTAATCATCCCTCTTGGGTGTCCTAGCCTTGTTAAGCACCCAGTTGACTGCGGTTCCATCATATGGAACAAAAGAACCACCCAGCTGAGCCCAGGCAACCAACAAAATCAAGAGACATCATAACTGATTTTTCTTTTAAGCCACCAAATTTTGGGGTGGTTTGAAATTCAAATAATAGATAATTGGAACAATCCCCAGTCAAATTAACTTCTGCTCTTTTTTTTTAGCTCAGAAAATCCAATCCCCTTTCTTCAGACCAATTGTCACATTTGTGGTTATGTATGTATTTGTGTGTTTTCTTATTGTCTTTCTTCAGCACTAGTCTGCAATTTCCATGACGGAAGAGATCATGGCTTCTTATTAGCCAGCAAGGTATTTTCAACAGCACCTAAGAGTTGCTTAATTATCTGTTGAATGAAAGAATAAGGCGTTTAGATTATATCCTGGGGGGGAAAGGATAAGAGTTTTAAACAGATGAGTGACAAGATAGTTTTACAGGGAAGGAAAAAAATGATATTTGGAAAGCTAGCTTTTAATGAGGGCACAATGCTTCTAAGAGAGCTTTTCTCATGGTTTAGAAACAATAAGATCATTGGGGTCTGAAATGAGAAGACTTTGGGCATAGTTTGGGTGAGAAAGGATAAGACAGAGAGAGGTTAAAAGTGTACTAGAAATAATGTAAAATGTGACTTCCTTGGGCAGAAAAAAAGTAAACTAAGGGATTCTCATTTTCTTGTGATGAACTCTGGTGATAGGCATTTAGGGAGGCAGCTTCTGGTAGCCCCAGGCATTCCTTGGCTTTTGGCAGCAAAACTCCAGCCTCTGCCTCTGTGGTCACAGGGCTGTCTTCCCTCTGTGTCTGTGTCTTCACATGGCATTCTCCTCCCAGGGGCTGTGTCCAAATCCCCCTCTTCTTAGAAGGACACCAATCATATTGGACACCTAATGACCTCATTTTAACTTGATTACCTCTGCAAAGATCCTATTTCTAAATAAGCCCACATTCACAGGTACTAGGGGTTAGCACTTGATTGTATCTTTCTAGGGGTTACAATTCAACCCATAACAGCCTGACACCTAAGTTAAGTTGTTATTGGGAGGTGTTCTCATTCCACTCTGGTATGCAACCCCAAAGTCTGTCTTAATCGCTACAGGCTTTGCGAACCTTGACAGTGGAATTTTGGAGACCTTGGCTCTGCTCTTGGGAAATGAAGAGAAGATTTGGGAATCGTGTAAGAGAGGGAAGGGATCCATCACAATGGAACCCCAGGAAATGGGAGCCTCAGAAGTGAAAGATAAGCAAGGGCTTCCTGCGGTTCCGCTCTAGTTATTTTATTTGTTTATGAAAGAAAAGCATGAGCGCTGAAGGCTGTGGAATTTAGGAAAAACCCAAGTTACTATCAGATTAGCACTTTTAAAAGATGATGTTGGCCTCTGGGGAGAATAGATTGGAAGAATTAGGAGTAGAGACAAAGGGGTCCCTTGGCGGCACAGCTGCAGGGACCCGGATGGGCAATGATGGTGGCCAGGACTATGGTAATGTGTTGAAGATGGAGGGAAGTCAATGAGTTTGGGAACCATATAGAGCAAACTGAAGGAATTTAGGGGGTAAGGAGGCAGGAAGGAGGACAAACAGGCTTATAGGTTCAACACTTGGGTGAATATTAATGCTAAAGCTTTGATGGGAAACTAACAAGGGGGAACACATTGTTGCAGTAATGTAGACTGCAACATTACTCACTTAAGAATGAGGGCTGGCCGGGCCCGGTGGCTCATGCCTGTAATCCCAGCACTTTGGGAGGCCGACGCCGGGGGATCATGAGGTCAGGAGTTCGAGATCAGCCTGGCCAACATAGTGAAACCCTGTCTCTATTAAAAAAAAAAAAAAAATAGCTGGGTGTGGTGGCCCATGCCTGTAGTCACAGCTACTCGGGAGGCTGACGCAAGAGAATCACTTGCGCCCAGTAAGCAGAGGTTGCAGTGAGCTGAGACTGCACCGTTGCACTCCAGCCTGGGTGACAGAGCAAGACTCCATCTCAAAAAAAAAAAAAAAAAGAATGAGGGCCTACACAGGATGGTAGCTGGAAAAGGTTCCGACATGCTCACTAACCCCTGCTTTTCCAGTTGGTTTGCTTTCCCAATGTTCTAACATGGCCACTGTTAGATTGCATGAGGTCCTTAAGTGTCTGGGAACCCAGAAAATCAGGTTGAACCTTTAGAAGTCAGAGAAAATCTTGGCTGAACTGAGGACTCTGGGGAAAAAATTGTATTATTTTATTAAGTTTAAAAAATAATCATTTATTTTGTTATAAAATTTTACTCTGATGTTGTATCAATTTAGCTTTTTCTCATTAATGATCCATGGACCAGAAAATATATAAACATTGATAACATGCTCAATAGTTGCAGAACATTTCCACTTCAAGTGTTTATTCTTCAGTGATTCTTGGACTCCTACAAATCCTGGCATTTGTACATCAAAGCAACATATTACATGGGGTGTTGTATTAGGCAGAGTTCTCCAGAAAAACAGAAACAACAGGGTATATTTTTATACACACACACACACACACACACACACACACGTGTATTATAGGGATTGTCTGACATGATTATGGTGGCCATAAAGTCACCATCTACTGCATGTAAACTGGAGAACCAGGAGAGCTGCTGGTATAATTAAGTCCAAGTCTGAGGCCAAAGAATCCATATCTCCAATGTTTAAGGGCACAAGAAGCTGGATGTCCCAGCTCAAGAAGAGAGAAAATTCACCCTTCCTCCACTTTTTGGTTCTATTAGGCTGTCAGTGGATTGGTTGATGCCCACTTATATTGGTGAGGGCAGATCCTCTTCACTCAGCCTACTAATTTAGGGGATAATCTCTTCCAGAAAGGTGGTCACAGACACGCCAGAAATAATGTCCCAGCTATCTGGGCATCCTTTAGCTTGGTCAAACTTACACATAAAATTAATTATTGTGGGTGTCAAGTGATTTGAACTGGTGATTGCTGACATGGTATAGTGCGGTTCAAATTTAATTTAACCCTGTTTATAACATGGTGATTTTAAGGCATCTAGTTGATACTCATTAAAATCTGTCAAGCTCTTTCAATAAGATGGACTATCTTTTGTATCTGTATTTATGTATGAGTAATGAGCTCTATTGGAGGCCTGCAAGTGCCATTTTAAAGACCTGAATGTGGATGTCCATATGAGTCTTTGTCTTTGGTTCAAATGACCCTCTACTTATGTCATGTTGGGGTCTGAAAGTTGGTTCTGTGAGAAAATAGGAGAAAGGGAATCCAGTAAGGATGGGATCTATGCACAGTCTAAGAATAAGGGACTGTTGTTGCTTCAGTTCCCCCAACATGAGATTCCTTTTTTTTTGGAGACCAAGTCTTGCACTGTATCTTGGCTCACTGCAACCTCCACCTCCTGGGTTCAAGCGATTCTTCTGCCTCAACCTCCCAAGTAGCTGGAATTACAGGCACACACCACCACGCCCAGCTAATTTTTTTGTATTTTTTTTTTTTTTTTTAGTAGAGATGGGATTTCACGGTGTTGGCCAGGCTGGTCTTGAACTCTTGACCTCGTGATCTGCCTGCCTCGGCCTCCCAAAGTGCTGGGATTACAGGCGTGAGCCACTGCGCCGGGCCTGAGATCCTTATACCTTCTACCCACAGACTCAGTCCATTCCACTCCAGATTTGAAGCTCTGCACTGTCATTTACTAGTTGCATAGCCTTGGGAAAATTACTGAAGCTCTCTGAACCCAAGATTCCTTAACAGTAGCTTGGAGTCCATAATACAGGTCTAACAAGTATAAAAAGATTAAACGAGATTTCATCTGCAAAACACTTCCCCTACCATCTGGCACATAGTTAATATTTGATAGACATTGCTTTCCTTCATTCACTCCTCTTGAGTTAATTTTGATCAGGGTGAAATGAATATTAAAAGCCTAGGGTTCATTTTTGGTAGTATCTAAAAGCAGTCCCATTTTTATAAACCTGGTGTTTGATGGTCCAGGGTAAGTCCTTCAAACCTCTGTAGGCTCAGAGCTGTGGAAGTCCCTTCTGCCCTTGTGCCATTGGCTTACCATCTGAATGAGATTTTGCCTCAGTTTACCTGCTTTGGGATTTCCTGTTTCCCCTGGAATTAGAGATTTCCCAGACTTCAATCTGTTTGGGTCCCTGAGGCCCTGGACAGCTCTTATACCCACTGTGATTTCTGTTCCTCCACAGACATGGATTTGAGCCCAGCTCTGAACAGACAGTTGGTACTTTGCAATCCTCATCCTGCTGCCTGTCAGCTTTGTGCATTCTGAGCCATCTGTTCTCCATGCAGAGCACCTCTTGAGGATTAAACCCCCATGAGCGTTGGTGAGGCACTGCCTCACAGCGGCACCTGGAGGCCAGCTCTCGGCCAGGTGGGTTTCCCCAGCCTATGCACCCCATGCACCCTCAGCATCTCTCACTTCTACACTCCCCTCCCACCACTGAGAGGACGGTGGGGATGTTGTGGGCAAGAAGGTCACACAGTCACCCAGGTGTGAAGAGATGATGCACGTTGGGACTCAATCTGTGCCTGTGAAAGAGGAAGCATAGTTGTTAAATCTGAGGTCACAGAGGAAGAACTAGGAGCCAGTGACTAATATGAGGCAGTCTGATCTCTCCCAAGCAATGGACTCTGCTTTACCCTGCAAAAGGACACACTTACAGTTAGCTCCTCCCTGGCTGCCTCCCTTACATGCAATTCTGTTTCCTTCACCAGCCCCCGGCTGAAGCCCCAAGCCTTCTTCCCCTTTCTCCATGTCCCTCCCTCCTTTTGCAGCCCAGGTCAAATTCTGTTTCCTTTTCGAATTCATTTTTGGAGACTGAAGTCCACATGTTGTCATCTCCTTGTTTTGAACATCGATTGCCTATTTTCCCTATCATACACTCTTTAGCATTTTGCAGTTGTGTTACTCAGAGCTCTCCAGAGAAACAGAGCTTACAGAATGTACATAGATACACAGAAAGAGATTTACTGTGAGGGATTGGCTCTGTAAATCATGTGAATATGCAGGCTGAGAAGCCCCACGGTCTGTCCTCTGCAAGCTGGAGACCTGGGAAAGCCAGTGGAGTGGTTCCAGTCCAAACCTGAGGGCCTAAGAGCCCGGGGAGCCAGTAGTGTAGGTCCGAGTCTGAGTCCAAAGGCTCAAGAACTAGGAGGATTGACATCTGAGAGCAGGAGAAGATGTATGTCCCAGCTCAAACACAGCAAATTCGCCCTTCCTCTGCCTTTTTGTTCTATTTCATCCTCAATGGGTTGAATGATGCCCACCCATATTGGTGAGGGTGAATCTTTTTTTTTTATTTTATTTTTTTCTGAGACAGAGTTTCGCTCTTCTTGCCCAGGCTGGAGTGCTCATCGCAACCTCCGCCTCCTGGGCAACCTCTGCCTCCCGGGCAACCTCTGCCTTCCGGGTTCAGGGTTCAAGCAGGGTTCTCCTGCCTCAGCCTCTGGAGTAGCTGGGATTACAGGCATGCGCCACTATGTCCAGTTAATTTTGTATTTTTAGTAGAAATGGGGTTTCTCCATGTTGGTCAGGCTAGTCTCGAACTCCCAACCTCAGGTGATCCGCCCACCTCGGCCTCCCAAAGTGCTGGGGTTGCAAGTGTGAGCCACCGCGCCCGGCCATGGTGAGGGTGAATCTTCTTTATGCAGTTGGTGGATTCAAATGCCAATCTCTTCCAGAAACACCCTCACAGACACACCCGGAAATAATGTTCACCAGCTATCTGGGTATCCCTCAGCCTGGTCAGGTTGACACATAATGTCAGCCATCACAGTGATGCAGTACTATTGCCTGTTCTCTAATCCTATCCATTAGTCTATTCTCTCAGACAATTTCATCCACTGAGGGATCTCACAGGCTTCCTTGGGTCTCTGCCTGCAAAGATTCACTTCCTATCACCTTGGTCTCCCTGCCTCCTTGTCACAGAGTGCAAGTTGGGATATTTCTAATTTGCTGTCAAAAATATTTTCGGTGGGTCCCACCACTTGCAGGAATTAGTCTACAGCAAATATCTTTTGATTCTCAGAATACAGCGTGTGCCTTCACAACTCCTTGCCTTTGCATAAACCATTTCCTCTTTCTGAAATTCTTTCCCCCATGAACTTTTATTGTCTGTTCATTTCGTTTTTCCTTTTTCCACATTTTAAAATTTGTGAAATATACATGCAGACAAATGCATGAAGCATTTGGAGACAGTTTAACAACTAATTTATGTCGACCCAGGTGAGGAAGTAGCTCATCATCAACACCCAGAAGCCTGCTGCTTGCTCTTCTCTGATGTCTCCCCTCCCTACCTCCCTAGTGGTTATCATTATCCTAACAATTGTGATCATTATTTTATGACTTTATTGAGTTTTGTCCATTCAAATATGGATCCCTAAACACTGATTAGTTTTGCCTGCTTTTCAACTTTATATGACTGCAATCATATTCTTTCTAAAAATTTATATACATATATACATATATATATCTCACACACATATATATACATATATATATCTCACTCATATATATATACACACATACACACACACACACATATATTTATATACTTTTTTTAAGAGACTAGATCTTGCTCTGACACTCAGACTGTAGTGCAGTGGCATGATCATGGCTCACTGCAGCCTCAAATTCTTGGGCTTAAGCAATCCTCCCACTTTGGCCTCTGGAGTAGCTGGGACTACAGGTATGCACCTCCATGCTGGGCTAATTTTTGCTTTTGTAGAGACGTGATCTCTCCATGTTGCCCAGGCTACAATCATATTCTTTTGTATCTGCCTCCTTCACTCAGCCGTCTGCTTGTTGAGTATGCAGCTGTTGTTCTTTCCTGTTCTCTCCTGTAGAGCTTTGCATTCCATGAATAAACCATATTTGATTGATCCACATCACTGTTAATGGACATTTGAGGTTTTCCTTTGATTTATTCTTCTTCATAGTGTTTTCCAGCCATTAAGCATATTGTTTAAAGTTCATCTTCCTCAAACTGAATGTAAACAGCCTGAGAGAAAGGTTGCTTTTTTGTTCAATCCTGGGTCCCCAGAACCTACACAGTGACTAGAATATAGTAGGCACTCAAAATATGTGTTGAAAGTATGAATGTTTACTTGACAAACATTTTCTGGCTCTTTGAGGCATTCCTCAATCATTTCCTTCTGGGTGAGGGCTTCATCAATTTCTCCCTGCAGACTTTCCACAACAGCAATGATATTAACAACAACTGTGGTTCTACAGAGGCAGATGGTACAGCCCAGGACAGCTAAGTCGTTTGTCCAAGGTCGCACAGTTGAGAAGGCAGGAGTCAAAGCAGTGACTAAGTGTCCAGCCAGGTTCTTACTCCCAGCAACACACTTGCTCCCACAGCCCCACCCATAGGTGTGTTCAGTTTGGCCCACCAGGGTAAGAATTCTTATCAGCATATTATGCACAGACTGAAGTCTCACAGAGGTAAATATCTAAAGTAGTTATGCAATTTCCAGGGAGCTGAACCAGGGCTTAGACTCCTGTCTCGCTCTGAAGTCTACTTTTTTTCCAGTACAATACTCTGCCTCAACTGGTAAAACAAATATGGACAAGAATAGTGGATCCCTGGGGCCAGTTGTCTTCTCTTGGAGCTGCTTTATTCTTCATGGGCAGCTCACCCCCATCCTGTTCCTCTATTTCCAAGCTTATCCAAACTGCAGCCCATGGGCCGTATGTGGCCCAGGACAGCTTTGAATGCAGCTCAACACAAATTCGTAAACTTTCTTAAAACATTATGAGATTTTTTTGCAGGTTTTTTTTTTGTTTTGTTTTTTGTTTTTTGTTTTTTTTAGCTCATCAGCTATCATTATTGTTAGTGTATTTTATGTGTGGCCCAAGACAATTCTTCTTCTAATGTGGCCCAGGGAAGCCAAAAGATTGGACATCCATGCTCCCCTCCTCTCCCTTCCCCTCCCCTCTCCTCCCCTCCCGTCTTCTCTCCTCTCCTCTCTCCCATGGCCTTGTGGGCTGGGCTGTTACTTGAGAGTTATACTGCAGATTATGCCATCTATTCAAGCTCTTTCTGCACCATTACCATCTTTTAAATTTTTATTTATTTTTTTGCTTGCTGTTCTGTGAATGGGCTGGACTGTGTTGTTTTAGAGAATAGAAATATTTTAAGTCTCTGAAAAAAATAAATTCTGAACTGAAGAGTTTGTAAAATCCAATTCCTTATCTTCTTGATCATTGCCAATCCCAAAGTTGGTGGAATAACATTTCAAAATGTCATCCAGAAATTGGCCTGGATACGCAGTGACTGATGAAGGGCCTGACAGCTCTGGCACTTAGCTTGGAATTTATGAATCCAAAGCTTTAAAACTTTACCCAAGAAACTTTTTTCAAGTACCGCTATTTCCACCTAATTAAGGACTGTCACACAATTATAATTTATTTACAGCTATCATTCATATGTAGAGTAGAATTATCTAAGTTTTAAAAAAATTTCTAATGATTTTTATGCATTAACTCAATCAAGAGGCTTTCTAAAAATCATATCTTTCGTCTTCTGGATAAAAATAATTAACGCCTACTTATTATAGGAAATTTAGAAATTATAGAGAAATATGCTGAGAACGTAAAAATCACTGGAATCCTACCACCTGGAAATAATCATGATGAACACTTTTAGGGTAATATTTCAAATTTTTTTTCTGTGTATAATTGTATGTGCATTTATATGTGTATATAATAAAACTGGATAAGAAGACATAGTTTGTGTCTTGCTTTTTTTAAAATTTTTTTATTTTTTAATTTTTTTTTTTTGAGACAGAGTCTCACTCTGTCGCCCACGCTGGAGCGCAGCGGCGTGATCTCGGCTTACTGCAACCTCTGCCTCCTGGGTTCAAGCAATTCTCCTGCCTCAGCCTCTCAAGTAGCTGGGACTACAGGCACCTGCCACTATGCCCTGCTATTTTTTGTATTTTTAGTACAGACAGAGTTTCATCGTATTGGCCAGGCTGGTCTCGAAATCCTGACCTTGTGATCCACCCACCTAGGCCTCCCAAAGGGCTGGGATTACAAGTGTGAGCCACCTCGCCCAGCCTATTGTTTTATTTATTTAACATTACAGTGTAAATTATTACCCTTTACCAGTAAACATTTGCAGAAAACATAATTTTTTAAATTTTATTTTCTTTCAACTCATTTCACAGCCAAGGAAACAGAATTTTTAATGACTTCAAGGTAGTTCATCTTATGGATTTATCATAATTTGGCCCTTCCTCTATTTGAAATTCTGGATGTTTCCAATTTTTTACTACTTTAAATCATGTTTTAATGAAAATGTATACATACTTTTCTATTTTGGAATTTTTTCTTTTTTTGAGACGGAATCTAGCTCTGTCACCCAGGCTGGAATGCAATGGCACGCTCTTGGCTCACTGCAACCTCTGTCTCCCGGGTTCAAGCAATTCTTCTGCCTCAGCCTCCCGAGTAGCTGGGATTACAGGTGCCGGCCACCACGCTCGGCTAATTTTTGTATTTTTAGTAGAGACGGGTTTCACCATGTTGGTCAGGCCGGTCTTGAACTCCTGACCTTGTGATCCACCTGCCTTGGCCTCCCAAAGTGCTGGGATTACAAGCGTGAGCCACTGCACCCAGCCGGAATTTTTTTTTAGTCTAGATATAAATAGAATCAGTAGAATGGATACAGATTCAAAGGTTGTAATCTTTATGAAGACTTCAAGTCACTGTTTTCTCTCTTTGCAAGCAATAGCTACATGGAGAAAAGTGGTTCTGCTCTAGTAGCAAGTGAAAAAAGTAAGATACAAAATTAAATTTTTATTGTTATCTCAGTGATTTAAAACACGTAAAAATATTGGAATGATATATTCTAGTGATTGCCTCTGAGGAACAGATTATCTTTCACTTTGCTAGACATTTAAATGTTTAAACACTAAGGATTCTTATATATAGGCATATCCATTGTGAAACCCCATCTCTACTACTAAAACTGAAAATATTAGCCAGGTGTGGTGACATGCACCTGTAGTCCCAGCTACTTGGGAGGCTGAGGCAGCAGAATGGCTTGAACCCGGAAGGCGGAGGTTGCAGTGAGTCAAGACCATGCCATTGCACTCCAGCCTGGGTGACAGAGCGAGACTCTGTCCCAAAAAAAAAAAAAAAAGTTCTTTGGGAAACTAATGATCTACCCTATACTATGCTCTATGCTGTGTCCTATCTGAATGGAATCATAAAACTTCAACATGCTCTCTGGGAAGAAAAACGGTTCCAGGATCAAACTTGTTTAGAAAACACTGAACTTAGTAGAGCTAAGCAGGCCTGCTAATATGTGTGCAATTGCCACAATATAGCCACAGCAATATTTTTGAAATAGAAATAGGATCATGTCACTCTTTGACTTCAATGCATTCCCATTACACTTAGAGTCAAATCTGAACCTTGTGTGGTCACCTTGATGGCCCTATGTTGTAGATCCCTCAGCCTCTTCAGCCTCATTTTGCATGCCTCCCCCTTTGCTCCTAATCTCTTGACAGGTATGTCTTCTTGATTCTTGAGCAGGTTAAGTCCTTTTCTGTCTCCAGGATTTTGTTTCTCCTTTGTATCCTGCCTGAAGCAATACATTCTCATTCTTTAGGTCTCCAAGAGGCCCTTCTTGACCACCCCATCCAAAGGAGGCCCCTCACCCCCTGGTTTATTTTCCTCCAATGAGCTCACAATACAAATGCAAACCTGCTGAGTGCATTGGAAAGGGTAGAAATTTTGGCCTGTGTTGCTTATAATGGAATACCTGAAACTGGGTATTTTATAAAGAAAATGAATTTATTTATCGTAATTATGGAGGCTGAGACATCCAAGATCGAGGGCTGCATCAGGCTAGGGTCTTCTTGTTGGTGGGGACTCTGCAGAGTTCCAAGGAGGTGCAGGGCATCACATGGCGACTGGGCTAAGCGTGCCAGCTCAGGTCTCTCTTCCTCTTCTTGTAAAGCCCACAGTCCCACTACCATGATAACCCATCAATCCATTAGCCTATTAATGCATAAACCCATGAATGAATTAATCCATTTATGGGAGTAGAGTCCTCGTGACCCAATCATGTCTGAAAGGCTCCACCTCTCAATATTGTCACATTGGGAATTTAATTTCAACATGAGTTTTGGAGGAGATAAATATTCAAACCATAGTAGCTTATTTTCCAGATTTGCTTCAAAGCTCTACTGCCAAAGACAATTGGTCTTCATTTGTCAAGTCAATAATCCCTTCGTGTTTTCAGTTATAACTTAATGCATTCTAAAATTAACTGGGTTTGGAATATTCATGATGCCATTATGAATATCTACAATAAGAGAAGACAATTGCATCAAACCAACCAGCTACTTGATCTCTATTGCATCAAATGACTCGTTCACTAATTCCCCATCCCCCACAGCCCATGTGAATTCACTAAACGAAACCACAGTATTGACTGATGGAATTTCTTTGGAATTAAATAAGAACATTAGATTTTTTTCCTGAACTGGGGAGTTTGAATGGGCTGAGCTGGAGCACTGTGTAGCCACAACCCAAGTGCTGCCTTTTCATAAGTCAGACCTGTAACATTACCTTCATTTGAAAGTCCTTGAATGTGCTTTCATCAGCTCTGTAAGTAAACTTTAGCCCATCAACTAGTTGGTGCCAACCATATGGGAATCTCCGGGGGGTTATAGAGTGGCACATGCTCCTGGTCATCCACTCAGGTATTTGTGTACTCTTTGGAGGAACAGGGCAAGAGGATAAGATGTTAGAACTTGAAAAGCCCTTGGAGATCCCAGAGCCTCCTCCTCGACTTTGCAGATGGAGGAACCGAGGTCCAGAGATGTGGGAAGAAGGGTGGTGGAGAGGACATGAAGTCAGAGCTGCTGAAACACAGGTCTCTTGATTCTTTGTCTAGAGACCCTTTGTATTAGTCCCTTTTCATACTGCTATGAAGAATTGCCAGAGACTGAGTAATTTATAAAGGAAAGAGGTTGAATTGATTCAGAGCTCAGCATGGCTGGGGAGGCCTCAGGAAACTTACAATCATGGCAGAAGGTGAAGAGGAAGCAATGCACCTTCTTCACAAAGCAGCAGGAAGGATAATTGCCAAGTGAAGGGGGAAGAGCCCCATATAAAACCATCAGATCTTGTGAGAATTCATTCATTATCATGAAAACAGCACGGGGTAACCACCCCCAGGATTCAGTTACCTCCACTTGGCCTCTCCCTTGACACATGGGGATTAAGGTGATTACAATTCAAGATGAGATTTGGGTGGGGACTCAAAGCCTAACCATATCACCCTTCCACTACAATACAGTCATAATACCAGAAATTAATACTCAGTACAACAGTGGGGGCAAGTCCACAGTTCATACGTAATCAAGAGCCAAGCAAGAGGCCCAAAGGATAGGGCCAAGCAGTGGAGGAGTTAGCACTCTACCATGACTAGGAGCAGGCAGGTGGCTTAGAGAGGTCAGGAAGGCTATGCTTGCAAAGTGGAATTGAAGCCAGAGGAGAAACAAGAAACCAGGGCATAACTGGTGGGAGGATTTCAGGGAGGGTCTCAAAGAACCGAGGAAAAAGTGAATGCATTCCTGATGCTCAGGGATCCATCATTGCTTTCTGTAGGCCCTGGATCTGCATTCTGTCCCAGAAACCTTGAACAGCTTATTTATTTATTTATTTATTTTGAGACAGTGTCTCACTTTGTCACCCAGGCTGGGGTGCAGTGGTATGATCATGGCTCACTGCAGCCTCAACCTCCTGGGCTCAAGCAATCCTCTCACCTCAGCCTCTTGAGTAGCTGGGACTACAGTTGTGAACCACCATGTCCAGCTATTTATTTTTATTTGTATTTGTATTTTTTTGTAGATACGGGGTCTCACTATGTTGCCCAGGCTGGTCTGAATTCCTGGGCTTAAGCTATCCTTCTGCCTCAGCCTCCCAAAGTGCTGGGATTCCAGGCATGAGCCCCTGCCCCTGGCCTTTTTCCTTTGTAAAGCTGATAAACATTCCCTCCATGCATATGCCATGTTTTGTTTATTCGTTCATTCACTGATGGACATTTGCAGTGCTTCCACCTTTGGCTACTGTGCGTATTACTGCTATGAACATGGGCATGTAATCATCTGAGACCTTGCTTTCCGTTCTTTTGGGTGTACACTCTTAAATATTCTTTTGTATGGGTTCACACTGGTAAATTCTCCCCTTAAGGAGAAACTCACAGTCATACTGATCTCTCTTAATTCACAAAGTAGAGGCAGAAGTGCCTTACACTGATTGGGGTGAACAACTCTCCAGGGTTTACATGGGGCTAAGGGTTTTATTCCTCCCTTTGAGGTGCAGGAGGCCAGAGGACCTTTTCCCCTGATGACTGTCAAGAGTGCACGTTACTACAAGCTACAGGGCAGTAATGGGAACTCTGGGCTGAATGTTATGGCTGCCCTCTGCCACCTCCCTCCTAAATGGTTGTAAAAATGGGGGAGTGTGTGGGTGAGGGATGATTGTTACCTTAATTATTTTAAAGTCTTGAGAAATTAATCAGTGTCCTGATGATTGTTTACTCTGGGCCATACAAGGACCGACGGCAGCACAGCGAGCTCGTCCAGCTGTTCCCAGATGTTGAAAGGAGCCATCAGGAAAATCGAGGAGGCTCATGAACAGTGAAGCTGAGAATATTTTCCTAATGATGTGTAACTAGCAAAAAATGAACTATTTGGTTTCTACCCTAAATTTAGTTTAATCCATGACCTTTATTTGCTCAGAAATGAGGGAGTTTGTGACTACTGGACCCCTTCAAAATGGTAGCTTTCTTCCTGGATGCAATGAGGGTTTCCTTTACCTGAAAAATATGGCTGTGATACAAAGGCATAGATTCTCAGAGACCTGCTTTATTTAGCCATGCAAACAACTTGTTAATAGCACATAATTGCTTTATAAAAATCAGAAGACGCAAATTTGCCATCAAATTTGGTTTATTGATTCCTCTCATAGGTTTATTTATTGTAATACTTTCAAACTATTTATGAGAAAATGGTTCACTACATACTGTTAGCCCCAGATGAGGCACAGTGAGAGTTTAGTCACTCATCCACCTGTTCAAAGGGTATTGATCAAAAACCTACTAGGAACTGGCCGGGCGTGGTGGCTCACGCCTGTAATACCAGCACTTTGGGAGCCCGAGGCGGGTGGATCACCTGAGGTTGGGAGTTCGAGACCAACCTGACCAACATGGCGAAAACCCGTCTCTACTAAAAATACAAAAATTAGCCGGGTGCAGTGGTGGGTGCCTGTAATTCCAGCTACTTAGGAGCCTGAGACAGGAGATCACTTGAACCTGGGAGGCGGAGGTTGCAGTGAGCTGGGATCGCACCATTGCACTCTAGCCTGGGCAACAGAGCGAGACTCCGTCTCAAAAAAGAAAACAAAAAAACAAAAACCTACTAGGAACCACAGGTCTCAGTCGGGCTTACCTCTAAGCAGAGCCTGAGGAAAGGAATGGGGGTTCAGGTAGTTTATTTGTGAGGTCACCCCAGGATGCACGAATGAGGGAGGAGAAAAGTGAGACAAGGAAGGACAGAGAGCCCACGAAGGTCGTGTTAAGGAGGAGGGCTCCGTCCTGCTGTGGACACTCTGAGAAAACATGTGGAGCGTCTGGAGAATTGTCCATAAAGAAGATGGGGGTGGGGTGGGGCATTACTTCCTGCCCCTCATTGGTTGAGATGAACCCCTGGAGACATTAATGTGTCTGCGTATCTCCAGCAAATTCCTAAATAGAAAGAGGCAGAGACTTGAGGTAGGAGGCCATTGGTTTGCTGGGACCTGTCCTCCTTCCCGGCAGGTGAACCCAAAGGTGAGGCATGATGACACAGAGCTGGGGATTGCTGACATCTGCTATCCCATTTGGTGCTGAGGCTAGGGATAGAGGGAGGCACAAAACAGATACCGCTTCTGCTCTCACGCATGAGGGAAGACGGGCTCTAAACAAAGAAGTGGATGTGAGAGTCACATTGTGATAAATGCCGTACGGGAGATGTCCTGGGTATGTGCATTAGGGGGAGTCTGACCTAGTCTGCAGAATGAGATTATTTCTAATTCCAAATAAATGGAGTCTTAATTTGTATGGTGCACAGAGTATTTAATTGTATGCTGTAAGAAAACTGGAAAATTTGGTGTTGTGACTAATTCCTATAAATGTTTGTGCTCATCCTGATTATCCAAGAATATAGAGTACCAGGTGACAATCTCATTCTGGAAACTTTTGGAGGTCCTGGCAGCCTGAGAGTGTGGTTAGTTTGTTCTAATTGAACTGATTGAGCAGGTATGATGGAGTGGTTTATGCATGGATGCATTTGGAAATAATATGTGTTTACTAAATGTAAGAGTAATAATCTGTCTCTTGCAAAAGCATACACACACACACACACACACACACACACATACCTCCTGTAAATGTTAGAAACATATATGTATTTGTGTATAAATACATGCATATATATACATATATATATACACTTCTCATAGTCAAAATTACACCAAACATACAGGTTTATATCTTATTTTTAGTTGATGTTATTTTTAAAGCATTACCATTTTTAGGATACTTTTGATGAGCAAATATAGAATGTGGTGTATTCTACAGCATGAATATACCATAATTTGCTTTTATGTCCAATTCTATAATTAGAATGTAAGTTGCTTCCAGGTTCACGTTATTATGATCAGTACTTTAGTGGATAATTTGAGCATAAAACTGGGTCTGAATTTTGGAAAATTTTTTAGTATAGATTTATAAAATTCCAATTTCTAGGTCAAACAGAATAAAATTTTTAAGGCTTTTAATATGTGTTATTAAATTACTTTTCAGAAAAAATGAAATAGTGATACAAATTTTTTTTAAAAATTACTCAAACACTTGGGTTCTATTGATTAATCTTTTTTTTTTTTTTTTTTTTTTTTGAGACGGAGTCTCACTCTGTCACCCAGGCTAGAGTGCAGTGGTGCAATCTTGGCTCACTGCAAGCTCCACCTCCCAGGTTCCTGCCATTCTTCTGCCTCAGCCTCCCGAGTAGCTGGGACTACAGGCTCCTGTCACCAGGCCTGGCTAAATTTTTTGTATTTTTAGTAGAGACAGGATTTCACCGTGTTAGCCAGGATGGTCTTGATCTCCTGACCTCGTGATCTGCCTGCCTTAGCCTCCCAAAGTGCTGGGATTACAGGGGTGAGCCACCGCACCTGGCCGATTAATCTTTTTGTTAAAACAATCAATCTGGTTTTATATTCAGGGTTTTTAGATGCTTTTATTTTCATTATTGGGAAAAGAGAGAATGAAAAATATTGCCTGAGCCCTATCCCATCAGATAGAATGCCAATGTTTTTACATAGACGTAACTAAAGGATGCTATAATTTTCTTTTTCTTTTTTCTTGTTTTTTGAGACAGAGTTTTGCTCTGTCGCCCAGGCTGGAATGCAGTAGCATGATCTCGACTCACTGCAATCTCTGTCTCCCGGGTTCAAGTGATTCTCCTGCCTCAGCCTCCTGACAGCTGGGATTACAGGCACGCACCACCATACCCAGCTAATTTCTGTAGAATTTTTAGTAGAGATAGGGTCTCTCCATGTTGGCTAGGCTGGTCTCAAACTCCTGACCTCAGGTGATCCACCCGCCTCAGCTTCCCAAAGTGCTGGGATTACAGGCGTGAGCCACCGCACCCAGCGAAGATATTATAATTTTCAAGTAATTTCTGTTTCTTTTGTTTTTGACAAGTCCTTGATTTTTATTATTATTATTTTTTTTTGGTCACTGACATGTGAACCTTGTTTGTGACTATATATGGGAAGGATGTACATATGTGTACATATATGTGTGTATTTGTGTTGAGGGATCAATGAAATGCTAGCCATGTCCTCCTTTTTTTTTCTTTTTCTTTTCTTTTTTTTTTTTTTTTTTTGAAACAGAGTCTCGTTCTGTTGCCCAGGCTGGTGTACAGTGACTCAATCTCTGCTCACTGCAACCTCTGCCTCCCGGGCTCAAGCGATTCTCCTGCCTCAGCCTCCCGAGTAGTGGGGATTGCCATCATGCCCAGCTAATTTTTGTATTTTTAGTAGAGACAGGGTTTCACTATGTAGGCCAGGCTGGTCTCGAACTCCTGACCTCAGGTGATCCGCCCACCTCAGCCTCCCAAAGTGCTGGGATTACAGGCATGAGCCACTGCGTCCAGCCAAAATATAATTGTCAAGTATTTTCTGGTTCTTTTCTTTTTGGCAAGTTCTTCATTTTTTTATAGATCACTGACAATATGAACCTTGTTTATGAGTATACATGGGAAGCATGTAAATATGTGTACATATATGTGTGCGTGTGTTTCGGGGGAACAATGAAATGCTAGCCATGTCCTCCATTTTTTGCCTTTCACTCTTAGTGCAGGTAGGCTTTTCTTTGTTATTATTTTACTTTATATTTTAGGGATGAGATCTCTCTATGTTGCCACTGTCTATGGAGCGCAGGTCATAGGCACCATCATAGTTTGCTACAGCCTCCAACTGCTGGGCTCAGGATTTCCTTACTCACTCTCCCAAGTAGCTGGGACTACCAGCATAAGCCATCATGCCTAGCTGATGTTCTTTTTAACCAGGAATTTGAATTGGCTTCATTTCATTCAGAATGACATGTTTATATTCTTGATGAGATAATTTGTGAAGGCCTAATATACGAACCAAAGCATGGATGCCTTAGGGAGGAATTTATTTTTGTTTTCTAAACAAAAATGTTAGAATGTTTTTGCTTTCTACGGAACGTTTTTAAAACTTCAAAGAAGGTAAGTTCGGCATGAGAATTTCTGTTTTCTCAACCACGACTCTCTCATGAAATAAACAGTGCCAGGCCGCCCTCCCTTCCAAGCTTAGAAACTTGGTTTTTTCATTGCAGAATCTCTTACTTTCAGATCGGAAGTAGGAGGAAAAGCCAGGAGGCCTTGAACTGTTGGGCTCTTTCTCATTTATTTACCTACTTCTATCAGCCTGACCATTGGAACTGAAGAGTCGATTAGGTCAAATGGTTGGTCAATGCAAGTTAAACAAGTTACTTGCTTAAAAAGAAAAAAAAATAATAAAAGCAACCTTTTTTCTTTTAACCACTCAATTGACCAAATGAAATTCTCCCCCTCATCCCCTCCCATTCTGTGCCTGTACTGTTGACAGTCAGTTGAGATGGCCAGGACAGAGCAGTGACTAGGACAAAAGAGCGTGATAACAGTTGAAGTTTTGGCCAACAGAGGGGTCAGAGGCCAGAAAAGCAAACCGAGATCAAGGGACAGAGATAACTGGGGGCATAGCCCATGCAAATACTCGGTGACCAGGAGAGTGGCCGTGTGGAGAAGCAGGGCAGGAATGTGACCACCCAGCTGGGTGAGGGGCTGCTGGCGTGGAGGCAGCTGCCTGCTCAGCCCAGCCCAGCTGCATTTTCTCCTCTTTCACCCTGGTGAGAACCAGCCTTCCTTCGGTTCTGCCTGAGGACCCTGTAGGTGCTGAAAATGGAATACAGCTGGCAGGTAGTGGGCGGACAGTGAAAACGTGCCCTGATATTATTCTGAGAAAAAAAAAGAGCTTTATTGCTTCTTGTCAGACTATACTATGTTTTAGGAAGAGTTGGGTTCCCCCAAAGAGAAGGTGCAGGGTGCTGGGAGCAGGATCCTCAGTTTGTAAGAACGCACTCACTGCTCCAAGGCAGCCAACAAAAAATTTTTAAAAAGGGTGATTGAAGGTTCAACTTTTGACATGTAAAATCCAGTCATAGCTTGGGTTTCCCGGAAGCAGTCCCTGAGACAGAGATTTTAGTGCAACAGTTTATTTGGGAGGCGATCCTGGGAAACACCAGAAGGGAAGTGGAAAATTGAAATGTCGAAGGAAGCCAATAAAATATGCGTTATTGAGCAGATGGCCCCTGTGACCAACTAGGCTCAGTATCTCTGGGGAACCCCCAGAGACAGTGTAGAGTAAATTCCAGAATTATGCCATCCAAGGGAAAAGGGAGCTGAATCATTCATCTCTCAGCTGTTGCAAGCTATTGGTGGAGGGATTTTCCCAAGAGGCATTACCTCCCAGGCTTGTCCTCACTTTGCCTGTGTGGCCTCCAGTGGTCAGACAGAACCCAAAGGAAAAGAGCCAGGGTGCGGATTGGCAGAAGCTATTCTGGCCCATGTGCAGAGCATCAAGAATGTGTGCTGCAAAAGGTGAGTCGGTGTGCTCCGTTGCTAGGAAAGCTCAGTATTGCGCTCACAGAGATATCTAAGATTCAGCCAGGAGAGTCCTTATTATTTACTCCCCCACTAATGATCATCCCATCAATTTCATGGATCAAAAGAGACAGGAACACACTTCCTCTGGCAGCTGGGTCTCCAGCCCTTCCATCTGTTTGGTTGTTTTTGTTATAAACTTCAGGAATGTATCTCAAATAATGAGAATTTTTTTTTAATTAATCACTCCTTTGTACAAGTCCAGGCTTATAATGAAAAGCAATATGAATTAGAACAACTTCTGAGGCAGCAAATGCCTGGATAAAGGAATCAAGAGGGAAAGCTCAATGGACAGTCATGGAACCACCTATATCCATTTGCCAAGTTCATAATTTTTGAGATAGCAGCCTTCTGACAATTTTGATGTATGTTTCACATAATCATCTATTATCTTAATTTGTAACATTTCTTTTAAACTCACCAGAGGGCATGTTCTTTCAGAAGCTCAATTATGTGCAGTTAGTTGTTTGACAACACTTTTGGCAAATGGTTATTAAGAGAGTAGGATCTGTGTTTTTGACAAACAGGACAGAGCAAGATTCCCAGCACATGCTGCTGGGAGGGGACCCAGGGCGTGAGACAAATCTCCTGCAGATTTTTTGAGAAATGTAATGTATTGATAAGCATGGAGACTGAGAAGTTCTGACTTCTTATCCTGTAGGGTACACTCCCAATGAGGAAGGGGGAAGAGGAGCAGCATTTAACAAATGTTTATTGAGGGTTTACTACGTGCTAAATCAGAGATTCTTTTGGTCTCAGGACACTTTATACTCTTGAAAAGTACTGAAACCCACCAAGTGCTGTTGTTTATGTGGGCTATATCTACTGACATTAATCATATTTTAGAAGTTAGAACTGAGAATCATGTTAAAAATTATTATTAATCTATTTAAAAATAATAAAACCACTATATATTAACATAACAACATATTATGGAAAATAATTATATTTTCTCAAACAAAAGAATATATAGCAGGAAGAGTGTCAGTGCTTTACCTTTTGGCAAATCTCTTTTGTGTCTGGCTTGTTAGATGGAAGACAGCTGAATTTTTATATCTGATTCTGCATGTAATTTGTTGTAATACGTTGTTTGGTAGAAGTACATGAAGAGAATCTGGCCACACACAAATATATGGTTGGAAAGACGAAGAGTATTTTAATAGCCTTTCAGATAATTGTATATATTTTTCTTTGATGTGATACCCAAACTTGACAAATCGTTTGTTTGATCTTTCTTTTCTTTCCTCCCTCCTTCCCTTCCTCCCTTCCTTCCTCTCTCCCTCCATTCTCCTCCTCTTCCTTCTTCTTCTTTTCTTCTTCACCGTTTTTTTTTTTTTTTTTTGAGGCATAGTCTCGCTCTGTCAGCAGGCTGGATGGAGTGCAGTGATCTCAGCTCACTGCAACCGCCACCTCCCGGGTTCAAGCGATTCCCTGACTCAGCCTGTAGTCCAGTAGCTGGGACTACAGGCATGCGCCACCTTGCCCGGCTAATTTTTTTTTTTTGGATTTTAGTAGAGACAGGGTTTCACCATGTTGGCCAGGATGGTCTTGATCTCCTGACCTTGTGATTACCCCACCTCGGCCTCCCAAAGTGCTGGGATTACAAGTGTGAGCCACCGCACCCGGCCTTCTTCACCATTTTTAAGTGAACATTCACATCGCTGTCAATCGTCACCATCATCTCCAGAACTCTTTTTGTCTTGCTAAACTGAAACACTGTATCCATTAAACAACAACTCTCCATTCCTGACTTCCCCCAGTTCCTGGCAATTTCCGTTCTACTTTCTGTTTCTATGAACGTGACTGTTCTATGTACTTCATACGAGTGGAATCATACAGTATTTATCTTTTTGTGACTTGTTTATTTCACTTAGCATAATGTCTTCAAGGTTCATCCATGTTGTAGAATGTGTCCAAATTTCCTTCCTTTTTAAGGCTGAATAATATCCCAATTACATGTATATACCACATTTTGTTCATTCATTCATTCATTCATTTATTCCTTCAAAGACACTTGGGTTGCATCCACTTTTTGGTTATTGTGAATATTGCTGCTGTGAAGATAGTTGCACAAATGCCTGATTGAGTCCCTGCTTTTACTTCTTTTGGTTATACACCCAGAAGCAGAATTGCTAAGATTGTGTGGTAATTTTATTTTTAGTTTTTTGAGTAATTGCCATACGTTTAAGTAGTAATTACTTAAAGGTTAGTTGCAATGTGGAATCTGAAACCATATTAATGAACTTTTGTGACCTGTTACATTAAAATTCATTGGTCTGCCTTGCACATTGAATAAATCTTTAACCCACACATGATTCTTCAGTTTGTATGGGCCATTTGAAAAAGACTGGTTCACTGAGTTATGTAGCTTTTCCAAATAACAGTCCATCTTTAATATAATATAAAACAATCAGATTCATTAATATTGCCCCTCATATCATCAGAAAAATCTTCAAAGTATTGCAAGCTGTTAAGTTCATGGTGGCTGATACAATTCTGATTTTTATTTGAAAGCGTGTATTTTATCTTTGGCAACAAATGCTGCCAATTGTTTTCCTTGAAGTGACAGCCTCACTTTGTTCATTTTCAAGAATGTGTCTAACACTTACTCAAGTCCTAATCACGATAATTTGTAGTTTTTTAAGTAATAATGATATCTACAGGGGTAGGAAAAAACTATTTTGAGAATAGTTTGGATTTCACAGACTTCCTGCAAGTTGTCTTGCGGATGGCCAGAGGCTATGAGCTGTCATTTGAGAACCACTGTGTAAATACAATGCTGCTTGGCTGAAAATTCATACACATACTAAACACATATGTATAGTATGTATCTTATTTGTTAAGAAAACTTATTTTCACTATTCAAAAATAACATAGATCTATAAGTGAAAATTCACTGAAGCAAACATATGACAATAAAAATCAGCAGTAATCTCATCATCCATGAAATAGCTATAATTATTTATTTATTTGTTTGTTTGTTTTGAGACAGAGTCTCTCTCTGTCACCCAGGCTGGAGTGCAGTGGCGCCATCTCGGCTCACTGCAAGCTCCGCCTCCCGGGTTCATGCCATTCTCCTGCCTCAGCCTCCCGAGTAGCTGGGACTACAGGCGTCCGCCACCACGCCCAGGTAATTTTTTGTATTTTTAGTAGAGATGGGGTTTCACCGTGTTAGCCAGGATGGTCTCAATCTCCTGACCTCGTGATCGGCCCGCCTCGGCCTCCCAAAGTGCTGGTATTACAGGCGTGAGCCACCGCGCCTGGCGAAATAGCTATATTTAATAATTTGCTACCTGTGTTTCCAGATAGCTACCTATATCTATTTATCTACGTATTTACCTTTTAAAAATAAAATCCTATTAAACAAATTATTATGTAACCTGCTTTGTTTGTATAATGATATGGGATAAATATCTTCCATGCTGTTAAACATTATCATAAAGATACTTTTTAAGAAAAGGCTTTACATTGAATCATATGGCTATATCAAAATTTATTTTTGTATTTATTTTTTTGAGATGGAGTCTCACTCTGTTGCCCAGGCTGGAGTGCAATGGAGCGATCTTGGCTCACTGCAGCCTTTGCCTCCCAGGTTCAAGCAATTCTCCTCCCTCAGCCTCCCGAGTAGCTGGGATTATAGGCATGTGTCACCACACCCGGCTATATTTTTTTTGTATTTTTAGTAGAAAAGGGGTTTCACCATATTGGCCAGGCTGGTCTCGAACTCCTGACCTTGTGATCTGCCCACCTTGGCCTCCCAAAGTGCTGGGATTACAGGCATGAGCCACTACGCCCGGTCTCAAAATTTATTTTAACCAAAGCCAGGAGTTACTTGTTATAAAAATTCTGCATGTATCATTCTTTTTTCTTTTTTCTTTTTTTAAATTTGAGACAGGGTCTCTTTGTCACCCAGGCTGGAGTACACTGGCACGATCTCAGCTTATTGCATCCTCAGCTTCCCTAGGCTTATGTGATCCTCCCATCTCAGCTTCCCAAGTAGCTGGGACTACAGGTGCATGCCATCGTGCCCAGCTAATTTTTGTATTTTTTGTAGAGACGAAGTTTTGCCATGTTGCCCAGGCTGGTCTCAAACTCCTGGCCTCAAGCAATCTGCCTGCTTTAGCCTCTCAAAGTGCTGGAATTACATGCATGAGCCACTATGCCTGGCCCTTTCACCCACCACTTTTTATTTTTTTATTTTTTTTTTAGAGACGAAGTCCTACTCTGCCATCCAGACTGGAGAAGTACAGTGGCACGATCTAGGCTCACTGTAGCCTCCGCCTCCCGGGTTCAGGCAATTCTCATGCCTCAGCTTCCTGAGTAGCTGGGATTATAGACCTGCACCACCATACCTGGCAAATTTTTGTATTTTTAGTAGAGATGGGGTTTCACCATGTTGGCCAGGGTGGTCTTGAACTTTTGAGCTCAAACTGATCCACCCACCTCAGCCTCCCAAAGTGCTGGGATTACAGGCATGCACCACCGTGCCTGGCCACACCCACCATTCTTATAACTAAATTATTAGATATTTATTACTATTTTCTTCCATACTATAAATTTTTAGAAGTAGTATCCTGTAGATCATGGAATCTTTATGTTTTAGAATAAATATGGATGTTGTCTAATTGTCCTCCAAAACGTTGTCTCAACCTACTCTCCCATAGGACCGTAGAGGGCCTGGGTCCAGGTGCTATTCTTTGCCCTCTGATGTGCACCAGGTTGTTCTTGTTCCTGTGATGGAGTGTTTATCTCTGTGCGTTCCCTAAGGAGGGAGGACCTGTTCAAATGGTGTGTGCCCATGGCCCATTTCCTGTGCAATCGTGTGATACCCCACACCTCTAACACACACACCTTGATCTACAGGAAAGGGCAGAGCTGTTGGGCCCCATTTCCCAGATCAGCCTTGCAGGAGGGCACTTATTTATTCTGTGTTGCTGAAACGTCATCGTCTCCTACTCCCGAAGTTTGGGTTTCTGACGATCCAATCCGATGAAAGACACAGACAACTACAATTTCCAGCAGTTGTAACTTCAGATTCTCTTCCCCACATGCCAGGGCCTCACTTTTCAGCTTACTGTAAGACCTTGGGTCTGGCTGAGTAATGAACTTGGTGCATGGAAGAAAGAAACTCATCTAACTTGAAGAAAGCTAAACCTGCACCAACTTCCTCTAACATTTTCTGACTTGACCAATTTGGTTGAGTATCAAACTTGCAGAAAGAGGGTAGAGTTGATTATGGCCTTCTAATGTTTTTATTAATATTATTTTTGATTGTGGTGAAACACATATAACATGGAATTTATCATCTCAGCCACTTTAAGTGTATAGTTCAGTTGTGTTAAGTACATTCACATTGTTGTGTAACTATTACCACCATCCATCTCCAAAACTTTTTCATCTTGCAAAACTGAAGCTATATACCCATTAAACACCTCCCAGCCCCTGGTAATTTCTATTCTAGTTTTTGACTCTCTCTAGGTACCTCATACAAGTGGAATCACCCAATATTTCTCTTTTTGTGACTGGCTTATTTTACTTAGCATAATTGGCCCACTGATTTTAACATTCTGCTTTTATGAGCCAGCACCAGGATGGTTCGATTAGTGTGTTTCAAATGGATAACATCAGGATTTTCACATTCCTGAGTAAATTTGGTCAGGAAAGGGGATGTATAAACATTGTTATTGCTCTTGAAAGGGATAATTTGTCTAAATGAGTTTTTAGAAGAAATGGCACAGCATCACTATTAATGAGGTTGTCAGTGAATGTCTATCTATGTAAAGAAGAACAAAACCAGAATTTCAGGCATGTATTTTCTTGCCATTTCATGGCAAGAAGTACAATATCCTGGACCACGAGGATTTTAGAATCACTGACAGTTTATTGTCTTTACCCTTCCTGTAAGACTGAAGGACTCCTCATTTCCATGGCCAGTTTGGAAAAACTGTTCTTGTTCTGATAGAATGTTGCAGAGTTGACTTTGTCTTGGTAGAAATTTGAGGGTGGTATAAGCACCACAACCTAAAGCATTGTGTCAGTGGCATTCCAATTCTTTTGTTTTTTGAGACGGAGTTTCGCTCTTGTTGCCCAGGCTGGAGTGCAATGGCGTGATCTCGGCTCACTGCAACCTCTGTCTCCCAGGTTCGAGCGATTCTTCTCCCTCAGCCTCCCTAACAGCTGGGATTATAGGTGCCCGCCATCACGCCTGGCTAATTTTTTTTGTATTTATAGTATAGACGGCGTTTCACTATGTTGGTCAGGCTGGTCTTGAACTCCTGACCTCAGGTGATCCACCCACCTAGGCCTACCAAAGTGCTGGGATTACAGGTATGAGCCACCATGCCTGCCCAGCATTCCAATTCTTTATTAAAATTAATTTAGACTATCAAGAAAGTCTAAAAAAATTGAACACTCAAAGGATTGCAGAGGATGCCGTATAGATGTCGAAGGCTGCCTGTGTAGAAGAGGGAGGACCTGTAGCAGGTGCTTCTGACTTCCACTCATGACTTGCTCTGTGCCAGGCACACGTTTATTGAGTGTGTCAGTTCATCCCATTTTACAAAAATGCTATGAGGTGCTTCTTATTAGTGCTATTTTAACAAGTGCAGAAACAGAAGAGAGAAGGGTTATATAATTTCTTAAAATCACAGAACTGGGAAGTGAAGGAGCAGGATTTGAATTCAGGCAGTCCAATTCCAGACTCTTTGGGGCTTCATAAGCCTATCCTAAGATTCCTTATCTCTCAACAGATGGCTGAGTATTTATTAGATTGGCCTGTTGAAGAAAAAACCTTTAAAAAATAATATAACACTTTTACCTAAAAAATAGTAATAAAATAGAAAACACTAGAAGTGATTTTTTTTTGTGATAATATAAACCTATGGTAAAAGTTTTTTGAAAAATGTTTTTTTGAAAATATTTTTGGGGGCTTTGCAAGTAAGAACATTTGAAAACTCTCTTCTAGCCTACAAATGATTTTGGAAGAGAATGATTATGCTAAATCTGATTTTATTAGAAATGAGAAAAGATTAAAAATTATTTAAACCTAGTAGGTAAAAAGCTACTCCACTACCTTGGAGATCACTTTAATTGTCTGGAATACGTCAATGGAATATCAGTCAAACACAAAATAAGAGACTGCCTTCATCATAGTACATGAAAATTATTTCCTTTATAAACAACAGAATCAGGAATAGTTCTGTTTTAAGAAAAATGTTATTAAACAAAGCAAGTGTGTAAGGCAGGCAAAGTGGATCACACCCAAATGACCACATGCCCAGCAAGTATAAGTAAATATTTTAACGGCCTTTCCTCCTTGTTATTGTGATATATGAAGCTATGCATTACTTTTTGAACCAAGCAATCAGATTTAGCAGAATAAGCCTATGCATTTCATCCAGGATTATGACAGCGGATTAGGTAAGGCCTACAGGGACCGTACAGCCGGTGATTGGGCTCCCAACCACCTACTGAAAATTTAAAGGAGCTTTCTGCTTTCAGATCCCTATCACGTCCTCGACTTTCCTGCAAGAGGCAGATTATTACAGTCCCCTGGGAGCCACTCAGGGGGAGTCTCAGGGCACAGAGGTTATTTGATTCAATTACAAGAAATCTGATGAGTATCTACAAGGAACTCAGAGCTGTGGTAGGTGAGAACAGTTTTGGATATACGGAAAAGATGAATAAGGCAATGTACTGGCTCTTAAGGATTTGTGGTCTTTTTTAGGGAGAAGAGAAAAAAGTGCATGAAGTAAAGAAAAAGCAGGGAATGAGAGAAAAAAATGGAGGAGTGAGTGCCACAGCCCAGTCAGTAAGTGCTACGTAAGTGCCTGGAAGAGCGAGAGAGGGTGGGGACTATGCTGGGAAGTCCAAGACGCAGGGTCTATGTGGATGGTAGCTAACACAATAGTGGTCTCCCCCCAAGAAGCAAAGCAATGGCATAGAACTAAGAACTCTAACTCAAGACAGTTTTCCTGAAATACAACAACTACATTTTGAAAATTACCATATTCCTGAGAATATTGACCCAGAATGATCAACACTGAGACATATTCTAGCAAAATTTGGGGGCTTACAAAAAGGAAAAGAAATCCTTTGGGCAAGAACCTGACCCCGAAAGTGAATTCGATTATCATCAGATTTTTGACAACGATGTTTTATGCTAGAAAAAAATGGAGTAACATCTTTCAGACAGCCCCTTCCTACAGACTCTTGGAAAGAACTAGCTGTAGACAAGCAAAATGGCTAGAGGACAGTGACACAGGGCTGGGGTTGATAGTTACTCTAGAGCTAAGATTAAATGAGGGCTAAACCGGAGGCAGGACAGTGCATATGATGGTTATACGATCTGACAATGCAGATATAGGATGACCACAAAAATCGGGGGAAATGGGAAAGCATATGAAGACATTTTTTTGTTTGTTTTTGAGACAACCTGTTGCCCAGGCTGGAATGCAATGGTGGATTCATAACTCACTGTAACCTCGAACTCCTGGGCTTAAGCAATCCTCCTAACTCAGCCTCCCAAATAGCTGGGACTACAGGTGCACGCCACTATGCTGGGCTAACTTTTTTTTTTTGGAGAGACTGGATGTTGTTGCTATGTTGCCTAGGCAGTTCTCAAACTCCTGGCCCCAAGTGATCCTCCCACCTTGGCCTCCCAAAGTGCTGGGATTACAGGTGTTGTGAGCCACTGTGCCCGGCATGAAAGCATTTTTTAAACAACTCTCATAAATTACACCAAGTGTTAGAGTGTGATATTGCTATTCTGATACTGCTGTGTGTAGTATGGGATAAACAGGCACCTTTTTATATTCTGCACCTTCTACCTAACCTCAGGATAGATCACTGGACACAACATCAACTTTTTGCTTCTCTTTGTAAACGATGCTATTTATTTATTTGTTTATTTTTACCAGCAATGACTTTGGAGGCTTGCTTTAATAACACCACTCTTTCTCAACTCCCCAGGTTTCCATTTCTGTGCGAAGGGCTTCCATTCATTCCTGTTATCCTTCTTGCTTTATTCCTGGCTGTCTAGGTTTAGCATATTTTTAAATCTGGAAGAATATTTATCTTCAGACTGGTAGGGACTTTTGTTTATTTTATTAATCTCTAAAGGTCTGTCCTGGACCACTGACAGCCATTGTCCATTTCAAACTCGGTTGTTAGCAGAATTAACCTGTCATTTCACGGAAATAGTCTGTGTTGCTGGAAACCGAAACTTTCGCACCCAGGAATTTACCAGGCGTTTGGTTCAGTGTGGTTTATTTAGATGTCGTTGAATGGCCAACGGCTTAGTTTCTTTCTCTCCCTTTTGTACTTTCTAAGGCAAAAAGGAGAAAATGCTGGGTACTCATCACTCAGAAGCATGTGTTTTATTTTTCTTCATAGACTTTTCTCCATGTGATTATGATTTATGTGTTTATGACTTTCTCCCCATGACAGCAGGGCCCTTTGTTGTTTGCTGTTGTTTCTGCAGCACTTGGCGCCGATGGCATTTCAATAAATATTTGTTGAATGAATGAATGGGATGCTTTTAGATATTATGTATTTGTGATAAAGCAGATATGTGAATTCTTTTTTTTTTTTTTTTTTTGACACGAGTCTCCCTCTGTTGCCCATGCTGGAGTGCCCAGGCTGGAGTGCAGTGGCGCAATCTCTGTTCACTGCAACCTCCACCTCCCAAATTCAAGCGATTCTCCTGCCTCAGCCTCCCGAGTAGCTGGGACCACAAGCATGTGCCACCACACTCAGCTAATTTTTTGAATTTTTAGTAGAGATATGGTTTCACCATGTTGGTCAGGCTGGTCCTGAACTCCTGACCTCAAATGATCCACCTGCCTTGGCCTCCCAAAGTGCTGAGATTACAGGCGTGAGCCACCGTGCCTGGCCGATATGTGCATCCTTAAAGGAAGGCTCTGTGAAGGGTACTAGGCTTTATCACTGACATTTGGAATAGGAGATGGAAAGGTACAGCGAATTTTGTCAAATGCCAGAGACATATTCCCAAAGTTACCTCGGCCACCTATTGTTCCTATGATTGTCTGCACAGCTGCCAGACTTGAGGGAGTCAGTTTCAGTTTTTTTCTGCCAAATAACTAGCTGTTGCATGATGTTTTGCCTAAATAAATGAAAAACTGAATGAATAAAACACATTATTATTTTAATTGAATGAGACAGAGTGGGGTTATCACTCAGCAAGAATGTATCCTATCACTAAGTATATTTTTAGTAAGAAAGAAAATTAGTTTTTTGAGCTACAAGAAAGAGGAGGTGGGAAGATCCTCAGGCCTTACCTCACACCTTCCTCAATAAAACCCTGTAATGCTCTTGTCCTGGGCTTCAGATCTGAGACCATCCCAGAAGTCAGAAAGAGGAGAACACAGCCGGGCACTGTGGCTCATGCCTTTAATCCTAGCACTTTGGGAGGCCAAGGCGGGTGGATCACTTGAGGTCGGGAGTTCAAGACCAGCCTGACCAACATGGAGAAACCCCGTCTCTACTAAAAATACAAAATTAGCTGGGCTTGGTGGCATGCGCCTGTAATCCCAACTACTCTGGAGGCTGAGGAAGGAGAATCACTTGAACCCGGGAGGCGGAGGTTGTGGTGAGCTGAGATCGCGCCATTGCAGTCCAGCCTGGGCAACAAGAGTGAAACTCTATCGAAAAAAAGGAAAAAAGAGAACACAGGCCTGGAGTAATGGGGCTGCCATGCACAGCTGAAGACACTGAACCTCCCCTTTGTCTACTACACACAGCTGAGGAGCTGCCTGTTCTTTCCAACACCTAAGGGTGTGTGATAGGTCAAGCCTGGCTCTGGGGTCCCCTCACTGTCCCTATCGGGCCTTGGACACAGAGGGGTCATAAGCACCTTAGTTGAGTGAGGTGAGTGAGAGTTGCTCAAGTGTTTCAGACAGGCAAGTTGTCCCCTAGTCATGGACACAAAAGGTCCTGGGAGAAAGGAGGACTCCAGAGAGGAAAAAAAAAGTATACCTAGAGACCCAGACCTGAGAGACAGATAGATAGATGATAGATAGATAGATAGCCTTTAGACGAAGACTGGGGACTTGGGGTCTAAGTGGATGTTGGGGGCCTGGGAGGCTTGCCAAACCACTGAAAAAAAAAATACAAAATTTTAAATATTTAAAGCTTTTTGTGCTTCTAGATTCAAAGCAAAAAAGAAGACTATGATCAAATGTCTTCCTCCCACTCCTGTAAGTCTCCAACCCCTGGCCTACCAGCGATCTCCCTTAAGGCATTCACTATTTCCTGTGCATTTTTCCAGAGCCACATTACGCATAAAAAAGCAAATGCATCAATAAGTGTTTCCTTTAAAAAATAAATAAATAGAAGCTTGCTATATATATTGTTTTCATCTTGAAGTTTAGACATTTTATATTCTGTCTGGAGGGTTGATCCATATCAATGCATAGAGTTTCCTCGTTTGATGGCTGTATATTATTTCGTGGTATGGATTTATGATACTGCATTTTACCAGTGACTGACTGATGAACATTGACATAGCATGCAATCTTCTGCTATTACAGCCAAAGCTGTAACGACTAATCCTATATTTAGGTTATTCCGTAAGTCTGAGAATATGTTTCTATGTGAGACAAATTCTGAGAAGTGGACTTTCTGGACAAAGGATATATGTGTTTGTGATTTTGATAGATTTTTGTCAAATTGCCTACTATGGAAGTTGTATCAATTTACACACTCTGGCAATTTATGAGAGAGCCCTATAACCATGTTTTAATGGGCACTTGAGACCTTGTAGGCGGCCAGAAGGGGACTGTTAAAGTTCTGAATGCTGCAGTGACCATAGTTTTGAAATAAAAAAAATGAGGACCCAGGGAGGTACACTTATGGGGAAAACAGGACAGAATATTTATACTGGAGAGTGCTGTGAATTTTCTGGAACCTGTGGTCACATTGACAGGCTCAGACACCCATGGAAATGCATGCAGAGACCTGTAATGTACTGAGTGGGTGTCTGCTGCCTCAAGTCCATTTTGGCAGGAGTCGTACTAAGACTTTTTTTTTTTTTTTGATGGAATCTCGCTCTCTTGCCCAGGCTGGAATGCAGTGGCACTATCTTGGCTCACTACAACCTGTGCCTCTCTGGTTCAAGTCATTCTCCTGCCTCAGCCTCCCAAGTAGCTGGGATTACAGGTGTGTGCCACCACGCCCAGCTAATTTTTGTATTTTGCATAGAGACGGGGTTTCACCAGTGTTGGCCAGGCTGGTCTTGAACTCCTGACCACGTGATCCACCCACCTCATCCTCCCAAAGTGCTGGGATTACAGGTGTGAGCCACCGCACCCAGCCATACCAAGACATTAACATAATAAGACATAAGACTTAGACATACTAAGACATTTAAAGGCTGGGTTCTGTGATCCTCACAGCCTCAGGCCAAGGCACTCTTCGGCCACCAGACCACTTGATTCTTATTTTATTTTATTTTGAAAGAAGGTGGGGAGATCACATATTAGGGAGTGATTTCTGTATAATCGATGAGCTCAGCAGTGGCACGGGTCCAGTTTCGTCATTAAGGCCGTGTGTACATGATGTGAAAACAACCTGTGAATTCCATCCGTTCAAATCGTTGCTAGTGTTGTGGGGGGCAGGAGGAGATCAGTTAAATGGATTGTTAGATTTAATTGACTGGCTGCTCGAATTGATGAGACCGTTCCATTAAAATGGTCGATCCAATTAGGTCATGTAGGATGATTGAAAATACAGGATCAATTGCTTTGGTTTCGTGTTTTCATTCAGTGCAGGCTTAGCTGTGGAAGTGCCCAGCAACGTCTTCATGCCTCATGTCTCATTTTAGCACCTGGGTGGCCGAAGCGTGACTTGGACTTCCAATGTGTGCCATTTAACCCTGGGCAAAGCCCAGGCAAAGCAAACAGTACACTTCAATAGCAATAGCAATGAGGATAGTTTACTCTTGTTTTTATTGCATTTTGGATCACAGAGGGATGGGAACAGCATAATCTTTTTAAGAGGTTCGGCTCTCTAAAGGTCTTAATCCAGTCCTGGAAAGACAGTGGTATGCGTGTTTGTTGTCGTTATTTTATAGGCCCATCCCTCCTAAACACATTACCAAAGAAACTCTTGGTTAATTTCTTTAAAATTTGGTCACGATCCACCACCAGGTGTAAGATAGAGCCATGTGGTTAAATAGCAAGCATTGCATGATGGTCTGAGATACAGACCAGAGCTGGTTTTTTCAGTGAAAAGCTGCAAATGCAAATAGAACTCTTTATCAAAACTGCTAATCTCAGCAATGTTAAATAACACATTGTATACTATAGTAATGCTTTTTTGTTATGAAAGAAAATACCCGCACCAAATTTGGAAAATAAATAAAAGAAAAGAAAAATCCCCAGAGCCTCTCCAGCCAAATAATGTTATTATCCACTTTAAATTTTCTTTGGGAAGGGGTGGGAAAAACAAATCAAATTAAATCTATATTTTGGGCTTATTTATTTCCTGTAAGATAAGATAATTGAGAGTAAGCTATCAAAAAAGCGTGTAGGTACAATTTGGTCCCTTTGTAATCCTAACTATGGGCACAAATTTTATTAGAGTCTTCTTTAATTTGGGGAGAAAGCTTTTCCACAGCTCTAAATCTCTAAATCGAAATTATTAAAGTACCTGGGCCTTCACTTTCTCTCCTAGGAATAAGAGTTTACCTGATGATGCTTTTTGCAGGCGAGACGGAAAAACCTAGTTTTCCTTGGTAATGTTTCATATTAACTCTGAGCTGACTTCAAGAAATCCCGAAACATGCCAGCATTCAATTTCATCCCACGGCCTTTGTGGTGGCAACTGCCAATCAGAAGCTGCCCTGTCTTTGGGAATAGGGTCAAATGAGTTGATTCTCTGTTGGCTTTCTGCTGCTATTTTTTATGAACTGAATTCCAAGTGAAATCATTCTCTGAACAAGTGGTCATTTTAAAAGCCTGCTCCCAACCCTGTGCCTGAAATTCACACATCTCAGTGAAGGCCAAAAAAATGCTTTCTGAAAGAACCAGGCTCTCTTTCGATAGAAATAATTTTAAAAACTTTTTTTTTAAAAAAAAAAAAGAAAGAAAGAAAAGAAAAACATAAACTCGACAAGATAAAGAAAAGGAGAAAGATACTGAACTGGTATCCACATAATTTCATTGACAGACAATCTGAGGGAGAGGCAGGATGCCTATTTTATTGAGCATCTACTATGAGCCATGCACTTTTGCTCATTTCACCTTATATAATCAAGGCATGGGAAACTGAGATTTGCATATGAGAGGTGGGGATAGAAGGAAGAGGGGGAAAAGAGGAAGAGAGATTTCCAAAGCCTGGGTCTCCTTCTCCACCCTTTTTTATTGTGATAAAATATCTAACATAATATACAATATAAGATTTACCATTTTAACTTTTTTTTTTTTTGAGACAGAGTTTCGCTCTTGTAGCCCAGGCTGGAGTGCAATGGCACAATCTCAGCTCACTGCAACCTCTGCCTCCCGGGTTCCAGTGATTTTCCTGCCTCAGCCTCCCGAGTAGCTGGGATTACAGGATTGCACCACCATGCCTGGCTAATTTTTGTATTTTTAGTAGAGACAGGGTTTCACCATGTTGGCCAGGCTAGCCTCGAACTCCTGACCTCAGGTGATCCACCCGCCTCGGCTTCCCAAAGTGCTGGGATTACAGGTGTGAGCCACTGCGCTGGGCCATTTTAACCATTTTTAAGTGTACAATTCAGTAGCGTTGTTTACAGTCACAATGTTGTGTAACCATTACCACTATTTCCCAAACTTTTCATTACCTCAACAGATACTTTGTAACCCTTAAGCAATGACTCCCTAATCCCCCTCCCCCTGCCCTCTGGTAGTGTCTAGTCTACTGTCTGTCTCTATGAATTTGACTACTCTAAGTGCCTCAGAGAAGCAGAATCATCCACTATTTGTCTTTTTGTGACCGGCTTACTACATTTAGCATAGTGTCTTCAAGGTTCATCCATGTTGTAACATGTGTCAGAACTTCATTCCTTTTTAAGGCTGCATAATGTTCCATTGTGTGTACACACCACATTTGCTCTACCCATTTACCTGTTGATGGACACTTGGGTTATTTCCACCTTTTGGCAGTTGTGAATAGTGCTGCTCTGCCTAGGAGTGTACAAATATCTGTTTGAGTCCCTGCTTTCCATTCCTTTGGGTAGATACTGAGCAGTGGCAGTTTTGCATTTAAGCCTTACTTTTTCAGTATATCTCTAGAGAGGCTGGCTCTATATTATGAGCTGGCAGTAACAGCATCAATAACAGGAAAGAAAACTGGATGTTAGTAACAAAGGGTTTTAATTTTGTGTTTTAAACTGGAGACACACGTTAAGGGAAAAAATCCAAGTAAAAGCAAGGGATCTCATTTTTCCCTCTTTTTCTCTTTTCCTTCTTATTCCTCTCTGACTTCTCTGCCTCTCCCCCTCCCCCAACGCATTACAGCCATCCCCTTCTCTCCTCTCAAGTATGTGACGAGTGACTGGCCTCCCATGTTTATAAGGCTGCTCTGCAATGCGATTGCTCCTCCAGGACTTTATTAATGCCATTTACGATTCCCGTAATAACTAAACCACACTGTTCTCCAAACACCAGGCCTTGGAGAAGTCATTACCCTGGTGATCACAACAAAACTTAATTCTAACAGGCTGCCTGCTGGTGCAATCCGCTGTGAGTAACTCCCTGTGTTCTGGCAGTAAAAACAAATTAAATTAAAGATCCCTGTTCACCAAAGGCCTAATTCTAATTTTTGCAAAGTTTCCATTAAACAACATTGTCTACAGAAAGTGCTCACTAACATGTTCCCCCTGGGAATGACAGGGAAAGGAAATTCCAATAGGAGAATTATTAAATTTTCTCATTAATTTTGTTACACCCTCTTAGCATTTATTAATAATATTAGAATGATCCAAAGATCTGTCCTCTTTGAATTCTGTAAAGAATTTATGGAAATTAGTCTTCATCAGGGAGATGTGAATTGCTGAAAATCAGAGATGAACAAAACAATAGATTAAAAGGAGGTTGCTTTGGTAATAAATATGGTAATGTAGAGTTCCTTCCTTTCTTAATAGCATGGAAACATTTCAGGGAACATGTTAATATTGTTTTCCCTTGCAAGAATCTCAGTTCAAGTATTTTTTTCTTTTTCTCTTTTTTTTTCTCAGTTTCAAGTATTTTAAAAATATTTAATGACAGTGATTTTCACCTTGCCTTTGACTAGCAGTCCTTGGAAAAACTGCATGTTGTCTGGGAATAGCAAGCCAGGTTTCTCTACATGTGGGGGTGTGGATAAAGTGGTACTTCTGGAAAGCGGTGTGTGAGTGGGCTTTCCACACAAATCGGCTGGTTGGTTTATTGTTACCGCACAACTACGGTGAGGTGTTTGATTTCTTCCATTTCACTTTATTTGACATGGATTCCAGGGTTCTCTGACAGTATTTCCCAAGTGCCCGTGGGCTATCCCATGCCCCGTGCTTAAAACATGAGGGTAGAGAAATTGACAGAACAAGTGACCAAAATTTATTGAGGATCTATCAAGTTGCAGGTACCATATTCTAGATGCTTCTATAGATCTTTAAAAAAAATTAATTCTCACAGCAGAACCTTCAGGATAGGTATTTTTATCCAACATTAATGGATAAGAAAACTTACCCAACGTCACATAGTTTGTAAGTGGCAGAACGATAATTCATTCTTTCATCAATTTAACAAACTAATTTTTGAGTAACAATTTTGCTCTTGGCACAATGCTAGCCTCTATGGTTAAACAACAGATTCTCTGAAAGGATAGGCACCGAAAAAGCCAGACTGTGACAATTGAAATAAATATCTAAATCTTCAATGTCTGTGCATTATCACATGCCCATAAGCCTCAGGAACATTTGGGGAACCCATGACCTCACCAAATGAACCCAATAAGACACCCTAAAGTAGCATGGTCTCTCAGAGAATTCAAAATAGCTGCTTTAAGGAAACTCAATGAACTTCAATATAATATAGAGAAACAATTCAGTAATTTATCAGAGAAACTTAACAGACTGAAATAATAATAAAAAATCAAACAGAAATCTTAAAGCTGAAAAATACAATGAACCAAATGAACAATGCAATAGAGGGCATCAACAGCAGAATTGATAAAGCAAAGGAAAGAACTGGTTAAGAAGCAAAGGAAAGAAGATGGTTAGAGTTAATAATAATATGTTACATATTTCAAAATAGTGGGCTTGAAGACAGGCTATTTGGAAATACATGGTCAGAGGAGAAAAAAAATGAAAAGGAATGAAGAAAGCCTGTAGGAACTATGGGGCAGCATCAAAAGAGCAAATATTCAGGTTATTGAGATTCAGTAGGGACTTGAGAATGCCAAAGGGGTAATAAAAGAAAATTTCCCAAACCTAGATAAAGATACAGCTATCCAAATACTGGAAAGTAAAAGGTCACCAATCAGATTCAACCCAAATAAGTGCACTCCAAGACATATTATAATTAAGGACTCAGATGTAAAAGACAAAGAAAGGATGCTGAAAGCAGTGGGAGAAAAGAAGCAAATAACACATAAGGGAGTTACAACTCACCTGGCAGTAGACTTCTCAGTGGAAACCTTACAGGCCAGGAGGGAGCCTGATGATATATTCAGAGTGCTGAAGAAACAAACACTGGCCAATCAAGAATACTGTACCCAGAAAAGCTGTACTTCATAAACAAGGGAGAGATAAAGACTTTCCCAGACAAACAAACAAACAAACAAAAAAACCACAACAGCACAGTACCGGTATAAAAGCAGACACAGAGACCAATGAAACAAACTAGAAAGCCCAGAAATAAACCCACACATCTATAGCAAACTGATTTTTGACAAAGATGTTAAGTATACACAATAGGGAAGGGACAGCTTCTTCAAAAGAAATGGTGCTGGGAAAACTGGATAGCCACATACAGAAGAATGAAACTATACCTTTATCTCCCACTAGATACAAAAATTAACTCAAAATGTATTAAAGACTTAAATTTAAAACCTGCAATTACAAAACTGCTAAGGGAAAACATAGAGGAAAAGCTCAATGACATTGGTCTAGATGAAGATTATTTGGATAAAACCTCAAAAGCATTGGCAATAAAAGTAAATATAGACAAATGGGACTATGTCAAACAAAAAAGCTTCTGCACAGGAAAGAAAATAATCAAAGCAAAGAAATAACTTACAGAATGAGAGAATATACTTGTGAACTATATATCTGCTAAAGGATTAATAATCAAAATAGATAAGGTACTGAAGCAACTCAACAACAAAAAAACTCAAAAAATGGTCAAAAAAACTCAAAAAATGGGCAAAAAAATAGACATTTCTTAAAGGAAGACATACAGATGACCAAGAGATGTGCAAATTCTAACTGCAAAGAGATATCACCTTGCTCCAATCAGAATGGCTACTATAAAAAAACAGAAACCAAAAAACACATACTGGAGAGAATACGAGAAAAGGGAACCCTTATACGCTGTGGGTAGAAATGTAAGTTAGTACAGCCATTATGGAAAAGAGGAAAAATTGAAAACAGAACTACCATATGATCCAGAAATCCCATTACTAGGTAGTGGGATTTCATATGCAAAGGAAGTGAAGTCAGTATGTTGAAGAGATACCTGTGTTCATATGTTTATTGCAGCACTATTCACTTTAGCCAAGACAGGGAACCAACCTAAATGTCCATCAACAGATGAATGGATAAAGAAAATGTGGTATATATACACAGTGAAATACTATTTGACCATAGAAAACAATAAAATCCTGTCATTTGTGGCAACATGGATGAACCTGGAGGAAATTATGTTAAGTAAAATAAGCCAGGCACAGAAACACAAATGCTGCATGACCTCACTTATATGTGGAAACTAAACAGTTGTTCTCATAAAAGTAGAAAGTAGAATAGTGGTTGTCAGAGAATGGGGATAGGATGGAGGAGAGAGGGATAGTAAGGGATGGGTCAATGAGTACAAAGCTACATTTAGATAAGAGAAACAAGTTCTAGTATCCTATTACATAGTAGGATGGTTAGAGTTAGTAATAATGTGTTATGTATTTCAAAAAAGCTAGAAGAGATGTTTTTGAATGTTCTCATCATGAAGAAATAATACATGTTTAAGGTGATAGATATGCTAATTATCCTGATTTGATTATGACACATTTATGTAAACATTGCATTGCACCCCATACGTATGCACAATTATTATGTGTTAATTATAAATAAAAATATACAAAAAGAAGTGGTCCCAAGTAAAAGTTGTAGAGAACTAAAGAGATGAGAGCTGGAAAAGAAGGACAAAGAAACAGAGCGATATCAGTCAAAGTCCCGTGAAGGGTAATGTTGGCTTTGTTCTCACAGGAGACAGGGCAGGTCACACCTGAAAGTCATCCCTAGCTGGGGCAAGGAGCTATAGTGTTTGTTTAGCTGTATACACCAGTCATTAGTCAAAGGCTTAACCCAGAAACATGTAAACCCCAGGCACTTTCAGCTATCAGGGCTTCTAGGCAAAGCTGACAATAAAAATTCAAGTGCTGCATATTGGGAGTGAAAGTGCACAGGGAGCTGCTGTGAACAAGAGGGAAAAAGGGCATGAAGGAGCATTAACAACATTCACTACAGTGTGAAAATGACACTTGTACACTCTGTCATTGAATCACTTATTGAGATGCTTTATTATTACTTTCCTTAAAAAGGTGGGTTAAATATTTCTTATGGGTTTTTTTTTTTTTTGAGATGGAGTCTCACTCTGTCACCAGGCTGGAGTGCAGTGGCATGATCTTGGCTCACTGCAACCTCCACCTCCCAGGTTCAAGCGATTCTCCTGCCTCAGCCTCCGGAGTAGCTGGGACTACAGGTGCCCGCCACCACGCCCTGCTAATTTTTGTATCTTTAGCAGAGACGGGGTTTCACCATGTTGGCCAGGATGGTCTGGATCTCTTGACCTCATGATCCACCCACCTCGGCCTCCCAAAGTGCTGGGATTACAGGCGTGAGCCACGGCACCTGGCCTCTTATGGTTTTTTAAAACAAAATTTTTTCATGTGTATTAGGCTTTTATCTTCAAATTTTAGTGATCATTTTGCTTTTTCTTTTTGCTGTTTGTATACAGAGGTGGTTTTCAACATGTTGTCCCTGGACCAGAAGAACAAGTATCACGGGTGGGTGAATGGGTGAGGATACTTGTTAGAAATACACCTTCTTAGGATTCATTTAAAACCTATTCAATCAGAAACTCTGGGAGTGGGACTCCGAAGTCCAGATTTTAGCAAGATCTTAAGGTGATCTTGATATTGCTCAAAGCTTGGGAATCACAGCTTTATGGACTGACTGAAGAAGTGTTACAGAAAAAGGAAAGAAAGGAAGGAAACTTTCTCCTATTCAGCTCCTGCTTTATGCTAAATAGAGTCCTAAGTATTTGAGAGACATAACCTCATTTATGATTCCTCCTAATTCCCATGAAATGAATATTGTAAATGCCATTTCATGATAAATAAACCCAAGAGTCAGAAAAGTAAATTTATTTGCCTAAGTTCATAAAGCTAGAGGCAAGGTCAGGATTTGAATCTAGGCCTGACTTTGAGGCCATGTATTCTAGTGTATTGGGCTGTGCTAGGAAACTAGATGACAGTTAGTGACATTCGCAGTGACAAGTAGACACAAGTATAGGCCTATTACTATAGCATTGAGGAACATGTAGAATTGCTTGGGTTTCTGGCTGTGACATATAGCATGTTGAGTGCAGCATAGATCAATAAGTACCAGTGGAAAAGCTGGGGCAATCGCGATCAACATCACAATGCAAGTGTGACAAAAATCTCATGTTCTCAAATATTCTGGAGAAAGGTGAGTCTGAAAAGGAGTAGAGAAAAGTAGAAGTGGTTTTTGCTGTTATGGGAATAGTAGCTGTCCAACTACAGATATTTGGTTTTGCAATAATAACAAAATGAGAATTGTGTAATTGTGTGCTAGGGATAACGGTGGTAGTGGTGGTGGTGATGACAGTGATGGTGGTAGAGTTGGTGGTGATAGTGGGGGTGATGTGGTGGAGGTGGCTGTAATAGTAATAGTGGTGATGGTGGTATTAGTGATGGTGGTGGTAGTGGTGGTGATGGTGGAGTGATGTTGCTAACGATAGTAGTAATGATGTTGCAGGTGGTAGCGATGGTAGTAGTGAGTGTGATAGTTGTTGCAATGATGGAGGTGGTGGTGATGGTGGAGGTGATGATGGTGGTGGTGCTGGAAGCAGTAATGATGGAGGTGATGGTGATGATGTAGGTGGTGGTGAAACTGAGGCTTTGGAAAGAAGCGCAGTTTCCCAAACTTAAAAAGTAAAAGCTAAAATTGGGGTGATCTATGCATTCATTGATAATCAAGGTTAACCCCTATGGAGTGCGGCTTCCTCTGTGCCAGAAACTATGCTTAGCATTTTAGTTTATTCTCATAAGATCTCTGCTAGGCAGATGCCATTGCAAATAAAGGAATAGTAGATGTGGGTATTAACACTCATGGTCACAGGTCTATAAGCAGCAGAGCCAGGAATTCACCCAGAGCCCACATTTGACCACTGAACTATACTGTGTCTCAGCATCTATTCAGTGCGGAGTTGCATCTTCAGAATATATGCCCAGTTCTTTGCAAGATTTTATTATGAGTTGCTGCATTTTTCTGATTCTTCCCTAGAAAAATTGTTGTAGTTTCTGACATTATAAGCCCCTGGGAACTTTAGTTCCCAAATTTCAGTTGCTTCAAAGACTTGCATGTGTTTGCTATTCTTTACCTTTTCACATTTGGCACATGAAATTGCATTTATCCCGTCCAAATGCCATACTAATTGACTGATTGAAACAGGATTCTATTTCAGGCATGCTTTGTAATCGAGCACTCTCCTCTGGCTATAGCTTCAGGTCATCCATATAAAAGAAAAGACAAATCTTGAAGTCTTATCTCTTTCTGAGAGAGTAACCATAATTTGGCTTATTTTGCATCCAACTAGAGTGGGTTCAAAGCCAAGCTAAATTACAAAGGGCTCCAGCTGTCACTCTAGAAGATGCCTTTTTGTACATTCGTCTGGAAAGGATTTGTTCCCATGGAGGTTTCTATACCTTACAGATATTAAATGCTGCTTGGGATGGGTGGGCTGGGACTTGGAAATCCTTTCATCCCTTTAAGATTTATTTGGAATTGGGGTACCCTTTGATAGAGTTTGACCGTTACTGACTTCTCCAAACACCTCTGGTTAACAGTCATAGTCCTGCCCAAGAAATGTGGATGCTGTGTCTTCTATGGGAGGTAGTTTAGGAGACAGGAAGGCATAACGGCTTAGCAGTGCTACCCAAAGTATAGCTTGCTGACTAATGCCGCTCTACAACTGTTTGTTACTGGTTCCCAAGGAGATAAGAAGCTTACACCAGAATGTAAACCAGCTCCAAAAAAGCACACTATTTAGCTCAGTTGATATTTTTTCATAGCAAGACTTTCTTAATGAAGGAAGCAGTGCATAGATTTACAATCTGGTGTAATCTCCTTATCATCTCACAGACCAGTATAAAAAAGTTTCAAGTCTAGCTACTTTATGCAAGGCTGGTTTAGAGCATGATTCTGGAGCCAAACTGCCTGGGTTCAAATCCTACTTCTGCCACTTATTAATGGGGTGACTTGGGGTAAGTTATCTAACTTCTTTTTTTTTTTTTTTTGAGATGGAGTCTCACTCTGTCGCCAGGCTGGAGTGCAGTCAGCTCACTGCAACCTCCACCTCCCGGGTTCAAGAGATTCTCCTGCCTCAGACTCCTGAGTAGCTGGGACTACAGGTGAGTGCCACCATGCTCAGCTAATTTTTTGTATTTTTAGCAGAGACGGGCTTTCACCATGTTGGCCAGGATGGTCTCAATCTCTTGACCTCGTGATCTGCCCGCCTCTGCCTCCCAAAGTGCTGGGATTACAGGCATGAACCACTGTACCTGGCCCTATCTAACTTTTTTGTGGCTCAGTTTCCTCATCTATTAATGGAGAATAATGCTAGTCCTTACTACTATTAAATGTGTATGTCGGGGTGTGTGTGTGTGTGTGTGTGTGTGCACACGAGCATGTGTATACAAACACATATATATGTAATATTACATAGTAAGCACTATGCAAGTGTTAATAATAATAATAGCACTAGCAATAACAATAATAATTTTGTAGATGAAACAATTAGTATAGTCCCACAGAGGCAGCTTAGCGGTGTGTTTCTCCTTTGAAGTGAGATGGTTGAAGAATAGTTAAGCTGGTTAGATCAACTTTCTGTCTCTAGGAATTTACTCCAGGTACCTCCTATAAGTGGCATCATACAGTATTTATCCTTTTGTGATTGGCTAGAGATAGAAGCTGGGGCTGAGTTTTCTAATTGATAAGGATCCAATCTATGAAGTTTTATTTGCTGACTTTCTAAATTGCCACCTCTGCCCTCATCTATTTCTGAAAAAAGACAGTAGGATCCCAGCTTAGAAATGACCACGTCTGGGGAGGAAAAGTGGTTGTTGTGTGGTTGTTGCATGTTCCAACTGACTTGTTCAGCTGAGAGCAAGTGTCTGCATTGTGAGCTCTGCGAAGACTGGACTTGTCATGTAGCATGCACTCTATAAATATTTGTTAAATGAATGACTACTACCATACCCAGAAATATAAAATCGTTCATGTTGTGGATGACTCAGGGTCTATAAATTAGCATGCTTTAAGGTATAATAAAAGGAAAGTGATTTTACTAAGGTGTTACTCTATTATTAGTGACTCTCTTAGCACTGGCTCAACACTGCTTTGCCAAGATTACCTCTGGCTGTGTGTGTGTGTGTGTGTGTGTGTGTGTGTGTGTGTGTTTTAAGACCAGATGGAGACTAAGCCCCAAGCAACTCATCTTTTATGTGTTACAGTTGCATTCTCAATAATTGTGAACGAAACTTGAAGTGTATTTTACAACTTTTGCTTCAGGTCTTAGAATTAAATCTTTAAACCTTTCTCCATGCTACAGAATACTGTTGAACTATAATATTGAAAGGTATTGCCTTCAGAACCACTGGGAGAATAATTCTAAAGACCCCTAAAACAGAGAATTCCAGGAATATTGTATTTAATAAAGAAGGGCAGGAGAGGAAACAGGCATACTATTTTTTTTTCTTTTTTTTTTTGAGATGGAATTTCGCTCTATCACCAGGCTGCAGTGCAGTGGCGCGATCTCGGCTCACTGCAACCTCTGCCTCCCGGGTTCAAGCGATTCTCCAGCCTCAGGCATACTATTTTAATTTGTTTTTATTTCCTCTCTTTCCCCCAAGGGTAAAAATGAAGACTGGCAGAAAATATTGGACTAACCCAGACACAAAATCCAGATAGATAGCTTTGATTAAGGTGTCAGGCTCTATTTTGGGGAGCTGATTTTGGTTTTTTATTATTTTTAAAAATTATTTAAATCGTGGTAAAATACCCACATCATAAAATGTATCATCTCATTTTTAAGAGGGCAATTCAGTGGTGTTAAGTACATTTGCATTATTGTGCAACCACCCCACCATGCATCTCCAGAATTCTTTTTATCTTGTAAAACTGAAACTCTATACTTGTCAGACAACAACTCCCCACAATTCTGGAAGCCACCTTTCTACTTTCTGTCTTTATGAATTTAACTATTCTTGATACCTCATACAAATGGCATCATACACTATCTCTCCCTTTGTGATTGGCTTATTTTGCTCAGCATAATGGCCTCCAAGTTTATCCATGTTGTATCATGTGTCCAAATTTTCTTCATTTTAAGGGTTGAATAATATTTCATTGTATGGATATACCACATTTTGTTTATCCATTCACTGTTAATGGATATCTGGGTTACTTCCACCTTTTGGCTATTGTGAAAAATCCTTCTAGGAACATGGTAATACAAATATCTCGTTGAATTCTGATTTTAGTTATTTTAAAAGGAAATATTGGTATTTGAATCTGAGCACAAGTTGCCTATGGTAGTGACCCTCAGTCGCTGCCCAGGACTTTATAATAGGCAAATTTTGTCCTTTTTTGTTGCTTCTTTCTCCTTCTTTCTCATTTTTGTCTGTCTTTCTGTCTCTGTTTCTCTCTCTAGTGCATGCTTTTGTGTGTGGGTAGGTAGGCAGAGAAGATGACTTCTACCCTCACACCTGTTTGCAAGATGATTTTTTTCTTTTGTTTTGTTTGTTTGTTTGTTTGTTTTGAGACGGAGTTTCACTTTTATTGCCCAGGCTGGAGTGCAATGGCGCAGTCTTGGCTCACTGCAACCTCTGCCTCCCAGGTTCAAGTGATTTTCCTGCCTCAGCCTCCCGAGTAGCTGGGATTACAGACATGTGCCACCACACCTGGCTAATTTTGTATTTTTAGTAGAGATGGGGTTTCTCCATGTTGGTCAGGCTGGTCTCGAACCTCAGGGTGATCCGCCCGCCTCAGTCTCCCAAAGTACTGGGATTACAGGCGGGACCTACCGCACCCAGCCTAGGTGATTAGGTTTTACCAAAGAACAAATAGGACAGTTACCAAATACAGTTGCGGAGAAATTTACCACATAGCTTAAGCTTTAGATTCAAGGTAGATCATCTGTAAAAGCTAATGTCTTCACATGAGTTAAAGGTTTGAATTAAAAATAGATCCCCAGAATGTAATATTATTTTTATAAAATCAACTTAATGTCAGATTATGTAAGCCTTCATTTAAAAAGCAAAGTCATTTGAAACAATATGTTGTCTAGTAAAACAGGGAAATGATCAGATTCAGAACCTGGAACATAAACCAACAAGGACCTCTATGCACAGCTATGGAATTGTAAGCTATAGCATTTTAACTTAATTAAGAAGGAGAAAAAAACATGAAGTAAAGCTGTTTGAAGAAAACGGAAAAGTGCATTTTGTATGCTGGAGCCCCATGGTTTCCCTGCTGGGCTCCCTGGTCATCAAGGTCCTCAGTTTCCTGGTGAGACCTGTGTCTTTTGGAGTGACGAGGTTTTACCGCGTTGGCCAGGCTGGTCTTGAACTCTTGACCTCAAGGGATCAGCCCCCTCAGTTTCCCAAAGTGCTGGGGTTATAGACGTGAGCCACCATGTCTGGCCTTATCTGACTTTTTGATTATAGTCATCCTACTGAGCATAAAGGGATATCTCACTGTAGTTTTAATTTGCATTTATTTAATGAATAATGATGTTCATGGGTGTGTGTGTGTGTGCATGTGTGTGTGTCTGTGTTTATGCTTATTGGCCATTTGTGTATATTCTTTGGAGAAATGTCCATTCAGATCATTTAAGTAGGACGTCTTAATTTTTGTGTGTGTGTGCCATGTACCTCTTAGGAAGCCTGGTGAAATTTACGGATCCCTTTTCTGAATGAATAGAACCACAAAGGATACTAACTATATTGAAATATGCTATTAAAGATATTTTAAAAAGCAAATTTGTGATACGGTATTTTATGAACCTCCCTATTAGCATCTTAAATAAACAAAACTAAGAGGCAGATTTCTTTTCCTTTATTTTTTTTTTGAGACTGAGTTTCACTCTTGTCGCCCAGTCTGGAGTTCAATGGCACGATCGCGGCTCATTGCAACCTCTGCCTTCCAGGTTCAAGCGATTCTCCTACCTCAGCCTCTCAGTAGCTGGGATTACAGGCACCCGCCACCACATCTAGGTAATTGTTGTATTTTTAGTAGAGACGGGGCTTCACCATGTTGGCCAGGCCAGTCTCGAACTCCAGACCTCAGGTGATCCACCAGCCTTGGCCTCCCAGAGTGCTGGGATTACAGGCATGAGCCACTGAGCCAAGCCTAAGAGGCAGATTTCATAATGCCATGATCTGATGATAGTGATGAATATTGATAATATCTGGAGATATCTGCAACAACTGTAACAAACTATAAACATACTTTTAATTTTGGTTGGTGACAGATCATAGATATGAATGTGTTGCCTATATTCATAATGGAAAAAAATACTAAATTTCAGTTAAAAGTTAATGGAAAAATGGTGCATTTTGCCCCCCTTCCAAGATCACAGAGCCTCAAAATTCTATTTGTCTCCATTTTTAGGGGGAGGTGTTCATGGTTTGTAGATTAAGAAACTGTCACAGAATGATTGATATTGTTTGGCTCTGTGTCTCCACTCAAATCTCATCTCTAATTGTAATCCCCACATGTCGAGAGAGGGGCCTGGTGGGAGGTGATTGGATCACGGGGGCAGTTTCTCCAATGCTCTTCTCAGGATAGTGAATTCTCATGAGATCTGATGGTTTAAAAGTGTTTGGCAGTTCTCCCCTTGCTTGCTCTCTGTTCTGCCACCTTGTAAAGATGAGCCTTCCTTTCCCTTTGCCTTCTGCCATGATTGTAAGTTTCCTGAGGCCTCCTCATCCGTGCAGAACCGTGAGTCAATTAAACCTTTTTTCTTCATAAATTACCTAGTCTCAGGCAGTTCTTTATAGTGGTGTGAAAATGGATGAATACAAAAAATTGGTACCGCAAGTGGGTACTGCTGTAAAGATAACCTGAAAATGTGGAAACAACTTTGGAACTGAGTAATGGGTAGAGGTTGAAACAGATTGGAGGGCTCAGAGGAAGCCAGGAATATGTGGGAAAGTTTGGAACTTCCTAGAGACTTGTTGAATAGTTTTGACCAAAATGCTGACAGTGGTACAGACAATGAAGTTCAGGCTGAGGTGGTCACAGATGGAGATGAGGAACTTATTGGGAACTGGAGCAAAGGTCACTGTTGCTACACTTTAGCAAAGAGACTTGTTGCATTTTGCCCCTGCCCAAGAGATCTGTGGAAATTTGAACTTGAGAGAGATGATTTAGGATACTTGGCAGAAGAAATTTCTAAGCAGCAAAGCATTTAAGAGGTTACCTGGCTTTTTCTAAAAGCATACAGTCATATGCGTTCACAAAGAGATGGTTTGAAATTGTAACTTATGTTTGAAAGGAAAGCAGAGCATAAAGCCTTGAAAAAATTACAGCCTGACCATGTGGTAGAAAAGAAAAACCCATTTTCTGGGAAGGAATTCAAGCTGGCTTTAGAAATTTGCATAAGTAGCTTGGTGTTAATAGCCAAGACAATGGGGAAAATGTCTTCAGGGCATGTCAGAGATCTTTGCGGCAGCCCCTTCCATCACAGGCCTGGAGGCCTAGGGGGAAAAATAATTTCATGTTCTGGGCCCAGGGCCCTGTTGCTCTGTGCAGGCTGGGACATGGCACCTTGCCTCCTAGCTGCTCCAGCCATGGTGAAAGGGACCAACATACAGCTCAGGCTGCTGCTTCAGAGGGTGCAGGCCCCAAGCCTTGGTGGCTTGCAAGTGGTGTTGGACCTGCAGATGTGCAGAAGATGAGAGCTGAGGTTTGGGAACCCCAGCCTAGATTTCAGAGGATGTATGGAAATGCCTGGACGTCCAGGCAGAGGTCTGCTGCAGGGGCAGAGCTCCCATGGAAAATCTCTACTAGGACAACGTAGAGAGGAAATGTGGGGTTGGAGCCACTACACAGAGTCACTAATGGGGCACTGCCTAGTGGAGCTGTGAGAAGAAGGCCACCATCCTTCAGACCCCAGAATTGTAGAACCACTAACAACTTGTACTGTATGCCTGCAAAAGCTGCAAGCACTCAATGCCAGCCTGTGAAAACAGCCAAAGGGGCTGGGTACCCTGCAGAGACCATCCTTTGCATCAACTTATCCTGGATGCGACATGGTGTCAAAGGAGATTATTTTGGAGCTTTAAAATTAAGTGAGTGCCCTGCCAGGTTTTGGACTTGCATGGGGCCTTTGGCCCCTTTTTTTGGCCAAGTTATGGAATAGGAACATTAACCCAATGCTTGTACCCCCATGGTATCTTGGAAGTAACTAATTTGCTTTTGGTTTTACAGGCTCATAGGCAGAAGGGACTTGGCTTGTCTCAGATGAAACTCTGGACTTGGACTTTTGAGTTAATGCTGGAATGAGTTAAGACTTTGGGGGACTGTTGGGAAGGCATGATTGTGTCTTGAAATGTAAAAAGGATATAAGATTTGGGAGGGGCCAGGGTGGAATGATATGGTTTGGGTCTATGTCCCCGCCTAAACCTCATCTCAAATTGTAATCCCCATGTGTTGAGGGAGGGACCTGGTGGGAGGTGATTGGATTTTGGGGGTGGTTTCCCCATGCTGTTCTCATGATAGTGAGTGAGGTCTCATGAGATCTGATGGTTTAAAAGTGTTTGGCAGATCCCCCCACCTTGCTGTCTCTCTTTCTCTCGCCACCTTGTGAAAATGTGACTTGCTTCCCCTTTGCCTTCTGCCATGATGGTAATTTTCCTGGGGCCTCCCCAGCCATGCAGAACAGCAAGTCAATTAAACCTTTTTTCTTCATAAATTACTCAGTCTCAGGCAGTTCTTTATAGCCGTGAGAAAATAGATGAATACAAGGATATAGCCCCTTCCAGAACCATGACACCCATACAGGGAAGCATCAGAGGAAGAAGTACTGCAATCTCTCTCCTCTTTTACTGTTTGACTTCCTGCAGTGTCTTTCATTGACTGGACCCAGTTGGAAGCCAGAAGGCAAAAGGGTGGAGAATGGATGAGGGTGGGTGGTATTGAGGCAGTGGTGGTAGGGCACTAAGAATAACCAACATCATGACCGAAAGACTAGTAATATTTGGCTCTCTGTTGAGTTTCCATACCCAGGAAATGAAAGAAGATGAGGATCTTGCCTTCAAAATGGGATTGATTTGAGAGCAGTGTTTCCTAAAGTGACTTTCTTTGGAACATATTGGGAAACATTTCAAAATCTATTCCTTATTTTGGTTTTGACACTCATAATGCATATTAGCTTGTTAAAGGCTTTGCAAAGACCTGCAGTGAGGAAGCTAAGTTCCCCAACTCATGTAAGTGCAGACACTTTTCTCATTGCCCTCTTATTAACAGAGCTCTGCAAAGCATCATTTTGGAAAATGCCAGTTTAGAGAATAGTAATTCACACTCACAGGTAGTTACGGTCAAGGCGCTTGTATATCTATTATCTCATTTGATCTTCATAGCATCCCTTTGAACTAGAATACTGAGATTCAGAGACGGTGAGTGACTTACCAAAGATCACATAGCTAGTTAGTGGTAGAGCAGAAAATAGAAGAATCACTTCTGCTGGTGTCCACCACAGGGCTCTTATCCCTGGAACATAGGAAACTAGCTTTTTTGTTTTTTAAAGTGTCATTCTTTCTTCACATAGCACCCAAATTAACCCAGTCACAAACTTTGCTCTATTGTGGGGAAGCTCTAAAGATAACTCAGTCAACAAACAGCTTCCTGACTCTGTGGTCCTGTTGCATCTTCAGTTTCAATTGCATCAAACAGCTTTCAGCTTTTGATATGATGCCAGAAAATAATTTTAAGAAGAAAAGAAAAAAAATCTGCAGTTTTTCTTTCTCTCTTTCTTTTTTTTTTTTTCTTTTGAGACGGAGTCTCACTCTGTCACCCAGGCTGGAGTGCAGTGGTGTGATCTTGGCCCATGGCAACCTCCACCTCCCGGGTTCAAGCAATTCTCCTTCCTTAGCCTCCTGAGTGCAGTTTTTCTTATTTGGAACCACCTCCCCAGAAAGCACAGTGGATATGTTTCACCCCCATGCCTGCTTTCAGAGTGTCTTTCTGCTTTTAGAAAAAGACTAGTCTAAAGAAGACAATGCTCCATGTAATCACTCAGATGGGAGGGCTAACCCGTCTTTTCCCTCAGTAACGGTGGGCTTTCTTTAAGGTTGAAATGCTTATAATAAAGAATAGCTCCTGAAATGTATAAAACATTTTCACATATTTGATTCTCTTAATAGTCGTGAGATAGATGGGGCAGGCACTATGGTTCCATATCTCAAACAAGGAACCTGGGGCTTGGAGAGGTCTTATGGATTGCCCAGCTAGTAAGAATGAAAGCTAGGACCTATAATTAGGAGACCTGGCAACTCAGGCCAAGGACCCTTCTTACTTGTGCAACACTGCTTTGAAAGTTGAACAACAAAGAGCACAATAATGACGTGCAATTGTTGTCCATAAGCCTGTGAGGAATGGGCAGGTGGGGAGCTGGGAAGTTTTGAGCTACGTTTTGAAGGAAAAAAAAGGCATGGATAAATAGGAAAGGGAGTTGGGCACAAGTTCCGAGGTACACTTAGTATACCATGCTGGTAATGGGGGACAAAGACTCTTAGTGCCTGGCTACCAGTTAAAGAATAAGCAGGCAACCAAATTAGGACAGTGGGAAGAGAGGAAGGCTGGTAATTCATGATCTGCCACTAAATAGCTATAAGAGCTTAGGCTTGTATATGGCACTTTTCCCATCTATTAAATTAGTAAGAGGGCTGGACAAAGTGCATGCAATTATAAGGTACTCAGGAGCAGGTACAGAGGCATAAAAACTTTAAAAACTTTTTTCTTTTTTTTTTTTTTTTTGAAATAGAGTGTTGCTCTGTCACCCAGGCTGGAGTGCAGTGGCGTGATCTCGGCTCACCGCAAGCTCCGCATCCCGGGTTCATGCCATTCTCCTGCCTCAGCCTCCCAAGTAGCTGGGACTACAGGCGCCCGCCACCAAGCCCAGCTAATTTTTTTTTTCTTTTGTATTTTTAGTCAAGACGGGGTTTCATCGTGTTAGCCAGGATGGTCTCCATCTCCTGACCTCGTGATCTGCCCGTCTCGGCTTCCCAGAGTGCTGGGATTACATGTGTGAGCCACCGCGCCCAGCCTTAAAAACTTCTTAAAATTTTATTTTAATAGTCTTTGGGGAACAGGTGAGTTTTGGTTACATGAATAAGTTATTTAGTGGTGATTTCTGAGATTTTGGTGCATCCGTCACCCAAGCAGCATACACTGTACCCAAATGTGTACAGTGGATCCCAAAGTCCAGTATATCATTCTTATGCCTTTGTGTCCTCATAGCCTAGCCCCCACTTATAAGTGAGAACATACAGTATTTGGTTTTCCATTTCTGAGTTACTCTACTTAGGATAATGGTCTCCAGCTCCATCCAAATTGCTGCAAATGCCATTATTTTGTTCCTTTTTATGGCTGAGTCGTATTTCATGGTGTGTGTATGTATATATGATACACCGTATATGCACATATATATACCATATATACATATATACACCATATATACACATATATAAAACATATATACTTATATATACCATATATACATATATATACATACATCTCTCTCTCTCTCACACATTTCCTTTATCTACTTGTTGGTTGATAGGCATTTAAGCTAATTCCACGTTTTTGCAATTAGCCATCCATTTTTGCTCACAAGACAACTATAGGCACAAGTTTCATATGAAAACATATAAATGTTTGTATGTTTCCCTACAAATAGTAATATTCTATATACCATTATTACTTTTATTACTTAAGTATATACTTTTTATTTTATTACTTAACCACATTACCTCAAAGTCTTTCTATTCCTTTTAATGGCAAATCTGAGGAGGGAAGAAGTGATATCTTGTAATTCTGGTTTTGTTGTTACAAGCAAGATTAAGCTTTTTTTGATAGATTTCAGAGCATCTCTATTTTGTATTCTGTAAACAGTCTGTTTATATATTTGCCCTTTTTAATTTGCCAGAACTTTCTATATATTGGGAAAATTAGCCCTTTGTGATATGAGGTACATATTTTTTTCTTCCTAATTTGACATTTTTATTGTGGCTTTCTATGTTTTTATTGTTTTGTTTTTATGTTTTGTCATGCAGAATTTCTTTTTCAATTTTGTGATAGTTAAGATTTTAATGGCTTTTGAGTTTTATATAATATTTTAAGGGAGGTATTACCCATTCTAAGAAAAAAGGCTCATATTTTATTTTAGTTCTTTTATGGATTCATTTTACATATTTCACATTTTTTATTTGTAATTTACTTTTATTATATGAGTTAGAGAACTAAATGTATCTATTTATTTTTCCAGAGGGCTATCCATTTCTTCCAATACCATTTATTTGTAATCTATCTTTTTTCCTCTATTGATTTAAAGTGCCAATTTTATCATATACTTCAGTTTATTTCTGGTCTTTCCATTTGATTCTATTTATCTGTCTATCTATTTCTGTCCTGGTATCACTTCACTTAAATTTCAATTTCTATAACATATATGTATTTAATATCTGGAAAACTCAACATCTTCTCTTTCAGAACTTTCCTGCCTATTTTTGTCCCAAGAGAAGCTTTTGGAGGGGCCTAATAACGAGACAGTTTGACTAGTTTCTTGCTCCATTCTCAAGTTGTGAGAGCTAATTTTTCTCTTTGGCTCTGCCTACCTCTGCCTGTTTCAAGTAATTACTGAGTTACTAATAATGAGCTATCCTTGAGCACAGTACTTTACCCTGGTTTTGATCTGCTTTTCCAGTGTTTTTATTGATTTTTCCTGGACTCAGGAAAGAAGGATTGGAGAGCTTATTAGTAATAGAGCTATGATGAGAACCTAGGTTTTCCTGGCTCCAGTTCAGCACTTGCCACTCTTATTACTACCATGATGATGACTGCTATTATTACTACTACTATCGTCATCCCCATCCCCCTGCTTTTATTAAAATACAATGTGCCAGGCACTGTGCAAAATATTTTAAATTTATTATCCATTTAATCTTTATACAGCACTCAGAGGAGGTGGAGTGTGTTTCTGTATCCACACCTAGCTGTTGGTGGTCACTACTGTGTGCATTCCACCCTCAAACGCATTCCCTTTATTGGCCATTTTCCAGCCTCTGACCAGGAGCCCCAGCATCCAGACGTCCTAATGCTACAGCAGACAAATTGCTGTATGAGGGTGTTTTTATTTCCAAAGTTGTAAATTGCACCAAAATAGATTTCATACAATTTACAATGTGTCTGACAAGAAAACAGGTTGTTGCTGCCAAATCCTGATTTTTAATTGAACCTCTATTTGAGTATGGAGGACAATAAATAGCCCTACCCATGGGGGGCATAAGGCAACAGTAGAGGCATTTGGGTATGTCTTCTGGGAAGGCCAGAGGGCAAAGGGCCTACCGTTTTCTAAATGCTTTGCTTACTTAGGTTATTTTTGGAAATGCCTCTTAACAGGCTGTTGCTGGGGAGTTGATGAATTCATGACTACCATTTCGATAGTAATCAAAAAACAAGGCAGCTCTATTGAGCTGCAGAGGCTGAGCTTGGGCTTGATTTGACATTAATTGGATTTGGTAATCCCTAGATCTCCTGTTTGTTTTCCCCACGCCTGAGAAGCTATTATATGCATAAGGAGAGGACCTCCCCATCTTGTTGAGGTCTTGGCTCAATGATGGCTTGTTGGAGAAAGAGGATGTTGGCATTTTCAAAGATTAGGTAAAGAAAGCCAGCACAGGCAGCTGTGGTCTGAGTCTTCAGCCACTCTGGTAGTGAATTAGCATCATACACAGATAGCAATTGCTCCAGCATCCCTATGTCAGCAGGGGCTGGGGCTGCTAGGAGTTTCCAGCAGGGTTGCATGTGTTGATGTGTAGGTGAGGATGGTCATTGAGGCTGGTGTGCCATGTATGTTGAAGGGAGAGAGGAGAAATCAGCAATAACCAAGAGACAATGGCCAGAGTCATGAGCCCTGGAGATAATCAGAGTGTGACGGTGATGGTTGTCCCTGAAAGCTTTGTCCACGGAGCTGCTGAGTCAATGTTGTGGATGCCCAGAAATATTAACACTTTTTTACATTTATCCATTATCTCATTTGAAACTGCAAAAGTACTGCAATTTATTTCTTACTTTCTGATAACAGAATTGAGACCCAGAGATATTAACTTGCTCAGAGCTGCATGGATGATAGGTGAGACAAGCCCACTTAGTCATTTTCTGATCTTCAATTTTAGAATTTAATACAAAAGTCATCTTGCAAATGAAAAGTAGAAAAATTCATTTTTAAAATTTAGGTCAGACAAATTAAATTCAGTTGACTTTATATTTATTTGAACAAAAGACAATTCATGAATTGGGCCTGAATTGTCATGAACAAACCAGGAAAGGTTCAGGGAACTCCACTCAGCAACATGGGCAGGTAGTATTTATAGACAACTAAAGGAAGTGACATACAGAAACAGCTTGACTGACTATAGCTCTGTGTTGACCTGATGTGGGCATGGTGTGATGAGGCATGGTTATGGTTATGGTTGTGGACCAATCAGTTGGCAGCCTGAGACTGGCTGAAGTTGGCTGCTGTGATTGGCTAAGACTCAGCAACTTTTTACAAGAATATACTCTTGTTAGGTTGCAATGTGCTTGCATACTAAGTCAGTGTATTTGTCTGTTTTCATGCTGCTCATAAAGACATACCCGAGACTGGGCAATTTACAAAAGAAAGAGGTTTATTGGGCTTACAGTTCCACATGGCTGGGGAGGCCTCACAATCATGGAGGAAAGCAAGGAGAAGCAAGTCACATCTTATGAGGATGGCAGCAGGCAAAAAAGAGAGCTTGTGCAGGGCAACTCCCATTTTTAAAACCATCATCAAATCTTGTAAGACCCATTCACTATCATGACAACAGCATGGGAAAGACCTGCCCCCAAAATTCAATCATCTCCCACTGGGTCCCTGCCACAACACATGGGAATTATGGGAGCTACAAGATGAGATTTGGGTGGAGACACAGAGTCAAACCATATCAGTCAGGTTGCAGTTTGCTACATATGGAGGCAGCTTTAGACCAAATATAATTAAATTGAAAATTTCCCCTTTTGATAAGCATCTCAATTTTGAGAGATTGACCCAACTTTGGGCATTGATGCCACTGTGTCATCATTATGGACTTGTTTGGTCTCAGTACAAATTCACAATTTATGACATCAAGTCAGTTGCATGATTCCTTATGTTCTTGTGTCTTCATTATTTTAACTGTAGTAAGACCAGTTTATGCTGCATACAAGCATTTAAGACTCTCTTCAGAGGTTATGAGGCAAGAAAGAAACTATTATTCTGGCTATTTTGAGAACAATACTGGGAGACTGAAATATATTCCTTAAGAGGACCCCCCACAGATCAAACCAATCAAAATCAAATACATCAAAACTGACCCAGATGAGTAATTTTAACTAAGTAGTTTGTTTGCTGAGTTCTTTCAACTGAGTTTCTATCAGTTGCATGCACTCCTAGTCTGAAGCAATCATGTCATCTAAAACAAATTTAGCAAGAGAATTTAAAGAAGCTTGCTGGCCAACTGTAGCCTGTGTAGTAGAACAGCTATAGTAGCTAATGTTGGAGACAGATTTCTCATCATAGCTTTATTGACATTTATACCAAGCCAGGGAAGGAGCATTCTACCAAATGATGTCCACTTAGAGAGATTTATGAGGGCTGGCAAATTTGTCTTTATTCCACAGTGCAAACTCAGAGGTGTAGACTAGTGTTCTGTTTCCAATAGGCTATGGAGTGACAGTGATACTGTTAAAATACTTAATCCACATTGGCCCCTTATTTTCCACTATTGAGACACAGAATTGCCCACACATATAGTTGGTTATTAAAATCTTCCACAGATAAAAATATGTTCTAAAGGGATACAAAAGACAGTTTCTGTGGGACATCTTGTGCATTAGGGGTCACCAAAAAGGAAGCACTAGTAATATTTTTCTAAAGCTCCATTGTTGAATCATTTCATGGTTGGAGGGTACCAACAATTAAGGGATAAGAGTTATACATTGGTCTACAAACTGTTAGATTATCTTTCTCTTGGCTTTCTTATGCTATAATTTAGCTGCAAATTTCAAAATTCTCAGGTATTATCTACTCTTAGATTTAGATAAAGGATTTGAATGCATGAATCGAAAAACCTAACCCTCTAGAAAGGGTACAATTTGAACAAATAGTCAAACTTGGAATATTAGTGCAATTTGTTACAAGCTGAACCAGAGAATCTATAAAATCATGTACAAATTTAGGTTTCATATGATATATCCGATATTAAGTTTCTTATAGAAACTGTTGATTATGAAATCTTCAATATTATATGATTTTGTCGTGTATAAACAGAAAAAAAACAGGAACAGGAATAAACGTTTCATGGTGACAGAGAAGAGAAGTCTTGATTTGTGATCTTGAAAAAGCTGTCCACACCTGGGATGCCATTTGCTTCTGAGAAGAAACCTCCCTACTCAGTTTTACCTTGAGACCCCCATTGGGTATACAGTTCCAAGAGTTTTGAGGGGTCCTCTTGGGTTGAGAGATGTGGATCCAAGATGTGAGGCCCTGAAGTTTTTCTGTAGAGAAGTACTTGGTATGGTCCCTTCCAGTGGAATTCAAGGACGGTCTTTTTCCCGTGTCTTTTTAAAAAGACCTAATCTTCCGGATTCTGACAGGTCTGGTTGGCATCAGTTGGTGGATCACAAAAGGCTTCTTTTACCTGGTGAAAATATACTTTGGCATAATGCATTACAACCTTGCAATGTTGAGTCATGTCAGAGTTTATGAGAAGGAGACACATGGGGTTCTATCATTAGAAGCATTGGCCTTCCAGTAACTTTCATAAGGGGCCTATCTGTGTTTTCCACTGGGGGTAGATCTGATTGCCATCAATCACTAATACCTTTAACCAAGGCAATCTCATCAATTCAGTTAGCTTTGCCTGATGCCATTGTACTTGTAGTACCTTATTTAAATGCTGTATAACTTGTCCATTGAAATAAATACCTTTATTATTAGATTTCTTCAGGAATGCCTCATAAGTAAAACACATTTTTGGATAACCTTTTAGCTACTAATGTAGCATCGTCTTTCTGAATGAAAAAACTTCTGTACAACCAGAAAACATGTATTAAAAGTAGCAATTGAAGGAAATCCATCTGTAAGTGTTCAAATTATTGAGCAGGTACTGGAAATGCATCACCTGAAAGTTGTTGTTGTCTTATCAGAATTACAGGTTTGACAAATCAAACATGGGTTATAAACCATTTTAGAATGATCATCCCACCAACTTTAAATTTTTTTTATTTTGTCGCTTCACGATGAGTCATAGAGTGCTTTTTTTTTTTTTTTTTTTTTTTTTTTTTTTTTATTGAGACGGAGGCTCGCTCTGTCACCCAGGCTGGAGTGCACTGGCCAATCTCGGCTCACTGCAAGCTCTGCCTCCCGGGTTCACGCCATTCTCTTGCCTCAGCCTCCAGAGTAGCTGGGATTACAGGCACTCGCCACCACGCCGAGCTAATTTTTTGTATTTTTAGTAGAGATGGGGTTTCACCGTGTTAGCCAGGAAGTTCTTGATTTCCTGACCTCGTGATCCGCCCACCTCGGCCTCCCAAAGTGCTGGGATTACAGGCGTGAGCCACCGCGCCCAGCCTAGAGTGCTTTTAATAATGGAAGTTTTAAGGACTCAGGAAGGAACAGGTGGCTGTCCAGGCTCCCCATGAGTCCATGCTTAACACTGAATTTACATCCTCTTACATTCCAGTTTTGTTTCTCCAATTCAGGTGCATACCACTGTTTATTAAATAGGTTATCATAGGTAATTTGACTTGGATCAATTTGATGGAGTTTCTTCAAATCACATATGTTAACAATTCCAGTACTGCCTGACATAGCATGAAAACCTGCCAAATCATTTCCTTGGTATTCAATTAATTCTTGTTGTGCTTGATGTTGGTTTAACAGTTCTATGAAACCAATCCATTTTTTTCATTAGAGTTCTGTGAATTCTTACCCAATCCAGTGGTATGATCAGATTTCTAGAGATTTCATACAATTTCTGGAATGCATGTTAATAATCCATACCAATATAACTTAAGTGAGGTTTAGCATTACTTATTATTTGATAATGCTTTCTATACAATTTCATATATCAAATAAGCCAAATCTGTTTAATATCTCTCTTAATGTAAGGAAAGATATTATTTTAAGATGCTCCAAGGGCCATCTGAAAATTCTTAAAATTAACTTAAGGTCAAGAAAAAGATTTAATTTAGAATTTGATTTTAGGACATTTGTCAAAAATATCAAGGACTTAAAACACTTCATCAAAATAGGATGACAAGTCACTTGAAACAATAGGCATTCACTTAACCAGAGTGATAAGTAAAGACGTCAAAGGCAAAAACAGAAAATTACGTAGCCACAGAAAAACCTTAGCTCTTTTAATAGAGAGGACTCAGTTTTCTTACATGATCCAAATCCTAATAAATACATCATGAAGTGGAGGAAATATCATAGTAAGACACAGAATCTTTTCTCCTAGGCCAATTACCTAAAAGATTAAGAAATCCTTTCACATTTTCCTATTAAGAGCAAACCAATACTCCAAGAAAACCTTGTTTTTTTAACAGAAAGGATGAACTTCTAGTTTTGTGTTAGTGTACTTTTGATATTAATGCTTGAGTTTAAGAAAAACTAATAAATAATTCTCTTCTACTTATTTGATTAGCCAGTTTGACCACACATAAAATTTCTTTCAAAGGATTCATCTTCCATAAACCTTCTACAATTTTCTTACCCTTCACTTTTTTGTCCTATGCTTTTCTTCTTTCTCATTTTGAAATAACCAGTCATTCTAATTTAGGATAAAAATTACTCTCTTTTTGCCTTAACAAAACAGAACATCCTCATAACTTATAGTTTTTATTATGAAAAGCATATATTACCTTCTTTGTATACTTGCATATAGAGTTGTTTCTCTTATTATTACTAGTGATTTTATTTACATATATTAATTAGAATGTTTTACCCCTATGTTCCAGTGAACACCATGGTGCAAATAATTGTGAACTATCTGTCACACCAGCAATTTTGAACCATAATATCTAGAAGATATCTAGGAGCATGTCCTTTTTCTTTTTTGTTTTCTTTTCTTTCTTTTTGAGACGGAATCTTGCTCTGTTGCCCAGGCTAGAGTGCAGTGGCATGATCTCGGCTGCAACCTCCCCCTCCCAGGTTCAAGTGATTCTCCTGCCTCAGCCTCCTGAGTAGCTGGGATTACAGGTGCCCACCACCATGCATGGCTAATTTTTGTATTTTTTTAGTAGAGACAGGGTTTCCCCACGTTGGCCAGGCAGGTCTCAAACTCCTGACCTCAGATGATCCTCCTGCCTCGGCCTCCCAAAGTGCTGGGATTACAGGTGTGAGCCACCGCGCCAGGCCCGCATGTGCTTTCTTACAGTACAATTTGTTAGTGTGGCACAGAGCATGTTTACTAACAGTCTCAGATAGTTTTAGTCTCTCTGTAATAAGAAATTTTTTGTAGAGGAGGCAAAAGTCTGTCTCTATCCTCTTAGTTTTTTTTTTTCTAGGCCTGAAAATTAAATTGTTGTTTGTATAGACTTTCCTCAGTGTCAACTTTCCATTCTTGATAAGAATGTTAGAAACTTTTAGTGTAGGGAGAACCTCTTTCACCTGGGAAGTGTAACTTACTTACATCTATTTAACTCACTTGTTGTTTCTTTTTAATAATTATGCTTGGATTTCTCATAAATATGAGACATTAAACAGCTAGACATCATCTTATGTTTTTTTTCTTGCTGATAAATGTTGTAATATAGAAGGCCGGGCACGGTGGCTCACACCTGTAATCCCAGCACTTTGGGAGTCCAAGACGGGCGGATCACGAGGTCGGGAGATCGAGACCATCCTGGCTAACAAGGTGAAACCCCGTCTCTACTAAAAATACAAAAAATTAGCCGGGCATGGTCGCGGGCGCCTGTAGTCCCAGCTACTCTGGAGGCTGAGGCAGAAGAATGGCGTGAACCCGGGAGGCGGAGTTTGCAGTGAGCCGAGATCGAGCCACTGCACTCCAGCCTGGGCGACAAAGCGAGACTCCGTCTCAAAAAAAAAAAAAAAAACAAAAACAACAGCAACAACAACAACAAGAAAACAGAAATGTTCATTGCAGTAGTACTCATGATAAAGTGATAAACATCAGTGAGGGAATAGCTAACAATACCACAGTATATTCATTTGATAATTACCACTGTAGGCTAATAAAAGGAAATTGAGAAGAATTTAACACAAAACATTAAAAAAAAGTGTAATATAGAGATAACAGAAGCTTATTTCCAGCAAACCTAATTAAAAAGTTGTGTGTTTGTGTTGTATTTAATGGTGATGACTCTGAAGATAAGCCTGTTATAATAAAACTAACAATATTCTTATTTACCAAAAATTACCCAAGTCGAATGAACTTGAAAGCATCTGGGCTAGTTCTTATTTTTCCAAGAGAATACTTAATTTATATAAGCACTTAATTTTCTTTAAGCCAAATAAATAGGGCTCTTTTACAATTTAATTTTGATGATATCATAAGGAGATAGAAAAATATCACATATATATTATACATACAGACAAACATATAAACAGAAACAGATCTTATAGTTTTCATTCTAAAATTTTAGCCATGTGCCAGTACAAAAAAACAAGCACTTTGAATGCCTGGACTCAGCTTCCTTCCTTCCTTCCTTCCTTCCTTCCCTCCTTCCTTCCCTCCTTCCCTTCCTCCCTCCATCTCTCCCTCCCTTTCCTTCCTTTTCTCCCTTCCCTTCCCTTCCTTCCTTCCCTTCCTTCCTCCCTCCCTCTCTCTCTCTTTCTTTTTTCTTTCTTTCTTTCTTTCTTTCTTTCTTTCTTTCTTTCTTTCTTTCTTTCTTTCTTCTTTTCTTTCCTTCCTTCTTTCTTTTTCTCTGCCTCCCTCCCTCCTTCCCTCTCTCCCTCCTCCCTCCCTCCCTCCTTTCTTTCTTTCTTTCTCTCTTTTTTCTTCTTTCTTTCTTTCTCTTTCTGTCTTTTGTCTCTTTCTTTTTCTTTCTTTTGTCTTCTTTCTTTCTTTCTTTTGTCTTCTTTCTTTTATTTCTTCTTTTTCTTTCTTTTGTTCTTTCTTTCTCTCATTTAGGGGGTACAAGCACAAGTTTCTTACTTAAATGCATATATTGTATAGTGAGGAAGTCTGGACTTCTAGAGTACCCATCATCTGAATAGTAAACGTTGTACTCAATAGGTAAGAAAGCATGGATACTTCTAATCTTGTTTTATGGTCAGAGATTGGTTCATCCTTTCTATGTTTGTTTGTTTGTTTTCAAGATTGACTGATGGACCAATTAGTTGTGTATTTTTCTTCAGTAAAGCATTTTAGAGCATAGCAAAGATAATGACAATGGGAAAGAGGTAGACATATTTGGCAAAGCATATGGTCAGCAGGTATTTAAGAGGAGGGGCTTCAGTTGATTCAGAGGTTTCTATTGAAGAAGCAGAATCAAAATGAGAAAAGACAGAGGACTAGTTCATGTATACATTTTAATGATCCAAGTGTCCGATTGAAAGAGGGATCTTTAGAACTTGATTTGAAAAACCTCTCCACAGGAATATTATTTTTTCTCTCTGAGATATTGGTTGATCATTGTCCCAGGAGTGAAGTCCTTGAGGGAATACCTCTAGTGGGGAAATAGTCCAGGGCAAAGGGAATAGGTACATCATATAACTGGTATAAAGGTGGACAATTTATTTTTCAATGGCCTGGTTATTTACAATAAGGACAAACATCTTGGGGCATAGGGTTCATTAGTATAGGATTTCTCTATTTCTCTGTTTGGGCTTAAAATATGTATGAGGAGGTCCTCTTGGTCCCTGTAGCTGTTATAACTGTAAAGGTATGTGCCTGCTTGTCCTTTATAAGCATTATTCCCCACTGTGGCCACTGTAACTCTAAGCTACCTTTGGTAAAGCTCACACATTTCTCCAGGTTCTGGGCCCATAGTTCTTATACATGAAATTAGCTGGAATTCCAGATAGAGAAGTTCTGGCCCCTTTTATCCAGACCAACCCATGATTCCCTATCTTTAAGTAACATTACTTACCTAATGAACCCAATTCAGTTTCTCTCTCACCTAGTTGGAAACCTGAGGCCTTGCTACAGAACCCGGTTCTGTTTCTATGGCAACTTTCAAACATAGTCTACACTTAAAATGCTCAAATAAATTCTTTTGAAAGAGGTCAAAGCCTAGGTTTGTGGAACTCCAACTGGAGAGATAGACAACTCTTCCATGACCCCAGTTGCTGAGAGAAATCAGTGGTCACAATGGGCCCTGTGAACACCTTTGCTTGGTCACTCTGTGCTCCTGGAGTTTGCTGGAGGTCTACTTCCAGTCCCACTTCTAATGACCAACTGTTAAAGGAAAAACTGTAGACAAATTAAATTCAAGACAGTTTATTCAAGCAAAGAACAATTTATGAATTGGGCAGCACTCAGAACCAGTAGAGGTTCAGAGAGCTCCACCTGGCAGTACAGCCTACCAGTGAGCAGGCAATATTTGTAGAGAGAAAAAGGAAGTGTCATACAGAAACAGCTTGATTGCTTTGTTACAGCTTGTGCTATACCTTATTTCGACATGGTGTGATAAAGTATTTGCCTTATGTAAATATGAGCTGATCAGTTGGCAGTCTGTGATTGGCTGAGACTCAGCAACTTGTTACAAGAATATGCTCTTAAGTTAGGTTACAACCTGTTTGCATACTTAGGTTGCAGTTTGCTTTAGGTTATATTTAATTTAATTTAACATACCTTTAAAAAAAATCTGTTATCCCAACCCAGTGTCTCCCACAAATTCTATACAAGGAAGGATTCAAAATTAATACAATGACCTTATGTAACACAAATTTATTGATCACTTTCTGGGCTCTGGCACTATGTTAGTTGTAGGTTGTGATACCACAAGATGTGACATATTTTTAAGATGTTTTTCATGGAGACTTTAAAAGTCAATATGTTAAAATATCTGATAGAACTGTCCTCCAATTATTATTCACATATTTTAAAATCATTTACTTGTCCAGAAAATTAGTGAAACTCTTTGTGAACTTCAGAGGCTATGTATGGTCCATTCTATGGAATAATGTTGATGATGGGAGATTTTAATCTTTTAAGGGTGGGTTTGAGTTTCGAAAGCTGACAAAATCATTTCAAGCTAAGTCTAGTAAATAAAGTAGATAATACGATTTTTGTTCTTAAGAAAATGTGCTGTTACAGAAGGCAATGTTTTTCTTGTGTGCTTTGTGGGTATTTCTGAAGGTGATTCTTAATACTTTACTAATTGGAAGATTAGCAAGTGTGTAAAATGGTGAAAACATTCATATAGAAAAATGAATTCTGGTGTGTTTGTAGTAAAAAGTCAGTGTAGTCAACCCTTGAACAATACAGGTTTGAACAGCACAGGTCCACTTGTATGTGAATTTTCTTCTGCCTCTGCTACTCCTGAGACAGCAAGACCAATGCCGCCTCCTCCTCCTCCTCAGCCTACTTAACATGAAGATAGCAAGGATGAAGATTTTCATGATAATCCACTTCCACTTAATAAACAGTAAATATATTTTATTTTCGTTAGGATTTTCTTGATAACTTTTTTTTCTCTAGCCTACTTTATTGTAAGAATATAGTACACATGTAGCATACAAAACATGTGTTAATTGACTGTTTATGTCATCTGAAAGGCTTCTGGTCAACAGTAGGTTATTAGTAGTTAAGTTTTGGGGGAGTCAAGTTATACATGGATTTTTGGCTGTGTGTGGTTGGTTGGGACCTCTAGCCCCCAGATTGTTCAAGGGTTGACTGTATTAATACTGCTATAGTTGTATCAATGCTTAGAATTTAGAACATACCCCTCACCTGAGAATCAAGTCCTAAGGCCCTCCAATATTTAGAAGTTGGACAAGGAAGGAACCAGCAAGGGATCCTGAGAAGGAGGAATAATCAGTGATGTAGAAAGAAAACCAGGAGAGGTTTGTGTCATTGAAGCCAAGAGAAATTTGCATTTCGATATCTGGCAATATAGAGATATTCATTGAGAGCAGTTTCAGTGGAATGCACAGATCAATGGTCAGATCTGAATGATGTTTAAATATAGATTATTCTTCCAAAAATCCGGCTGAAAGGAGAAGAGAGTTAGGATGATATAGAAGGTAGACACAGTGTCAAGAAAGGGATTTTATAAGCATAAGAGAAAATTGAGCATATTGAAAAAATAGGAGGATATAGGGAGAAGGCGATGATATAAGATAAGAATAGATAATTGATGTAGGAGATCAGCTAGAACAGAGAGGAGACACAATCACGGATATGGAGGAGAGGGGAAGTTGACTTTAATAAAGAGAAGAGTCAGATCATTCACTTAATGTGGGGGTTGAATGTGTAGATTTGCTATAAATCTAACAGTTGAGGTCGATGGTCTCAGTTTTCTTGGTGAAGTAGGAGGCAAAGTTTTTAAAGTGGAAAGTTAAGTTTTGGTGGAGGGCATGAGTTAGGTGTAAACATTTTGTAGATTGCTAATGGAAAAGGAGCAAAGCTGCGTGAGGAAAAGTAAATGGTATATTGGATCATCCTGAATGTCCAGTTGAACTTGGAGTCTGGAAATGACAATTGTTCATTGATATTTTTTTCATTTTTTTCATAATATTTAGCAGCTCAGTAATGGAGCTGAGGAGGCAGATTGTGGGATTATAGTCTTGCTGCGTGGGTTTAGTGAGAGAACAGTGGTACATGAAGCTGTAGGTGATGAAGAAAGAATGTTTCAGATGATCAATAATGTAATCTAGGCAGGATTGGGAAGTAATGAAAACTGTCCTAGGGGTCTAGGGGCTCTAGGACCTCTTTTGAAAAAGGAATAATAACTCAGAAGAGTTTGTATAAAGACAACTTAAAAACAAATTGTTTTCTACCTGCCTCATTGGGTTATCATAAGGAATAAAGGAGTTAATTCATGCACAGTGCTTTGACCACTGCCTAGCACATCAGAAGAGCTGAGGAAAGGTTGGCTGGTGTATCAGATGCTATTGGTGTCTAGCTCTACAGTCCCCTTCCCCCCTCTGGGTTTAACTGCAGCTCTGGAGGACAGTTCTAGAGAACATCCATGGCCTCCCTGATCCCCGATTCCACCTCAAGAGCCTGCAGGGCCATGTCCAAAGCATCAAGAATTTTATCACATTGTGCCTAGATGCAGATAGGAAATTGGGGAGTACTGTAGTTGTACGTAAATGCCCCGCCTCGTGTCTTCCCATTGGAGGTGCATTCTAGAGGGTTTCTCAGATGGTCTCTGTCAGGACTGATTTGAGCTACCCACAAGGGTAATGAGCTAATATCATGCACTGTGTAGGCATTTATCCTTTCTGCCTGTCTCTTTCCCTGCTTGTGAAATCATATGCCAAATATACTGATTACACTTAAGTCTTTGTAATCCTGCTTTTAGGATGACTTGGGGTGGGGGAAAACTAAATTAAGAGAACTATTTTAATTGTTGTGATTGTTATTGTTAATATGAATATTTTTATTATGATCTATGATTATTATTATCTATTCTAGATATTTAGAAATTATTACAGGAACTTTTTCTGGACAGACAAGAACCTAAGTCTGAACATCTAAAAGGCTCACAAAGAATCAAGCAAATTTATTGAAAGAGACCAATACTTATTAGACCTATCTTCGTGAACTGAAGATCGAGAAAAAAATTCCAAGAGGCATTTGGACAGAAAAGCATGTTGACTCCACAGGAACAAAAATCAAACTGCATTCAAAATTCTCCTCTGCAATGTCTAATAGCAGGAGAAATAAAATAGTACCAACAGAGCTTCAAGGGAAAAAGACTGCATTCTAAGAATCCTATATTTAGGAAGTTGTTCAAGTGAAAGGGTAATGGAAGAAATGTTCTTAGATGTGCAACTCACTGTTATAACCTTTTAAACAAAGCCCTCGAAGACCTGATTTAACTGACAGTGAATGAATCTAAATACAGAGCTGTGGGATGTGAGAGTCACATCAGTGACCACTGAAACAAGTATAAAGAAAATTAAGTCTAGATGATTGTTTTACATATAATTATAAAACAGAATAAAAGTGTAAAACGCAACTCTTGGAAGAGGATATTTATAGTATAAAAATGGCCTAATTATAATAATTTGAACCTAATGTTTTGCCGCACAAAAATAGAAATGAAGGAGATAGAATGGTAGGAGAAAACACTTATTTCCTCATTATTCCCAAGAGGGATATTATTTAACTCTTGATAAAGATAACTGGAAATACAAACAGGATGTATCCTTTCTAAATTACTAAAAAAAAAAAAAAACAAAAAAAACAAAGAAAATAAATTCCATGTAACAATCATACTTTATGTAACACACTGAAGTTTTTGGTCTTTAATCTTCTTATCTCCAGAGATTGCTGTGACTCCTCGTCCACTCTGTATCATAGCATCACCTCCAGTATCATTAATGCAAGGCACCCCATTTCTGACCACAGCTTCCTTCTTTTCCTTCTTGGCTTTATTTTTATTTCTTTATTTATTTTTGAGACGGAGCCTCGCTCTGTTGGCCCAGGTTAGAGTGCAGTGCCATGATCTCAGCTCACTGAAACCTCCACCTCTCAGGTTCAAGCAATTCTCCAGCCTCAGCCTCCTGAATAGCTAGGATTACAGGCACCTGCCACCATGCCTGGCTAATTTTAGTATTTTTAGTAGAGACAGGGTTTTGCCACGTTGGCCAGGTTGGTCTTGAACTCCTGACCTCAGATGACCTGCCTGCCTTAGCCTCCCAAAGTGCTGGGATTACAGACATGAGCCACTGAGCCTGGCCACGTTCTTGGCTTTTTAATTGCAACCATTGAAATAGATCTTGATTTCACTGTGACCTCTAGCTTCTTTATCTTCAATTTGCCCCATCCTTCAGCCGTCCCCTTTCTTTAGTTTTCTACCTGTCCAGGTTAGATTTCAGGGTCCATTGTTTCAGCGATAGTACTGCCAAAATCCTAAACTCCCTCGCCCCTTTGGGCTTTTGTCAGACCCCATCTGGCCGAAGACCATTCCCAGAGCAACCCACACTGTGTGCTGTCTCTCTTCTTGTATTTAAGCAGCTGGAGAAAAACACAACAGAGCAGATTGTACCATCATATATTCATGAGCATCCATTCTGAATGGGCACCACAGTGCCAGAATCCTTCAGATATCTCTGGTCAATCTATAGTCCAGCAATCCACAATGACCATTCCAGATCTTCTCTAGCTTCCTTAAATGCCCAACTTTCCTACCCATCAACGGATGCCTTTATTTCATATTTCACAGAGATAATAGACACTGTCACATAAGGCCACTCCCCCCACTCCACACCCCCAAATCCTGCTACCAAACTCACTAACATAACAGCATCTGTACCCATCTGGTCCTCCTTCCTGCCTATTCCATAGAGGAGCTGTTTTTCTTTCTGAAAGAGATCAATTCCTCACATGTGCTTTAGACCCCATCTCCTTTCTCCTTCGCAGGAATCTTATAATTTAGGTGGTTCTGTATCTCCTGAATATCCAATCTCTTTTCAACCTCATCAATTGCTTCAAATTGTAAACATTAAGCAAATTATATTCAGCTTTCAAAAAAAAAGGGAGGAAATCCTGTCATTTGGGACAACATGGATGAAACTAGAGGACGTTATGGAAAATGAAATAAAGCAGACATGGAAAGAAAAATACTACATGATCTGACTTACATGTGGAGTGTGAAAAAGAACTCAGAAGCAGGAAGTAGAATGGTGGTTACCAGGGGTCTTAAGGGGTTGGAGGGTTGGGAAGATGTTGGTCAAAGGACACAACATTTCAGGAGGAATAAGTTCAAGAGAGCTATTGTTTCACACGGGAACTATGGTTAATAACAATGTATTGCATTCTTGGAAATTGCCAAGAGAGTAGATTTTAAGCGTTCTCACAACAAAAATGATTAGTATGTGAGGTAATGCATATGTTACTCAGCTTAATGTAGCCATTCCACAGTATGTACAAGTTTCAAAGCAACATGTTGTATATAATAAATACATATAACTTTGGCAATCAAATCAAATAAATAAAAGAAAATAAAAATAAATGGAGAGATATTATAAAAATTCTACTGCATTAATAGTCACTAATTCCAGTGCTTTGTATTCCTTTGTGGAAAGGTTTTCCAATCGTGTGGCACTATTGACTTTTTTTTTTTTTTTGGTGACGGAGTCTCGCTCTGTCACTCAGGCTGGAGTGCCGTAGCATGATCTCAGCTCATTGCCATCTCTGCCTCCCCGGGTTCAAGCCATTCTCCTGTGTCAGCCTCCTGAGTAGCTGGGATTACAGGCACATGCCACCATGCCCAGCTAGTTTTTGTATTTTTAGTAGAGATGGGGTTTCACTGTGTTGGTCAGGCTGGTCTCGAATCCCTGACCTCATGATCCACCCGCCTCGGCCTCCCAAAGTGCTGGGATTACAGGCATGAGCCACCACACCCGACCAGCACTATTGACATTTGAGTCCATGTAATTCTCTGCTGTGGAGGCTGTCCTGGGCAATGTAGGGTGTTAAGCATCATCCCTGACTTCTACCCATTAGATGTCAGTAGGACCCTCCCCGACCTGTGACAAAACTCCTGATCTTCTTCTGTTTCCTCTAACCTCCTGATCTTCTATCTTCTCCCCTTTCCTCTAAACTCAGTCCACTCTAAAGATCTTAGAGAATGACAACATTATGCATACAGTTAATTGCACAAGACTGAAATCAGAGAGTCAGCCTTGATACCACCTTCTTCTTCATTTTTCATGTGTGATTCATCATCAAATCACATTATTTTTCACTTACTAAATATACCCCAATCCCATCCATCTTATTCTTTCTTCACTGCCACCTCACTAATCCAAACTATCATAATTTCTTATCTGGACCACTGCAATAAATTCCTAACTTCATCCTGCGTCTTTGACTTCCTTCCAACTTGTTTACACTATAGCTAGTGTACTTTTCAAAATATAAATCTTGCAAACCCCTCACCCCCACCAACTTATAATCTAAATAACCAATTAACCAACTTATGTCTTTGTAGGTATAATCTCTGCAATATACTCCTATTCAAAAGCTAAGAAATAGGTAGGATCCAAACTCAGGTCAATTTATGTCTATAAAGAGACAGTTTTTGAGTACTTGAGTAAGTATCAATTCCAAATGAGAGAGAACACTGAGTTTACAGGAGAGAAAGAGGAGAGAATCATAGGTGTGATAGCAAGTGTTTGCACTGCACACACATACAAAAAATCAAGAGCTTCTTTCAAATTTATGCAGTTAAATTTCGTGTTGGTTTGTTATCCTTGGGAGATGTCTATACCTCCTATTAGTTATAGGGATGAAGTAGATAAGTAGAGGGTTATGCAGGAGAAAGTTTAACAAATCTTTGCTTTACAAGTATGATGTTCAGTCGCACTGAGACTGTTTTCTAAGTATCTTGTGGGACACAAATAGAAAGATGAATAGGATGTTGTCCTGGTTTTCAAAGCTCTACTTGAATTTTCCTGTCTCATCATTTACCTTTCCTGTCTCATCCTTTGCATTTCCTGTCTCATCCTTTGCATTTCCTGTCTCATCCTTTGCATTTCCCTTCTCATCATTTGCATTACCTCTGCCAATGCTTTCCACCTCCCAAAACTCCATCATTTCTTCCTTTTCCACTAACATTTTGCACATGGCTATATTGTCATTTTTCCTAACCTAAGGGGAAATAAAAAATCCAACAAGACCTTGTTCAAATCACATTCCAAATAAGGAGGAGGAATGAGTTGTAAGAGTTTTAGAGGAATTTTAAGCTCCTTTTTTTTTTTTTTTTTTTTTTTTTTTTTGAGATGGAGTCTTGCTCTGTCACCCAGGTTGGAGTGCAATGGCACAATCTCAGCTCGCTGGCAACCTCTGCCTCCCCATTTCAAGTGATTCTACTGCCTCAGCCTCCTGAGTAGCTGGGACTACAGGCCTGCACCACCATGCCTGGCTAATTTTTCTATTTTAGTAGAGATGGGGTTTCACTGTGTTGGCAAGGTTGGTCTCAAAACTCATGACCTCAAATGATCCGCCCACCTCAGCCTCCCAAAGTGCTGGGATTACAGGTGTAAGCCACCGTGCCTAGCCTTAGGCTCTTTTCATAAAGAACGGCCAAACACACACACACTATCTGAAATCAGATGCAACACTTTCCATTTGAAATCTGTCTCTCTGAATGGAAACAATGAAGTGTTGCAAGTTTATACTCTTGAAGTAAATGAGGACCAAAAATGGATAAGGAAAATAAAATGGGAGAACTCTGAAAGATCAGAGAAGGTGCTATCAGGTGATAGAATCAGATAAAAGGATTTCCTATAAGGCATTCTGCTGGTAACTCTATAAAAGGTGGCATTGTTACTGTTGGGTAAATAAAAGTTTTTGATTTGAAGAACCCTCTCCACTCTTTCCTTTAAAAAGGGCAGGTGCCCGGGCGCGGTGGCTCATGCCTGTAATCCCAGCTTTTTGGGAGGCCGAGGCAGGATCATGAGGTCAGGAGATCGAGACCATCCTGGCTAACACGGTGAAGCCCCGTCTCTACTAAAAATACAAAAAATTAGCCGGGTGCGGTGGCGGGCGCCTGTAGTCCCAGCTACTGAGGAGGCTGAGGCAGGAGAATGGCGTGAACCCGGGAGGCGGAGCTTGCAGTGAGCCGAGATTGTGCCACTGCACTCCAGCCTGGGCGACAGAGCAAAACTCCCGTCTCAAAAAATAAAAAATAAAATAAAATTAAAATTAAAATTAAAATTAAAAGGGGAGGCAACCATTACAATCTGGTAACAAGAATGCTAACATTTGAAAGCTTTGATTCACTTCAAGTATTGTCAAACACACACACACACAAACACACACATACACAAATCAATCTTTTAACTTTGACTTCACAAATAAAAAGCCTTCTTATGCTGGGCTTAGATCAGGGTGGCCGCCAGCATGAATTCATGTCCTCTGTGAAGAATGGAATATCAAAGTCAGAGATTTCAGATTGAAGAGTCCTTAGGGAACACTGGGTTTAGAGGTTTTGAAACTTTTTAAAGCACTGGAACACTTTCTTCAGTTAGAATCCTACATAGAAAACCAATATTTAAAAGATGAGAGCAGAAGTGAGACTGATGAGGTGGAAACAGGAGAATTGGGTACAACGAACCCCATTTCTGGTACCTTCCAGCCTCTGAGCAGGTATCTGAAGCACTGTGTGGAACGCTGGGACTCTTTGGTGCATTTTTTCACAACTTAGGACTTAGTCTTATTCTCCTTGCTTACAAATGAGGAAACTGAAGCACACTGAATAAAAATGTCTTGGCCAAGCGCCATCACCTGTACAAAAACAGATCCAAGGATGACAACACCCCCTCGATATAGATGAGTGGCTAAGTGCATGCTCCCAATGCTCTGATTATGATGCCTCCTTAACATTTGGTTGGTGGAGCAAGTTCCTTTTTGGGGACAGGAAGTTGTTGGAAGATTATTTAAAGGGTCATGGAAGGATCATGGAAATGATGCAAGTGGATGACATGAAGGAATGCAGCTTTGGTACCCTATGCTGGGACCCAAAAAGAGCAGGCAAGGCAGAATGTTGGTTGAAAAAATAACAACAACAGCATCAAAACCAGATGTACACATGCCTGCATGTCCAATTTTACAACTAATGCTGTCGTCCTATGGATACCTCCTGGAATGTAGGAGGATTCTGTCAATTAGGATGTTCCAGGGCTGTGGCCAGTGTTGTAAGCATGTCTCATGAGACCCTGGGCTAGAAGCAAAAGCAATGTCCAGGCTTCAAGTTAACACCACCTAAGTCCCAGACGGCTGCCCACTTCAGCATTCTCTGTGGTAATCTCTGGAGATTGTGGGGTTCAGGCTCTCTTTCCCGTATGCCACTTCTCCATCTTTAGGGGCTGAAATGACCATGTTTGGCTCCCAGGTAAATGGATCATGAGCTCCTCCTGAGTATGACTCTCACCTTTCATCATTGTCTCCCTTGTGTCTGGCACATTGAGCTGTATACAGAGCGGCCCTCGATAAAAGTCATACCCAGAGCTTCAGAAGTGGTCTTGTTGGAATGGAGTTTCCTGGCAGAAACTAAGCTGAGTGGTAGAATGAAGACACGGTATTGGGAGGTAGAAATGGAACTGGCTAATAATATTGACTCCACCACTAACTTATTGTCAGATTTTGGGAAGATGATGTATGCTCCTTAGGTTTTAGTTCCTGAACTGTAAAGTGAAGAAGACCAACTGGATCATTTCCAGGGTCCTGTCCAGCCTGAGTCCTCATATGTGGGCCTCGTTTGCCTAATGACAATAGCTACCAGTATATTTCTGGAGTGTTCACTCATGCAAGGTTTATCTATTCATCATGACACCTTGCAGTGTAGGGGGATTATCCCACCATTCACATAAGGAAATCTGGAGGAGAAGAGAGGAAGTGCGTAAGTTTACGTGCTCAGTCAAAAATAGGATTGGGATTTAAAGTCAGATTTACCTGACTCTAAATCTCCCTTCGCTATGCTCCACTGCCCCAAATTTAGGATGAGAAATGAAAGGGGTGGGGGGCACTGTAATGAGGTGACCTTGTAAATCATTCCAGACCGACTTTGTCCCCACCCACACCTTGCTCAGAAGAATCATCTCTAACCTCCAGCCTCTGCTTCCATCACTGCTGGGGACAGGAAGCTTATCCTCTTCACACAGCACAATTTTAGGCCAGTTCTAATTATTAAATGGTTCTTCTTAAAATTTCTTCTCTTATATTTTCAGCTTCCAGGCCTTGGTTCTGCTCCCTGGGGCCGCTTCTTGGTGAAATATTCTCCCTGCCAATGAGCAGGTTTTGACTTTCACGGAGAGTCAGAATGTGAGATGGCTTTAGCTATGCCAGGATTTCTAGGTTATTTTTAACCGAGGGGTTTGGGCTTGAATCAGATCTTTTTTGAAACTCAGTGTTTCCATTGGTTCTGCAAGAGGCTCCCTGGCACATACGGTAGCCTAAGTTTCTCAGTTTCTCGTTCTCTGCAGAAAAAAATTGTCCATTGTGCCAGTGTTAAGGTTCCTAGCTGGATATATTGAGACCCATAGTCTCTGGACCAAGTTTCCCTTTGAAAGTGGTACATGCACGGAGGGCCCATGGTGTTTTGTCATAATCATGCCTTTTTTCTTGCTAAGTGACATTGAGGTATGATTTTGTGCTCGAGAAAGCACCGGGGCATCCCATACCTTCCTGTACCACGTGTGCTCTGAGCTTGGTTTCCTGTGTTAGTTCCTGTGTGTTTCTAGTGTGTTTGAGTTTGCTCTGTTAGGGGGCAGGGTGTTGGCAGCTGAGGCACACTTCAAAACAAGTGTGGAGCTGAGCCGGGAGAGAAGAAGTGGCGTGAACATCCCCAGGGACGAATACCCAGGAGGAACTGAACGATGCTTGTGCTGAACTGCAGACAGAACTCAAGCATGCCATTAAAATGCTTCCCCTCCCCCAAGAGTGATGCCCACCGCCTCCAGATAAAAGCTGGGAGGTACACATTCATTTGCAAGCATCAATTGAATTTATGTTAAAATTTAAAAGTCTGGCATATGAAATGATATGAGAAGAAAGGTGCTTTATGGTTTCCAAAAAATGTGATATTTACTTCTGTGAAAATGCTCAGGGTCCAGGTGGTTTGACATTTCTTTATTGTTCCTTTCAGTCTATGCCCAGGCTGGCCCACAGGGGCCCTGGTGGAGCCCTTTCCCTCCCCCTCACTTCCTCTTCTTGTTTTCTGCTCTTGTCTCTCTTTTCTAAGCTGCTGAACCTCGAATGTTTTGAGAAGTCCCATTTTATTCCACATTCCCTGTTATTTACTCTGTAGCACCCACAGGCAAATGAATTTCTCTTGCTGATATTGATCTCTTCTTATAGCATCATGGAGATACATTGTTATTCTGGAAACATTGTCCCTGAAGTTTCCAAGGCTGAAGGTGGGGAGAGACAGAGTGTCTCCTCCTGCCACACACACCTATATTACTCCAGAATAAAGGATAGGAGAGCAAGATAGAAGGGATGAAGAACAGGCCAAAATGAGGAAGTTCAGAGAAGATATGATTCCTAAGAGAAGACCTCAAAGTCCGCTTAGAAACCAGAGCTTGCACCAGCCTGGGCAACAGAGCAAGACGACTTATCTACAAAAAATAAAATGAAATAGTTGTGCACAGTGCTGTGTGTCTGTAGTCCTAGCTACTTGGGAGGCTGAGGTGGGAGGATTGCTTGAGCCCAAGAGTTTGAGGCTACAGTGAGCTCTGATCATGCCACTGCACTCTAGCTTTGGTGACAAGAGAGACCCTGCATCTTAAAAAAAAAATGTAACCAGAGCTTGTGGATCAGAGACTGGATCATAGAGGGACAGAATATAATACCCTCTGTGTCTGTCCCAGGCTGGGACCATGCCTTCCACAGGCTTCGGCTAGAGAACTTCTGAAGAACTACATTAGACCTGGCTCCATATAGGGGTTCTGGTCATGGATGACACTAATCCTTCAATTCTTTCAACTTGACCAAGTCCATTTTTCTTGGCTTTGTTTTTTTGTTTTTTGTTTGTTTGTTTGTTTGTTTGTTTTTGAGACAGAGTCTCACTCTGTCACCAGGCTGGAGTGCAGTGGCACGATCTCAGCTCTCTGTAGCCTCTGCCTCCTTGGTTCAAGGGATTCTCCCGCCTTAGCCTCCCGACTAGCTGGGACTACAGGAGCGCACCACCGCGCCTGGCTAATTTTTGTATTTTTAGTAGAGATGGGGTTTTACCGTGTTGGCCAGGATGGTCTCCATCTCCTGACCTTGTGATCCACCTGCCTCGTCCTCCCGAAGTGCTGGAATTACAGGCGTGAGCCACGGCGCCCAGCCCTCTTGGTTCCTTTTGAAAGCCCTGTAACAAGTTCTCTGAAGTCACTCTTCTCATACCTTTAGAGTCTTTGCTTTTTACTTCATATAAAAGGCAGGGGTTTGGGCACTGGATCCTTCACTTATGTCCACATTTACCCCAGTAAATTTCCATTTCCTACAACTGCCTTCTCTTTTTGCAGGGATCACAGAAATTGCTTACATTTTCTAAACCCAGCCTTTCCATCTGAGCCCTTAGGACAAACCTATTTTCAACTTCAAGTTGCTCATCTCTCTTTCTACAAGGTTTCTCCTTTCTTCTCCCCATGTTGCTTCAACAAGTGAACGTCCTTCCACCTTAGTCGGGAGAGCGGGGCAAGAGGAGTTCTGATCTGTATACTGTTGTCTTGACTGTATTACATTCTGTCTTTTCCTTCAAACTTCTTCTGTTTAACTTGCTGCAATTCACACTTACTGCATTATAGAAGTCCCCTTGCCACTTT